>NW_017852933.1:1284743-1605929 GCF_000001405.40 Homo sapiens
TGGGTACTGCCTTCTGCGCCTTGACCCCTCTTCCTTCCCTCTTCTTCGTCCAAATTTGGAAGGGATTTCCCTGGGCTATGTGGGTTATCAGCCGAACGTTGTCACTCATGGCAAATTGAATATTACATCTTTTTTGTTTGAAATTTGTTTCGACACACGTATTTGTTTCGCAGTCTTTATTTTGCTCCACTTTTAAAATCCCTAACCCCCATAGCACTCTTGGCGTTTAACTTTCAGAGTCATTAGGATGCTATGTTTTTTCATTAATTTACTACGTGTAAGTGAAGCAAACCTTGTAAAACAATTAGCGTAATATGATTCCTAATATTTATCGAGCTCCTGCTTACTGTGTTAAACACTGGGGACAGTGGTTTATCCAAAGACACTAATGTCCCTGCTTTCTACAGAGCTTACAGCATAGGGTGGGAAGGCAGTACACAGGCCAATAAATAAACGAACACGATGATTTCAGTTATACAACAAGGTAATGGGGGAGGGAGAAGGGAGAGAAGGAGTGTTCGAGATTTCTCATTGGGAAGACATCTGTCATTTCAGCTTCTACTTGAATGAAGACAAAAATCTAGGCCGGGCGCGGTTGCTCACGCCTGTAATCCCAGCACTTTGGGAGGCCGAGGTGGGCGGATCACCTGAAGTCAGGAGTTCGAGACCAGCCTGGCCAACATGCGAAACCTCGTCTCTACTGAAAATACAAAAATTAGCCAGGCGTGGTGGCAGGTGCCTGTAATCCCAGCTACTCAGGAGGCTGAGGCAGGAGAATTGCTTGAACCCGGAGATGGAGGTTGCAGTTAAGCTGAGATCACACCACTGCACTCCAGCCTGGGCAGCAGAGCAAGACTCCATCTCAAAAAAAAAAAAAAATCCAGCCACGTAGAGATTTGGGAAAAGAGTATTTCCAATAGAGTGAACAGTAAGTGAAATGAGAAACAGCTTGGCTTGTTTGAAGAGCAGAAAAGACATGATGGCTGTAGTAAAACAAGTTGTTGGAGATGAGGTGAGAGAGGTAGGCGGGGGCCAGATTAATGTAGGATTTTAAAGACCACACTGAGAGATTTGGATTGTTACTGTAAGTGCAGTGGGAAGACAGTTATTGGTTGCTGAGCAAAGGAGGGATTGTTGGTTAAGAGTGGAAGCAGGGAGACCAGTAAAGAGGCCTTAACAATAGTCCCACTGAATTATGTTGGTTCAATAAAGGTTGGCTATTATAATTTTTATTATTTTCATGAACTTAATAGCTTGTTAATCTTGGTTCCACAGGATTTCAAATATGCGTGCATTAGAGAATGATTTTTTCAATTCTCCCCCAAGAAAAACTGTTCGGTTTGGTGGAACTGTGACAGAAGTCTTGCTGAAGTACAAAAAGGTAAGAGGAGATAATGTGTGAGGTTTGCTTTTGGTCAGGTCAGAATACAACTATTGCTGTTATACTAAAGACCAATAGAAATAGCAAGATTAATTAAGATACCAGTTGAAATCAAATATTTAATAATAGCATGATGCCGTCAGTGCAAAATTAGAGTAATAGTGTCCTTTTTTTCCCCCACCTTGGCCCATTTCACAGGTAATAATGAGAGAGTAATAATGTCTTTACTGAGGTTTCACCTCTTCAAATGCTTTATTTACAAAGCATCTTTTAACTTTAGCAAGTGCTAGAATTAAAAACAATTACAGCATTTTATTTATTTATTTATTTGTGCTGGAGTCTTCCTCTGTCACCCAGGCTGGAGTGCAGTGGCGTGACCTCAGCTCACTGCATCCTCCACCTCCCAGGTTCAAGCAATTCTCCTGCCTCAGTCTTCTGAATAGCTGGGGTTACAGGCACGCACCACCACACCTGGCTAATTTTTTAATTTTTTTAATAGAGACGGGGTTTCACCATGTTGGCCTGGCTGGTCTCAAACTCCTGAGCTTGTGATCCACCCGCCTTGGCCTCCCAAAGTGCTGGGATTACAGATGTGAGCCACCATGCCTGGCCTACAGCATTTTATTTTTTGAGGAACTTACCTAAGCATTACTTTGGGACAGTAAACCGGTTCTCTGAATAGGGATTTTTGTTTTTGTGGTAGTTTAGAAGCATTTCTACTATATCTCAGCAGTAGAGGGAAAATGTTAAGTAACCGTATGTTTATATGAAATATCCATTTGTATCCATATTTGAGTGAATACTTTTTTAGATCCTCCTGAATTAGATCATTAGAGCTGGCTGTTTTTTCCCCTCATGCTTTTTGAGAATTCGCAGGAGTATCAACTATTATATTCAAATGTCAATACAGAAGTATAGCTAAATGTAGTTTATCATTTTCCTTTTTCCAAGCCCTCTGGCTGCACTAACATGAGTGTTTAAATTTTTGTAGTCATGATTTTATAATCCGCAATTGACATGTGAAAGTTAGTGTTCCTTTTATAATTTCATCTGATGTTAAAGTACGGTTAAAAGTCTTGCTGTTGATACTAAACAGGAAACAAAAGCATAACTTAATTCTTTCCCCTTCTTGTTAAGGGTGAAACAAATGACTTTGAGTTGTTGAAGAACCAGCTGTTAGATCCAGACATAAAGGTAATTAATTTTGTGTTTGATCATTAGCAAAATTATTGCCACTTTATACAGACATAGTTTGCTCTTTGGGTCCCATTCTGTTCTGCAGAACTTGCTCTCTCCATGGTCCTCCCTTACTTTAATCTGGTGGTTCTCAACCAGGGACAGTTTTACCCCCTAGAAGACATTTGGTGATGGCTGCAGATATTTTTGTCACAACTGGGAGGAAAGGGTGCTACTGGCATCTAGTGGGTGAATGACAGAGATGCTGCTAAACATCTCACAGTGCACAGGGCAGCCTCCCATAACCAAGAGTGATCCAGCCCCAAATGACAACAGTGTTGAGGCTGGGAAACCCTGCTCTAATGCTTCCTTTCTATTAGATTACTACCTCTTTCCTCCATGCTGCATGCAACTCTTTTGTCTCTTTAAAGCTAAAACAAACCAAAAAAAAAAAACAAACCACTGTTTCAGCATTTCCAGGTTCGAGATACACCTATCATGTAGTAAAACCTTAATACATTTTGTTTCACCATTCTTCCTTTACTGCCCAGTTTTGAAGAGAATGGTTTATTACCATGGCAGTGGTAGTTAGATTGCCTGGAATGAAATTCCAATTTTATTATCCAGTGTGTGATCTTGAGCAAATTGTTTTAACCTCTCTGCCTCTATTTTCCACTGTGTGAAACCAAGAAAACAATAGAGATTTAAAAAATATGGAGTGTTTTGTTTTTTAAGAGATGTGGTCTTGCTGTGTTGCTCTAGCTATTCACAGGTGTGATCATAGTGCACTACAGCCTTGAACTCCTGGCCTCAAATGATCCTTTCTCTTCAGCCTTCTAAAAAGCTGGGACTATAGGTGCATGCCACTGTGCCTGGCTTTAAACATGGAAATACTTAACAAGGATTCAATGAGCTAATATGCAAGAAGCACTTAGAACAGTCTCTGACTCAAAGTAAGGGCAGTAATTGTCATCTGTTGTTTTTGTTCCAGCTGACTGTGCTGTATCATTTCTCACTCACATTTAAGTCCACTGTTCTTATCACTGTAGTAATTACCCTGACAGATTACCCATGTTTTTTTTTTACATGCTGATTTCAGTGGACTTTTTTTGAGACAAAGTCTCCTTCTTGTCACCCAGGCTGGAGTGCAGTGGTGTGATATGGGCTCCCTGCAACCTTTGCCTCCTGGGTTCAAGCAATTCTCCTGCCTCAGCCTCCCAAATAGCTGAGATTACAGGCACCCGCCACCATGCCTGGTTAATTTTTTTATTTTTAGTAGAAACGGGGTTTCACCATGTTGGCCAGGCTGGTCTTGAACTCCTGACCTCAGGTGACCTGCCTGCCTCGGCCTCCCAAAGTGCTGGGATTACAAGTGTGAGCCACTGAGCCCAGCCTCAGTGGACTTACTTTTTTAAGCCTTGTATTCCTTGTATCAGCCGACACTGTTGGCCACCCACTTCTTAAAACTTCAGTGTTTCTGATCCTCCTGTCTTCTGATCCTTTAATCTCTCTCTTTTTTTTTTTTTTTTTTTTTTTGCTCTGTCGCCCAGGCTGGAGTGCAATGACGCAATCTTGGCTCACTGCAAGCTCCACCTCCCGAGTTCAAGTGATTCTCCTACCTCAGCCTCCCGAGTAGCTGGGACTACACGCGCCCGCCACCACCCCCAGCTAATTTTTTGTATTTTTAGTAGAGATGGGGTTTCACCATGTTAGCCAGGATGGTATCGATCTTCTGACCTCGTGATCCACCCGCCTTGGACTCCCAAAGTGCTAGGATTAGAGGTGTGAGCCACCACACCCGGCCAGTGATCCTTTAAGCTCTAGTATCTCTCGATAGGTTCTTGATCTTAAATTTGGTGTTGATTGGGCTTCAAAACTTGACTCTTTTCTCACTCTGTTGATTCTTCTGTGTGATCTCCTCATCTCCCTTCATGGCTTTGAAATCTACCTGTGTCCTAATATATTTGTGTCTGTAGCCAAGATTGCTCTTGTGGGCTCCAGACTTATTTCATTTTCATTTTTGGGGATGGGCAGAACAGAGTCTTGCTCTGTCACCTAGGCTGTAGTGTAGTGGGATGATCTTGGCTCACTGCAACCTCTGCCTCCTGGGTTCAAGCCATCCTCCCACCTCAGCCTCCTGAGTAGCTGTGCCACCACGCCCAGCTAATTTTTTTGTATTTTCAGTAGATTTGGGGTTTCACCATGCTGGCCAGGCTGGTCTCGAACTCCTGACCTCAAGTGATCCACCCGCCTCAGCCTCCCAAAGTGCTGGGATTATAGACGTGAGCCACTGCACCCGGCCTAGACTTGTTTCTTAACTGTCTGTTAGATGCATTTACCCAGAATCATCATAGATGCTCCAAACTTATCATGTCCACTCTTGGCTGGGCTCCATCTTTCATGGAGCTTTCCCTGGTTCTCTCTAAGCACATGGTTGTTCCTTCATTGAGTCTATTTCCCACACTTCCAGATCTCTCTAGTTACAGATCTGGTTTACAAGGCCCTCCATGGTCTATTTGGTGCTTCTTTGTTCCCCAGATTTATTATCTGTTGGCTTGGTCACTATACATGCCAGCCATACTGAACATTTTTCAGTTTTCTGAAAACATACTTTTCCTTCTGTAAGAAGCAGAACTTCCAGAAAAGACTCAACTGTGTTACTGTTTAAAGACAGCTGAAGCATCACTTTCTCTTTAAAGCTTTTCCTGACCCCTGCCTCCTTTCCCAGATACAAAGGGACATTTTCTTTGTGTTCCACTGTATTTTGTATCAGCAGTTCTCATTCTTGGTATTTTGACATACCAAGAATTGCACTAGTTGTGTGGAGTGTTGCAAGTAGAACTTTTTTCGTCTTGAGACAGGGTCTCGCTGTGTCACCCAGGCTGGAGTGTAATGGGCCCGATCATGGCTCACTGCAGCCTCAACCTCCCAGGCTCAAGCAATCTTCCCACCTCAGGCTCCCGAGCACCTGGGACCACAAGCATGTGCTACCATGCCTGGCTAATTTTTCTAGAGACGAGGTCTCCCTATGTTGCCCAGGCTGGTCTCAAATTCCTGGGCTCAAGCAGTTTCCTCCTGCCTTGGCCTCCGAAAAGTGCTGGGATTACAGGCATGAGCCACTGTTCCTGCCTGCTAGTAGAAATAATAATAGTTCAGTACTAAAGCATCAAAGTCTGCAACTGATTTACTTTTTTTTTTTTCTTTTTGAGACATAGTTTTGCTCTTGTTGCCCAGGCTGGAGTGCAGTGGCATGATCTTGGCTCACTGCAACCTCTGCCTCCGAGTTTTTTAAGTAATTCTCCTGCCTCAGCCTCCCGAGTAGCTGGGATTATGGGCATGCACCACCACGCCCAGCTAATTTTGTATTTTTAGTAGAGACGGGGTTTCTCCATGTTGGTTAGGCTCGTCTCGAACTCCCAACCTCAGGTGATCCACCCACCTCGGCCTCCCAAAGTGTTGGGATTACAGGTGTGAGCCACCACCCCCAGCCTGATTTACTTTTAAAAATGGTACAGTTTAAATGTTATCCTTATAGTTTTGTTGCAGTCTTTTTAGTGGAAAAGAGATAGGATAGATTATTTTATTTACACACTAACTTAGCTTGTTTTCTACATGCCTTTGGCCTTAGTGAGCTACCGTTAATGTTATCCTTAACAGTTTTGGACATATGAAATTACCATAGTACAAATGAGTTGTGGTTTTACTTTATTTTACTGCCAGGCTACTTGGGATTTCATCAGAAAATGGTTGATCTGTGGGAGTTTGACACATGGATATGGCATAGTAAGCACTCAGTAGCTGAATTAAGGTGGGGAAAAGGGGACAGCTTCTTCTCCGCATATAGGGAGGCATGTGGGATGGTGGACAGAGGATAGCCTTGACCGAGACAGATGGGTTTGGACCTGCTTCTTTACTGGCCTCTTGGTTGGGCAGATTGCTTATTAATCGTTCTTAGCCTCAGCTTCCTGAACAGCAAAATGGGAATAACTAAACATCTTGCAGAGTTCTTAGGATTAGAAGAAGATATATATGCGGAGTGTCAGGCACCATGCCTGGCATATGGTGTATTCTCACTAAATGATAACTCCATATGAATATCCCTGTAGGTATGATGACCTTGTGTTGCTTTTATTTATATGTCTAAGCCTTCCACAAATTAGGGGCTTTTTCTTAATGGTTTTTGTCCTGTGCAGTATATATGCATGAATATAATTAATATAGTAATATTTTACATAATTGACACTGTATTTTATACCTTGCGTTTCAAATTTAGCAGTTCTTCTCATGTCACTAACAATTACTATGAACAGTAATTTGATTGCCTGAAAAATATTTCATGGAGGAATGGGGCTATCATTTATACAGAACAAACACATCATAATATATTTAAACTCAGCCACAGATTTGGTTTAGAAAAGTTATGTTTATTCATGACCCCAATTGATCAGCCTAGACTGAATTTTATCAGCATGCTTCCTGGTCAGCTTGAATATAGAGGAAATAGAGGTAGCTATTGTTCCTTTGTGATCTTCTAATATTTCAATCTGCTAGAATTCTGCAGTTTTTAAAAGTCCCAGGTGTCAACATTTGAGGTGATTTCACTTTTTCAGGGCAAACAAAAGTGATCAGGCTGAAGTATTGCATTTAAGTCTTTCTCCTGTGTATTAGAGTTACTAGATTACTTTCTTAAAACGATTAAGTTTATTGTGACATCTTTTTCTGTTTTAATACCCAGTTTTGATTTCCTTCCAAGTTTGTGACCTTTTCCCCCCAACCTATTCTTGATAAATGATTGATATAAGATAGCTGTAAATTTCTGTTATCTTAGAGGATTTGTGATTTTGAAAGTACTCTTTGTTTAACTTAAGGATGACCAGATCATCAACTGGCTGCTAGAATTCCGTTCTTCTGTCATGTACTTGACAAAAGACTTTGAGCAACTTATCAGTATTATATTGGTAAGTTCACCATTTATTTTACTGTCAAGTATGTAATTCAGAACTTTGGTAATAGTATATGTTATATTAATAACATGCTGCTTTTATCTTTCTTCCCCCACTCTAGAGATTGCCTTGGTTGAATAGAAGTCAAACAGTAGTGGAAGAGTATTTGGCTTTTCTTGGTAATCTTGTATCAGCATAGACTGTTTTCCTCAGACCGTGTCTCAGCATGATTGCTTCCCATTTTGTGCCTCGTAAGTCATTACTCTTTGCTTGCTTGGAATTTTCTTTTCTTTTCTTTTTAATACTTCTTTGTTAAAATACCACCTTCCCCTTATATATGAGAGACTGCTACCATGGAAGATTCCAGATGCATATTGGCACCAGGTCTGGTAGACATATATTCCCCGTAATGACCCCTATGGAGGTGTCTAGATTCATTTGTTGCTGTGAGTTTGATGAATTATAACTTGCTTTATTGAACTCCTGGTGAAATCTAGGAATTTTTAGCCATTTAAAAACTATAAAGTTGCATTACTTTTTTTCAGATTGTGCATTTAATTAATCATTGGGCTAACTTTGGATTATGGAAAAATAACTTTTTTTATAGCTGTTCATTGTCTAGGTCAATAACTTTTTTTGTATAGCCATTCATTGTCTAGATCAATGACAGAACAACATATTTTCTTTTTCCCTCAAAAGCCCGAGTGATCATTAAGGAAGGCGATGTAGATGTTTCAGATTCTGATGATGAAGATGATAGTAAGTATAAAAAGGTTTAAAGCCTGGGCACAGTAGCTTACACCCATAATCCCAGCATTTTGGGAGGCCAAGATGGGAGGATCACTTGAGGCCAAGAGTTTGAGACCAGCCTGGGCAACATAGTGAGACCTTGTCTCTGCAAAAAAACATTTTTTTTCAAATATTTTCTTAAAAAAGGCTTAAAGTAGAACTAGGCAGGGTAGTGTGTGTCTTTAGTCACAGCTACCTGGGAGGCTTAAGTGGGTGGATTGCTTGAGCCCAGGAGTTCAAGCTCTGCCTGGTGGCAAGACTCTGTCTTCTTTAAAAAAAAAAAAGTAAAGCACAGAATACCTGGCATCTATTCTAATAAGTAGACTGCAACAAATGACAACTTTTGATGTAATCTTTTTGTTATATTTACCATTGATATGCAGTCAGTTGTCCTGAATGCATTATTTATATAATTAGTCCATTTAATTTTCATTGATGCTGGTGGAGAAAAGTCTTGAAATTATTATTTCTCTGATAAATTATTCCGTTTTGGTTAGCATGTGTTTTTAGCTTCAAGTATGTCACTTTTTGTTTGTTTGTTTGTTTTTTGAGACAGAGTCTCGCTCTGTTGCCCAGGCTGGAGTACAGTGGTGTGATCTTGGTTCGCTGCAGCCTTCACCTCCTAGGTTCAAGTGATTCTCCTGCTTCAGCCTCCTGAGTAGATGGGACTACAGGCGTTTGCCACCATGCCCGGCTAATTTTTGTATTTTTAGTAGAGATGGGGTTTCACCATATTGGTCAGGCTGGTCTCGAACTCCTGACCTCAGGTGATCCACCCACCTCGGCCTCCCAGAGTGCTGGGATTACAGGCGTGAGCCACTGTGCCCGGCCAGCATTTATTTTTAGTTTCAAGCATGTCGCCCTTCAGTTTTGTTTTGATGCTCATACTCTGAACTTTTCTTCTTTCAGATCTTCCTGCAAATTTTGACACATATCACAGAGCCTTGCAAATAATAGCAAGATATGTACCATCATGAGTATACTTTTCCTTATTTTGAATGTTTAATTCTCAAGAAAATTGTAATCAATTAGTAAAAATTATAAAATGTTAATAGTATTAAAGCTTGAGTCTTACATTGCATTTTTTTTTTTTGTATCCACTTGAGGAAACATTACATTCTACAAAAAGTGGCATTTCCATTTTCTATTTATTCTCTTTAATTGTTTTTCAAAGTTCGTATGCAGATTCTCCCCCAATTTTGTATGGTGGTTGGAATTTTGTTTTTATCTTCAACAGATATGCTATCCAAAATTTTTCAGTGAGAAACCCCTGGGTGTGTTTGTGTCATGCCATATGAATAAAAATTGCACTTCTAAGAAAAGCTTTTCAGGTTTGTGGGTTTCTTTTGGAGGGGTGGATTTCTAGTTCCCTCTGTCTGTTGATTATTTGTTAACTTAAAAAAATCCAACTTGATTATTTTTTCTTCTTTTAAAAATAATATACATGTGTAGTGGGAAATGTCAGCAAAAGTGCTGTTATGTTTCTGTGGGAGAGAAGCTCCCTCTTTGATTTGCTGTTGATATCAGAGTTAACAGAAGCTTATTTTCTCTAAGTTGTTATAGACTTTCTCAGAAGCTATACATTGTAAGTTCCAGTTCTGGCCGGGCGCGGTGGCTCACACCTGTAATCCCAGCACTTTGGGAGGCTGAGGCGGGCGGATCACCTGAGGTCGGGAGTTCGAGACTAGCCTGACCAACATGGAGAAACCCCGTCTCTACTAAAAATACAAAATTAGGTGGGCGTGGTGGCGCATGCCTGTAATCCCAGCTGTTTGGGGGGCTGAGGCAGGAGAATCGCTTGAACCCGGGAGGCAGAGGTTACAGTGAGCCGAGATTGTGCCACTGCACTCCAGCCTGGGCAACAAGAGCGAAACTCCGTCTCAAAAAACAAAAAAAGTTCCAGTTCTTTGAGGTAAGGGTTCCTGTTTGCCTCCTATGTCTATCGATATTTGCTTTTAGAATGGTAGTTTTCCTTTTTATTCCTTTTCTAGAAAGTAAAGTCAACATGGATTGATTTAATTTTTTAAAAATAGGGCACCGTGGTTTCTCATGCCAATACTGGTGGAAAAATTTCCATTTGTTCGAAAATCAGAGAGAACACTGGTAAGAAATCTTTTCATTGAGAACATCATGGAAAAGTTGTTTGTATGATTTCATTTTAGATGATATTAGGTCTTTTTCTTTCTTTTTCTGTCTTTATTTTTATTTTTCTTTTTTGAGACCGAGTCTCACTCTATCGCCCAAGCTGGAGTGCAATGGCGTCATCTTGGCTCACTGCAACCTCTGCCTCTCGGGTTCAAGCAATTCTCCTGCCTCAGCCTCCCCATTAGCTGGGACTGCAGGCACCTACCACCATGCCCAGCTAATTTTTGTATTTTTAGTAGAGACAAGGTTTCACCATATTGGCCACACTGTTATCGAACGCCTGACCTTGTGATCTGCCTGCCTCGGCCTCCCAAAGTGCTGGGATTGGTGAACCACCGTGCCCGGCTGATGTTAGGTCTTTTTCTTAAAGGTTACTTTGTCTTCTAGACTTTAAACTGATGTCTAAGAATTTGACTCAGATTCCTTTCTTATAAAGCGGCTATTGGGGATTCGCAGTGCCTTTTTCTGTTATTACTATGTGCAAGTCAAGGTCTGAGTTCATTTCCGGAATATCTGTAGTGGCTTTATGCTCATACGGGCAAGAATTACTAGAAGATAATAGTTCATGTATTACTAATTGTGAACATGCCTTATTTTAACCTGAAAACAAAGCCTTCCATAGAAGAATTCTGCTTAAGTTTTTGTACAATGTTCAGATCATCTGTGCAGTTTTTAATAATTAATAGTGGTTGCCTTAGTAGAAAACCGAATCTAGTAGCATACAAAAAGAATTACGTACCATGACCAAGTGCGACTGATGTTAGGAATGCAAGATTGATTTTTTTTTTCGGGGGTGGGGGGACAGTCTCTGTCTGTCACCCAGGCTGGAGTGCAGTGGCACCATCTCAGCTCACTGCAGCCTCTGCCTCCAGGGTTCAAGTGACTCTCCCACCTCAGCTTCCCAAGTAGGTGGGACTATAGACATGGGGCACCACACCCCACTAATTTTTGTGTTTTTGGTAGAGATGGGGTTTTGCCATGTTGGCCAGACTGGTCTTGAACTCCTGACCTCAAGCGATCTACCCGTCTCCACCTCGCAAAGTGTTGGGATTAGAGGCGTGAACCACCGTGACCGGCTGAGATTGAGTTAGTACCTGAAAATGAATTAATAAAATATTTTGTAGCAATAGAACAAAGGACAAAAACCACATAATCATCTCAGTAGATGCAGAAGTGTGTGACAAACACCAATATCCCTTTATGAGAAAAACAGAAGGAAATTTTCTCAACCTGATAAAGGGCATCTGAAAAACCCACAGCTAACATCATATTCAGTGGTGAAAGACCAAAAGTTTTTTCCTAAGACAAAGAACAAAACAAGGATTTCCGCTCTTGCTGCTTGTCTAGCCAAGGCAGTTAGGCAAGAAAAAGAATTAAAAGCATCCAGATGGAAAGGAAGGCGTAAACTCTCTTTTGCATGGTGATTTTATATGTCATTCTAAGAAGTTTACACACACACAAGAAATTTTAGAGATAATAAATGAGTTCAGCATGGTTACGGGACAGAAGACTAACATACACTAACCAGTTGTTCAAGACAATTGAATAGGGGAGAATAGTCATTTCAACAAATGCTGCTGGCAGAAGTGGATATGAACATGCAAAAGAGTGAAGCATATGGATATCCATATACAAAAATGAACTCAATAAAAGCCCTACATGAAGTGTAAAAACTGTAAAACTCTGAGAAGAAAACGAGTACATTTTCATAATGTTGGATTAGGCAGTAATTTCCAGATTTGATGCCTAAGCACAAGCAACCAAAGAAAAAATGCATCAATTGTACTTCAAAATTAAACGTTGTTATGCTTCATAGGACATCTTCAAGAAGATGAAAAGAATCCCCAAATAATGGGAGGAAATATTTCTAAATTTTATGTCTGGTAATGGACTTGTATATGTAAAGAACTCTTATAATTGAATAATAAAAGGGCAAATAGCCCAACTGAAGAGGGCAAAGGATCTGAATAGGCATTTCTGCAAAACACATGAAAAGAAGCTCAACATCATTAGCCATCAGGGAAATGATTTCACTTAATGCCCACAAGGATGGCTATAATCAGAACGAGAAGACAGTAACAAGTGTTCACAAGGATATGGAGAAATGGGAACGTTGGAACTGTCATATGTTGCTGTGAGAATGTAAAATGGTGCAGCCGTTTTGGAAAATAGCCTGGCATTTCTTCAAGGTTAAATGTAGAATTAACACGTGACTCAGCAGTTCCATTTCTGGGTTTATACCCAAGAGAAATGAAAATATATGTCCACAGAAAAACTTGTACATGGATGTTCATAGCAGCAGCATCCATAATAGCCTCAAGTAGAAGCAACTCAAATGTCTGTCAACTGATGAACAGATGACAAAACATGGTACAATGGAATATTACTCAGCAATGAAAAGGAATGCTTTATATGTTACAACATGATTGGACCCTAAAAACATGCCAAAAGGCTGTGTATTATATGACTCCATTGATAGGAAAGGAATGGTTTACATGTTACAACATGATTGAACCTTAAAAACATGCCACAAACTGTGTATGACTCCATTGATATGAGAGGAATGGTTTACATGTTACAACATGATTGAACCCTAAAAACATGTATTATATGACTCCATTTATATGAAATGTCTCAAAGAGGCAGATTCATAGAAAGACTAGTGGTTGCCAAGGTCTTCATTTTTTAGGGGTGCACTAATGGATGTAGGATTTCTTTTTAGAGTGATTAAAATGTTACAAAATTGCTGGCTGGGTGCAGTGGCTTATGCCCATAATCACAGCACTTCGGGAGGCTGAAGTGGGAAGATCCAGGAGTTGAAGACCAGCCTGGGCAACATAGTGAGAAAATGTCTCCCTAAAAGGAAGAATTAACCTCATGTGGTGGTGTGCACCTGTAGTTCTAGCTACTAGGGAGGCTGAGGAGGAAGGATTGCTTATCCCGGGAATTCAAGGTTGCAGTGAGCTATGATTGCACCCACTGTACCTCATCCTGAGAGAGAGAGCAAGACCCTGTCTCTAAAAGAAAAATAAATGTTCTGAAATTGATTATGTTGACGGTCACATAACTGAATATATTAAAAACTTAAATTGTATACTTTAAGTTGGTGATTGTATGATATATGAGTTTTATCAATACAGCTACTTAAAAACCTATAGTTATGCAAATTAAAAATTTCATTTACTGGGGATAATTGAAATGATTATACCGAACATAATACATGTAGAAACAGTATAGTTTTTGTATTGCTGGATAGTCTGTTTTTTTCTTTTTCAATATTTGAAACTAAAGGTCATGTAATTGATGTTTTTCTTACATAACTGTGAAATATTTATTCTCTGTTGAAATGTTTTATCTTACGTTTTCTCCTTTAGGAATGTTACGTTCATAACTTACTAAGGATTAGTGTATATTTTCCAACCTTGAGGCATGAAATTCTGGAGCTTATTATTGAAAAACTACTCAAGCTGGATGTAAGTATTGAGTAATCTATTTTTATTTTCTTTTTTTTATTTTTTATTTTTTTATTTTCATTTACTGACTTGAATTTGTTATAATCACAGTATGTGGAAACAATAGTCAGTGATAGAAAAGAATCCACTTGGCCAGGCATGGTGGCTCATGCCTTTATTCCCAGCACTTTGGGAGGCCGAGGCAGGCAGATCACCTGAGGTCAGGAGTTCAAGACCAGCCTGGCCAACATGGCGAAACCCCGTCTCTATAAAAAAAAAAAAAAAAAATTAGCCAGGCATGATGGTGGGTGCCTGTAATCCCAGCTACTCAGGAGGCTGAGGTGGGAGAATTGCTTGAATCCGGGAGGCAGATCTTGCAGTGAGCTGAGATCGTGCCACTGCACTCCAGCCTGGGCGACAGAGCGAGACTCCATCTCAAAAAAAAAAAAAGAAAAGAAAAGAAAAGAAACCACTAGCACCATTCTTTGCTTCCTTTCTTTGAATGTGTCTTGAACTCCATCTGTGCATGTGCTGGGAGTTGTAGACAGTTCCTTCTCATGATTGGAGAACAAGGCGTTAAATACATAGTTATCCAAATGTAAAAGTATGGTTGTGGAAAATGCCATGAATGAAACATACATTATGAGTTAGAGAACCTGATAGAATCACAGTGGGGTCAGGAAGGGATTCCTACGGAAGTGATTTTTCCTGTTTGGCCTTTCTTAAGGGCAGATTATAATTATAAACAGTTAAAACTTTGTTTAAGGAGGCCCGCACTAAGGTGCAGTGGGAATGAAAGGAAGTGGTAGATTCTAGTGACATTGTGAGGAAAGGTGAACTGGTCCTTGAGACTGGTTTGGAGGAGGGGAGGCAGACAGTAAGGGAAAGGAATCCTTCAATAGTTGCTCCCTGTGGAATCGAATCTTGGTGTTGCCATTAATGGTAGTTAGAAATATGAAGAGGAGGCTGGGTGTGGTGGCTCACGCATGTAATCCCAGCACTTTGGGAGGCCGAGGCGGGCGGATCACGAGGTCAGGAGATCGAGACCATCCTGGCTAACATGGTGAAACTCTGTCTCACTAAAAATATAAAAAATTGGCCGGGTATGGTGGTGGGCACCTATAGTCCCAGCTACTCGGGAGGCTGAGGCAGGAGAATGGTGTGAACCTGGGAGGTGGAGCTTGCAGTGAGCCCAGATTGTGCCACTCTGCTCCAGCCTGGGTGACAGAGCAAGACTCTGTCTCAAAAAAAAAGAAAAAAAAAATATGAAGAGGAGGCAGTTGGAAGAGTAGTTCCATCTTGGCCAGGTTCAGTTGCTGGTGGGCAGCCTACCAGAGAATACTCACAGGCAGTCGTGGCTGCAGATGGGGACCTGAGCATAAACCTTTGGAAAGATGCAGTTTAGGACAGGGGAGGAGAAGGGTGATCAGAAGTATGGGGAAAACCAAGAGTCTGGATGCTCAGGAAGAATCCGCTGGAAGGAGGAGTTTGGTCAGCAGCATCAGATACTGCTGTCATTTTTTAGAAAGATGAAAAGAGCAACAGTCCTTGGATTTAGTGGTTAGAAGGTAGTCTTTGTTGCTTTCTGGAGGACCATGTCAGTGAAGACGCAGAAACTGCATTTCGGGAGAGGATGTGGATGGTGGGGAAGCAGAATTGGGGCTGTTAGAGACCTTGGTGCAGGGTTGTGGTGGAAGGAGGGGATGGAGCAGGGCTAAGAGGCGTGGTTTAGGAGTGGGGAGATGTGAGCAGGTTTGTGGACTGAGGGGAGAGGAGCTTTGGTGGAGGAAAACATTGATGCTATAGGAAAGCAGGAAGATGGAACAAGGTCTTAGAAGAGCTGGAGCTTGGGCTCACTGGTGCAGTGCTCCCTTGGAGTTGCACCTCTCTGGCCAACTGTATATGTACTCTTTATAGTCTTTCTCTGGTATATACTTAAGGAACATTTTAGAATGTTTACAAAGAAGGTCAGGCATAGTTAATAAAAAATGGCATGGTTTGAGTGGTATGTTAAGATATTTGAATGGTGATATACCAAAATAAATATTGCATCATGCACATTTGGCTTGCAGTTCATCATTTTTCTGCTCAATTGATTGACGATATGTTTATTACACAATGTGTCTGTGAGTGTCTTGTGCATAGAGATTGTATTAGTCCATTTTCACACTGCTGATAAAGACATAGCTGAGCCTGGGAAGAAAAAGAGATGTTTTTGTTTGTTTGTTTGAGATGGTGTCTCGCTCTGTTGCCCAGGCTGGAGTGCAGTGGTGCGATCTCGGCTCACTGCAACCTCCACCTCCCGGGTTCAAGCAGTTCTCCTGCCTCAGCCTCCTGATTAGCTGGGATTACAGGCACGTGCCACCATGCCCGGCTAATTTTTTGTATTTTTAGTAGAGATGGGGTTTCACTGTGTTAGCCAGGATGGTCTCAATCTCCTGACCTCATGATCCATCCACCTCGGCCTCCCAAAGTGCTGGGATTACAGGCGTGAGCCACTGCACCTGGCCAAAAAAGAGGTTTAATTGGACTTACAGTTCCACATGGCTGGGGAGCCCTCAGAATCATGGCGGGAGGTGAAAGGCACTTCTTACATGGTGGCGGCAAGAGAAAATGAGGAAGATGTAAAAGTGGAAACCCCTGATAAAACCATCAGATCTCGTGAGACTTATTCACTATCATGAGAACAGTATGGGGGAAACCTACCCTATGATTCAAATTATCTCCCACCAGTCCCCCCCCCAACAACATGTGGGACTTACAGGAGTACAATTCAAGATGAGATTTGGGGCCAGGCGTGGTGGCTCATGCCTGTAATTCCAGCACTTTGGGAAGCTGAGGCCGGTGGATCACCTGAGGTCAGGAGTTCGAGACCAGCCTGACTAACATGGAGTAACCCCATCTCTACTAAAAATACAAAATTAGCTGGGCACAGTGGCACATGCCTGTAATCCCAGCTACTCAGGAGGCTGAGGCAGGAGAATCTCTTGAACCTGGGGGGCGGAGTTTGCGGTGAGCCAAGATCTTGCCATTGTATTCCAGCCTGGGCAACAAGAGCAAAACTCTGCCTCAAAAAAAAAAAAAAAAAAAAGTGAGATTTGGGTGGGGACACAGAGCCAGACCATATCAGAGCTAGAATAAATGTTGAATTTGTTGAGGCTACCTGACATAGAGCATCATGTGATAGTTGTCGATTTTATATAAGTATGTAGTAAAAGGGGCTTGGTTTATTATATTTAAATTCCTTCATGACCTAGGTCAGTTTACAGGCTTGCACCATAATTGTGTATTGTGTTGGGGTGTGATATAAGGCACTAATCTGGACACCTTGAACGTGTGTATATCAGATGAATTTCCATCCCAAAATAACATAGTTGTATTTTTTAAATCCTTTTATTCTTTTTTCCCCCCCCTTTGTTATAGGTGAATGCATCCCGGCAGGGTATTGAAGATGCTGAAGAAACAGCAAATCAAACTTGTGGTGGGACAGATTCCACGGAAGGATTGTTTAATATGGTTAGCAGTTTATTAATGAAAGTGGAGATGAAGTTTATCATAATCAAAGGGTGGAAACAGCTAGTGCTGCTCATCTTTGTTAAGGCTTTAGATTGAAAGAATTAAAATAGTTTAGCAAACTTGAAAACGATTCCTTATATGAGTAATTTGCTGCCATGTCATTTAGCACTTAGCATAATTGGTCTATTTCCAAGGCTTTGAATTTGGGTTTGGTGAAGTATGTTTCACTTTTGTTGTTGTAACTTTCAGTGTTTGTTTTTGTAAGCCAGATGCTGTCTGTGAGGGCGTGGCTAATGGAAAAGCATAACTGTTTAATTTCTGCATTTTACCACTTGTACACTTTATAGCATTACTTCTTACGAGTAGCTGGGACCACAGATTACCATGCCTGGCTAATTTTTGTGTTTTTAGAAGAGGCGGGGTTTCACCATGTTGGCCAGACTGGTTGTGAACTCCTGACCGCAAGTGATCTGCCCGCCTCCTGCCCCGCAAAGCGTTGGGATTACAGGTGTGAACAACTGTGCCTGGCCCACGTTCCCTTCTCAGTACACTTGGAGAGAAAACAGATTGCTGCCTGCCAGCCCAGCTAGGTGCTCTGAAAATGTCATCCTGCCTTTGGTCACTAGGTGGTGGTCTTCCCTTAAGCCTTTCTCTATTAAAATCTCATATGGGGTAATTAACAGTATTTCCTTTATTCTTTCCAAGGGTTGAGTTGTAACTAGCCCAAACCAACTTATTAATCTAGAATTTTAAAAACTTTAGGCTTTGACTTTTCTTCTTCTTCTTCTTTTTTTTTTTGGTGGGGGAAAGAATATAGAAGGCTTTTCCTTCTCTGCAACGATTTTGTGGCTTCCTAGAGGTCAGGAGAGTGTTGGTCATGGGAAAGAAGGTTGAATTCAGTCTGCCCACATGGGCGTGCCTAGCTTTAGAACAGCGCTATTTAGGAGAAGTTGGAAGTTACACCCTTTGGTGAGAAGCTGTGTCTGTTTTTTTCCATGATTGGCATAATTAACTCAAATACCAGCTGTACATTAGTCCGTATTTCTGTTCATGGTTGAGTTCAGTGTGTCCAGAGACCGGAAGGTGCTTTGCACTCACAGGAGTGCCCATGTGGAGCTCCATGGGATGTGAATTATTGTTGGTCACTAGTTCTGGCTGACATTGGAATCACTTGAAGAGTTTTTATAATATGTGGATTCCAAAGCCCTGTCACAAACCTATTGAATTTGTACCTCCCAGGTTGAATTTTTTGTTGTTTTTTGTTTGTTTGTTTTTTGAGATGGAGTCTCACTCTGTCACCCAGGCTGGAGTGTAGTGGCATGATCTCAGCTCACTGCAACCTCTGCCTCCTGGGTTCAAGTGATTCTCCTGCCTCAACCTCCCAAGTAGCTGGGATTACAGGCACCTGCCACCACGCCTGGCTAATTTTTGTATTTTTAGTAGAGAGAGGGTTTCTCCATGTTGGCCAGTCTGGTCTCGAGCTCCTGACCTTGGGTGATCCACCCGCCTCGGCCTCCCAAAGTGCTGGGATTACATTTACAGGCGTGAGCCACTGTGCCTGGCCCTGGGTTGATTTTGATGCTTAGCTAGGTTTGGGATCCATTGGATTATTTAACACCCGAGGTGCCTTTTGTTTCTAATGATATTCTCTCAACGTGTTTTAAAAATGAAGCCCATGAGATAGTTATGAGATAGTAGAACTTTTCCCTACATTGGTGAAGTAAAAATCTTGGGATTTTGATAGTCAGATTATCTTAGGCATTAAAAAATATCACACCGATGCCCTCTCTTTTTATAGGGATTCGCAGAGGCATTTTTGGAACATCTTTGGAAAAACTTGCAGGATCCAAGTAATCCTGCCATCATCAGGCAGGCTGCTGGAAATTATATTGGAAGCTTTTTGGCAAGAGCTAAATTTATTTCTCTTATGTAAGTAGCCTAATTTGCCGAGTACTTTTTAATATCATGCTTTAAAAAGAGTATAGCATTGTCTCAAGTCAGAAATATCTCCCATATGTTTTTGGCATGTTTTTAAAGTGAATAAAATTCCTACTCTGTGCAAGATGTTTATATTTCTAAGTGGTGATTTTAGAATAAAGTGTCTCCTTTTTTATATATAAAACCCTGTATGTAAGGCTTTTGTCATCTCTTTTGTGTGGTTGCACTTAAAGATCCATTTGTTTTGTGGATAGAGGACAGTGTTGTATACTGTTTTGATTCTTTTTGTAGGTTTGTCATTTTTTTCATTTGCATTCCAAATCTATTGTATCTGTTAAAGCTGAAGAAAAACCCTTTTAAAGGTAATAGACCTATCTAGGAGGCCAGTTTCTTTCAGTGGCCCATGAAGATATCTTTGGACAAGGATGCTGTTGAAACCCTTCCCCAAGAACAAAATTATTCACCCATAGGACTTGACTGGATGCATCAGGGAATACTGAAGTCCACCAGACTGTCTTTCTCTTGAGACGTGTTGGTGAACATGTCCTATTTGGCCAATCACCCTAAGAGGGGTGCCTTTGAGATGGTTAGGAGAACCTGCTTTCCATCCCTTGGGACGTTCTTAGGGGCTCACCTGTTCCTAGAAGGTCAGAGCTACTCTGCCTTGTAATTGGAAGGTTGTCTTCCTACGCACCCATCCTTATCCTTCCTTTCTTTGCTTTTCCTCTGTACCCATGGGTATTATTTAAAGAAACCTATGAACTTACTTAGCATGGTTTGTAATGAAAGGCAGTTGTGTGTTTTTATGTTATTCTGGTTTTTTTATGAAGTGTAAAGTTGACTTGAATTTTTCTTTTCTCTAGTACTGTAAAACCATGCCTAGATCTTTTGGTTAACTGGCTGCACATATACCTTAATAACCAGGATTCGGGAACAAAGGCATTCTGCGATGTTGCTCTCCATGGACCATTTTACTCAGCCTGCCAAGCTGTGTTCTACACCTTTGTTTTTAGACACAAGCAGCTTTTGAGCGGAAACCTGAAAGAAGGTCAGTGTTGTGGGAGTGCTGGACTGGATTTTCCTTGTGTTCTTGTCACCCTTCAGAATGGTGATTCATTACTTTTTTGAGATTTTTATAAAAACTGGATTCAGAAAACTGCATGTACACTCAAACTTCTAATAATAATTTCAAGCAGCTCATAGGCCCCTACAAACCCCTTAAGATAGATTTGAGCTTGAGAACCCTACAAACCCCTTAAGATGGATTTGAGGTTAAGAAAGAGGTTTCTGCCTTTGAAGGTTTGAAATGTGAAGATGTCTCCAGAGGTGAGGCTGAGCCCTGGGCTGTGCCAGCGCCCTGTACAAAGCTTCAGTTGGATGCACCTTCTCTTTGTTGTCCTTGTAACAGCCCAGTAAATGGCAGGTATTCTCCCTTTACAGACAGCACCAAAGCACGGGGAAGTCATTTTCCCAAGATCACATGGTTACTGGCAGGATTAGAAAACTGAAGCCAGGTTCAGCTGACCCTAAAGTTTGAGTTTATATAGATTACACTCTGCCTGAAGCCTTGAGACTTAATTGACCAGTATTGTTTTGCTAATTTCTAAGAGTTACTTATAATTCAAATCTATCAGTTGAAACTTACTAGATTAGCGTATTTTAGTTGAAGAGAGTCTCCAAGAACAGTGTTTATAAGTCATTGTAAATTGTTCTGTTTATGTTTATGAATAATTCATATGGTTTTGTGGGTCACTTCCTCTAAACCAGGGTCTGTCAACCCTGCATGATTGCCATTTGGGCTGCATCATCCTTCATCGTCGGGGGCTGTCCTCTGCACTGTAGGATGTTTAACAGCCTCCACCTACTAGCTGCCAACAGCAGTCCCTGACCACCCCCAGCTGTGACAACTAAAAGTGTCTCCAGACACTGCCAGGTGTCCTCTGTGGGGGTTGCAGTCTCCTTAGGTTAACAGCCACAGCTCTAAACTGACAGTTGTACGTGTTGCATTATATATGTTTACCTACATCCTACATGCTTCTAAAAGATGTTGTATGAACTAGTAGGATGAGGTTTTATCACAAGGTAAGTAAATACAAGCTCTGCTTTTCTTTGTATAAATTAATGCCAGGAATCTGAATTAAATATCTTGTTTTTGTAAGCAGTGACATCCCATTTAGGTAATTTTTATTGAAATATGCATCAAAGAAACTCCTAAGAAAATATACTTAAGTACAAGTTGGTCAGCTTGCCTCTTAAAATAAATGTGATGTCTTTATTTTACTCATGTAGGAAAGAATTGTATTCACTAAGTCTAAGAAAGTGGCTTCTGTCTAAATTTGCCGTCCGTTGAGGTAGAAGGCAAATTTGGAGTTTTCTTGTTTAGAAAAAAAACTACAGATGACTACTGTGCACCTGAAAACAGCACTCAGCTTCACTAACGAGACATGCAAGCTAGAATCAAATTGCTGTTTTGTTTTGTTGCCTGTCGTGATTGTTAGCTGAAACCAAATCACAAGGTCTTTTTCTCCCTCTGTATTAGCTCAGCATACACTGAGCTTACAAACGTATGAACTTCACGTTGTCGTGGAATCTTACAGCCTGCTACTTCCTAAGTTTCCTTTAGAGAAGCTGCCTTGGTGACCAATGAATGTGGTTAGCCTAGTGATACTCTTCTGGGCCATATACTGTGTGACTATCTGCATGGACCTTTATTGAAAGCATTTCTGCAAATAATTTTTTTAAGTTTTTTTTAAATGTGTGATAATTTGTGCTTTTAAAGATATCTTACACTTTTCACTTATTTGTACCTTTAAAAATCTTTTTTTTTTTTAAACCAAAGGTTTGCAGTATCCTCAGAGTCTGAATTTTGAGCGGATAGTGATGAGCCAGCTAAATCCCCTGAAGATTTGCCTGCCCTCAGTGGTTAACTTTTTTGCTGCAATCACAAAGTAAGTTATTTATGCTTTCTTGATGGGAGTTATTTAAAATATTTTTATTTATGTTTCTCTAGTATTGTAAGAGTCTGTTAAATTTCTATGAAATTAGTAACATTATAAAAGGCCAGGCGTGGTGGCTGACGCCTGTAATCTCAACATTTTGGGAGGCTGAGGTGGGAGGATTGCTTGAGGCCAGGAGTTAAAAGACCAGCTTGAGCAACATAGTGAGACCCTATCTCTATAAAAAAATTTTAAAAATTAGCTGGGTGTGGTTGCCTGTGCCTGTAGTCCCAACTACTCAGGAGGCTGAGGTAGGAGAATCACTTGAACCCAGGAGGCAGAGGTTGCAGTGAGCTGAGATCGTGCCATTGCACTCCAGCCTGGGTGACAAGGGCAAGACTCCATCAAAAAAAAAAAAAAAAAAAGGAATTTCTGCAATACGCTACAACATGAATGATTTTGTAGGACATTACGCTAAGTAAAATAAGCCAGTCACAGAAAAACAAATACTGTATGGTTCTACTTAAAGGAAGCCCATAGAGTTGTCAAAATTAGAGAGACAGAAAGTAGAATGGTGGTCCCCAGCGGCTGCAGAAAGACAGAGTGGGGAAATTATTGTTTAATGGGTACAGAGTTTTCATTTTACAGGATGAAGACTTGTGGATATGGATGGTGGTGATGGTTGCACAACAATATCAATTTATTTTATACCACTGAACCGTGCACTTCAAAATGGTTAAGATGGTAAGTTTTATGTTGTGTATTTTACCATAATAAAAAAAATTGTAGAGGGAAAAACAGTCTGCCTCCACTTTTGATATGGGACTGCTAACATCTTCCACCCTCCCTCTCCCCCTCTGCCCCACATCTGGGCAAGCTAAGAAAGCCTGCTGCTCTCTCCTCTGGCACCAGCTGGAAATTCATACCCAACAAGCCCTAGCCCTCCCACCAGACCCACATTTCATCCCCATCCCCATCGCATCCCCATCCCCATCCCCATCCCTAACCACCATAAATGCTAAGGGAGTTTCCTTGCCTGGTTTTCTGAAACCATTTTTGGACCTGCTTGGGAATCTGCCCTGCTCTCTCAGAAAGCTTCATTATATGAGCAATAAACCTTTTCCTACCCTCTTGGTGCATGTGGTGTATCATCAGTCTTGACATCTAAAACAAATTTTGGGTGGTGGGGTCCATGTCTTTGCAGGGTGACCACAATAGTACCTGGCACATTATGTGTTTAATAAACAGAGATTACTGTCATATTTATTTTATTTTATTTTTTGAGATGAAATTTCACTCTTTTTTCCTAGGCTGGGGTGTAGTGGTGCGATCTTGGCTCACTGCAACCTCCACCTCCCGGGTTCAAGTGATTCTCCTGCCTCAGCCTCCCAAGGAGCTGAGATTACAGGCATGCGCCACCACACCTGGCTAATTTTGTATTTTTAGTAGGGATGGGGTTTCACCACGTTAGCCAGACTGGTCTCGAACTCCTGACCTCAGATGATCCACCCACCTTGACCTCACTTACAGGCGTGAGCCACCGCGCCTTGTCTCTGTTATATTTATTTCTCTATTTAAATTGATGGATATATGCAAACCTGATCATTATCATACTTATGCCTTGACACAAGAGAGGCAATAAACTAATCTAAGTGATGCTTGTGATGCCAAAGATGTCAGAACACTTTCTGGGCCAATGGCAGATACCTCATGTCACCAGATGCTAAGGGTCCACAATAAAAAGCGTTGAATGAAAATTTTGAGGATAAATATCTCCAGGTTGAGGAAGAAGGTTGCACATATCGGGTGCTCAATAAATATTTGTCGAATGAATGAATGAGTGAATGGCCCCAGTGTGTGGGGCTTGGGAAGTGATTGGATATAGGCAGAGAAAAGGAACAAGTCAAAAATAATTCAGAAATCAAGAACAAGCAAGTTGCCTTGATATACTTCATTCCTACACTTGGCAAACTTTAGTGATTAAGGAAACAATGTTTTAAAAAAAGTTTTGGTGATGAGACATTCAGGAAGATCTATCAATAAATAGCAAACCTGGTCCTTTTTAAGACACTGTGTATAAAAAAATTCCAAAAAGATTAAAATCAGTGCAGAAACCAAAGAACCATTTTTTTCTATATCATATTGATCATTTCAAGTGGAACTGTTAGCTATCTTAGAAAAATTGTGGTTCTCAATTGGTTTTGCCTCTATCTCTGAACCACCATTCCTAAAGGAAAACATTCAACCAGAAAATTTCAGCACATCACAATCTCTCTGAAGATTAAGAAGTCTCTGTGAAGGACTGAATGTATAAATTGAAAAATTTTTGCTGTCACATTTAGGTAAAAGAGAAATCGTTCTTCATATCCCCTTCCTTTCCATCTGTAGCTCACCTATGTCAACTTTCCTCTCAGAAGTGAAATAAAATTAAAGCTATGACACTGAGTGTCAGTCATGGAGGGACACGTTCCCCACTTAGCCTTTGCTGAAGTGTTTCCAGAGACAACTGTCTAATGCCAGGTCCCCACTTAGTGGGCTGCACTTTTCTACTCATTTGCACATAATCCAGAAGTCACATTTTGGGTTCACAGTTTCCACTGGGGTAACCTCATTAGGCCTGGCCACCTCTGTGCTTCTTGTGAAGTCTCTGATTTGAAGGATTAGTATCCTTTCCAGACTGTGTGGGTTGACTTTCACCCATCTGGAGTTGCTTGGAACAAAGATAACTACCTCAACTCCTTGTCATGAAAGCAAAAAAAAAATAGCATTAGAGTTCTGAGAACAGGATGTCATTACGGGTTGTGCCTTGTCAGCTACAGGTAAGATATTTGAGTGGCTCCTCAAGCCTCCCCAACTCCCTCTCCAACCTCGCTACACAGTCTTCCCAGGTCTGGTATTTGACCTCCAGACTGCCGCCCAGAAAGCAACTCAGAGCTCAGCAACACCATGATGATGAAACACAAATATGTGGGCCCCCAACTTTGGAGACTCCACTGGTTGCTTTTGTGCAGCTCTTTCTATATATGACTTTCAAAATGGCAGCCAACCCTCTCAACTGTTGGTTGATCTGAATATGTAAAGTTCAGCCTTCAAACCCAGCAAACAGTCAGCTATAGGATAGAGTTCAGGTGCTGGGGAATGACCACGGTTGGCTGCTACGTTGGGAACCCTGGTGACATCATATATGGACCTGGGAATGTAAAGAAACGTAGGAAATCTGAATTTATGACTTTTCTAATCTCTCTATCGGGATCCTTTTTTGGAATCAAGATGATTTTCCTTCTAAAAGGTCATTTTATTACAGTAATGGGCAGGGTAGACATACCTCACTAGCGTACTCTCAAAATTTCTTGCATGCATATGCTTTCTCCGGCATGCATATGCTTTCTACTACAATGTGAACAAGCCTACGAAAGCTAGCCTAATGGAGGATGAGAGACCACGTGGAGGAGAGCTGAAGTGCCCCAGCCAGCAGCTAGCCTACACCCACAGCTATTTTGCTTGTGTTCCACTCGTCCTATTTGCATAATATTGTTCTTTAAGTTAACCCATTCTTAATTTATTGTTTTAATCTTAAGCAATAATATTCAAGAACTAATGAGTTTTGTGTATTCATTATATTTTTCCATAATATATATTATACTAATAAATGCCCATTCAAATTTTTGTTTGAGTGCTCAAGTGGGTATCATTTAAAATAATCTTATATACTATATATAACAGCCAAGGTTTGGGCAACACAACAGAAACTGCATGAGTTTATTTTATCAGAATTTTTTAAACGGTATGGGAGAACTAAAAAAGTAAAAAAGGGAACCCTTGAGTTAACAAGGAGATAAGAACTACGTAAAGCAGTTACTGTCCTGAAGGAATAAAGGGAAGAGCATGGGGTTATTAGAACCTAGAAGTTTGGAACCACCAGGAGCTGGGACCCTATGAGGAGAGGGTTGGCCCCTGACAATGCTGGTGTCTCTAAGGGAGCTCCTGAGGCTGATTCTAGCAGTGTAGGGAAAGAAACTGGAAACTGGAACAATTTCCTCTGTAATCAATGACCCTTGCCAGGGTAAAGAATCACTGCTGAAGAGATGCTACTGGAAAAGCAAGCAAACAAAAAGGAGGGTGTCCCTTCCCCTTCTTCCTTCCTTCCAGTCTCCCTCATGACAGAGCATCTGGCTGGTGACGGGAAAAGGTGCTCCACAGAGCACCACCCCAACATCACACGGGCATCTGCTGACCCACAGCTGACTGCAGATGAGGAAGCTCAGCCTAGGTCACACAAACGCCTCCCAGCTGAGTCTAGCCTAAATTGCCAACCTGCCAAATCATGAACTAATAAGTGACTATTGTTTTAAGCCACTACCTTTAAGGGAATTCAGTATGCAGCAATAGCTATCTGATCCATATAGGCCTACAAGGCTATAGAAAAACTATCACATGTAATCCCAGCACTTTGGGAGGCCAGGGCGGGTGGATCAACTGAGGTCAGGAGTTCGAGACCAGCCTGACCAACATGGAGAAACCTCGTCCCTACTAAAAACACAAAATTAGCCAGGCATGGTGGTGCATGCCTGTAATCCCAGCTACTTGGGAGGCTGAGGCAGGAGAATCACTTGAACCTGGGAGGCAGAGGTTTCAGTGAGCCAAGATCGCACCATTGCACTCCAGCCTGGGCAAAAAGAGCGAAACTCTGTCAAAAAAAAGAAAAAGAAAGAAAGAGAGAGAGAGAGAGAGAAAGCAGAGAGGCTACTGCAGAGAAAAGTCTAGAAGGATGGGTTCATGGGTTCATCGAGAGACAATAGCTTAACAACCAGCACACCATAGTTGGCAAAACACTATCATTGAAAAAAAAACATGCTCAAAAGGGGAAATGCCAGTTTGGGTAAATATGCTTTTGTGTTGGAGAGAAAGAATTTGGAACAGGCTTTTCAGACCCCCTTAAGGCCCAACAAACAAATTATAATTTAGACAAGTCTGGGATTCTTCACAGCTCAGCTTGTGGTGATGGTATTAGCTTCACAACTCCAAACAAGTTAAGCTGTCTGTGTGAAATCTCCTCAACAACACCTCACTGGCAAACCTGGAGGTGCTGAAAACAGAGCTTTCAATTCTTGTTTGCAACCAAGGGAGTTGAGTTGGCAGATGGGCACTGTGTCCAGCCTTGGGAAAGGACATCGCAGACTTTGCATCCTAAGAACTCATAACCACAACGGCAAGGTAAGACACAAGCTCTTGAAAGTTTCCATCACAGTGCAGCACAAATGACCTTGGCTATGTGCCCTGTTATTGCTGGTCCCTGCTTAAAAATCTCCTGTGACTTCCAACCACACAAATTTCCTACCTGGTTGCAAAAATGCCCTTGATAATTCACCCCTCCCTCTATCTTGCCCCCTTTACAATGTGGCTTGGCAGCTCCTCCCATCAAGAGTTAAAATCTATTTCCTCACCCCTTGAATCTAGGCTGGCCATGGGACTTGCTTTGGCCAATAGATGTGGCAGAAATTATGGCGTGACAGTTCTAAGCATGAGTCTCAAGAGGCTTTGCATGCAGCAACTTTCTCTTAGAACCCTGCCACCATGTGAACAATCCTGCCTGGGCTAGCCTAATGGAGGATGAGAGACCATGTGGAAGAGAGCTGAGGTGCCCCAGCCAACAACCAGCCTACCCCAGAAGCAGAGGCATCTGCTGACCCACAGCTGACTCCAGATGCATAAGGGAGCTCAGCCTAGATCCAGAACGCCTCCCAGCTGAGTCTAGCCTAGACTGCCAGCCTGCCAAATCATGAAGTAATAAGGGACTATTGTTTTAAGTCACTACCTTTTGGGGGAATTTGATATGCAACAATAGCTCTCTGATACATATAGGCCTACAAGTCTATAGAAAAACTATGCTGCCTCTCTCTCCAGCCACACAATTTCTTTCTCTTCTCATTTACTATTCTAATTCCTCTGTGTTATAGTCTGTGTCCCAAAATTCATGTCAAAATCCTAATCTCCAAGGTAATGGTATTAGAAGGTAAATCTTTGGTAGGTGATCAGGTCATGAGGGTGGAGCCCTCATGAATGGGATTAGTAACCTTATAAAAGAGAACCCAGAGAGCTCATTTGCTGCTTCTGCCATGTGAAGATACAGTGAAAAAAGAAGCAGGCCCTTGCCAGATACGAGTTTGCCAATGCCTTGATCTTGGAATTCCCAGCCTCCAGAACTGTGAGCAGTAAGTTTCTATTGTTTATAAGCTACCCAGCCTATGGCATTTTGTTACGGCAGCCTGAATGGACTAAGACAGTCTACCTAGACCATTATTTCCCTTTCATCATCCACCAGCCAATTCCAGCACATCTTTTAGATCTCAGCTTAAATACTCCCTCCAAGACCTCCCTCTATCTCTAATATGAATGAAATCCATATCTCAAGTTCTTCACAGAATCCTCTACTCTTTCCTTCATGGCATTTGTCATAATTTGTAATTATATATCTAGCAAAGTTCTTTGTTGTTAAACATCTACCTCCTCCACTCTCCTAGAAACTCCACAAGGACATCCCTGCACCCAGTGCCTAGGCAATGCCAGACACATAGCAGATGCTCCATTAATTATCTGTCGAATGACTGAATGGCTTCCAAGTTAGTTAACTGGGCACCCTTGATAACAGATTCTGGCCTATTTGAAGGATCAAAGAAGAAAGTGGTGCTACCTTCTCCCCTGCCACTATCTTGCCCACTTGTGGTGCCAGTTCAGGAGGTTTGGAATGGATGTGGCTAATGATAGACGTAGACCTATTGCCTTTCTTGGATCATAATTCTGCCAGGCTCTGAGTCCATGTGGCATCGATGGCTAATTGTCCTCCAAAATTTATCCTCTCTTCTTCCATTTATACCCTCCCATGGAGTTTTAACAGGGCATGTGGTCACCCTACTGGGATCTCACTTCTCAGCTTCCCTTGCAACTGGATGTGGCCTTGTGACTAAATTCTCATGAACAGAATGTGAGTGCAAGTGATGTGTCAGTATCTTCATCACTTTCCTAAAAAGGGAACTGCTGGTCCTCCACTTCCTCTCTTTCACCCTTCCAATGAGCCAGAACATGCATGTGATGCTGGTGAGTCAGCTTCAGTCACATGAATAAAAACAAACTCCAGGAGATGACTAAGCAATAAGACAGAAGGAACCCAAGTCCCTAGACGAGTTCACAGAACCAAGCTACCTATCCAACCCTGGGCCCACCTGGATTATAACATGAGAAAAACATAAGTCCTAATCATATTTTTGAAGCACTGCATTTTAGGGCTTCTTTGTGACAGCAGCCTACCCTCTAGTCTAATCAATATACCTCACCAAGTCTCCTGCTCCTAAGGGAGACAAAGAAGCAAAATGAGTCTCAAAACATCATCCAAATGGAATAGATACAGACCTGTAATCCCAACACTGTGGGTGCCCAAGGCGGGTGGATCACTTGAGGTCAGGAGTTTGAGACCAACCTGGCCAACATGGCAAAACCCTGTCTCCACTAAAAATACAAAAATTAGCCGGACGTGGTGTTGTGCACCTGTAATCCCACCTACCCACGAGGCTAAGCCGGGAGAATTGCTTGAACCCAGGAGGGGGAGGTTGCAGTGAGCCGAGATCATGCCACTGCACTCCAGCCTGGGTAACAGAGTGAGACTCTGTCTCAAAAAAATAAATAAAAATAAAAATAAATAGACCATTAATTAATAGATATAGCCTTGGTCTGTGACCAAAGCTCAGAATGTTATGATATTCCTTTCCTATGTCACCTCAACTTGCCCCTGTCATCAGACAGGACAAATTCCCCACTGGTCCTTTGCACTCACAGCTGTTACATTTGAAATGGGAGCTTAGCCTTCCCTGCCCTGGTTCCTCCTTAGACTCATTTGGGAAAACAGGAAACGTAATTATTTCTGCCATTACCTTTATCTCATGGAGCCTGACAGAGTGTAACCAATGGTAGGAATTAAAACATTCTAATTGCCAACTCACAACAACTCCCGAAAAAAATCATTTTAACTCATTATACATATTAAATTATGACATGCTTAATGTCCAAACCTAATAGATTCAGTACTCAGGAAATCCCTTATACAGGTAGACACCTTTCCTCCTGTACTTTAAGAAAATCTTACATCAATATGCGGGACTTCTCAAATTTTTCTATCACAGTTTTCTTAATAGGAAGGAGAATTTGTGCCAAAAGATGTATGGAAATTTAGCACAAAGTAGCCCTCTACAAGCGGAGGATTTCTTTAAAGCATTGTGTTTTATCTCAAGATTCCATGGCAAATGTTTATCTTCTCTGCTTGTTTTAGTATGAAATAGTTTTCATTTGCTTGTCATCATTTTTAAGGAGTTGAAAATACAATCAACCTCACTCATCATAAAATAAAAGCAAATTAAAACTACTATGACATATTTTCACCTACAAAATTGAGAACATTTTAAAATGTGATAATAGTTCTATTAACAAGGGTGTGAGAAGACAATTCTCAGGCAGGGCATGGTGGCTCACACCTGTCATCCCAGAGCTTTGGGAGGCTAAAGTGGGAGGATCGCTTGAGCTCAGGAATTCAAGATCCACCTAGGCAACATAGTGAGACTCTGTCTCTACAAAAAGTAAAATATAAATTAGCTGGGTGTGGTGGCATGCGGCTATCATCCCAGCTACTGGGGAGGCTGAGGCGGGAGGATTGCTTGAACTGGGGAAGACCAGGTTGCCATGAGCCATGATCACGCCACTGTATTCTAGCCTGGGTGGCAGGACCGGACCCTGTCCCAAAAAAAAAAAAAAAAAAAAAAAAATCCCTCTTCCCTGATTGGTGGGACTGTAAGCTGGTGCAACCTCTTGGGAGGAGCAGGTGGTTAGAAAACATGTATCAAATTTTTATGCAAAATTTAAATAGACCCACAATTAGACCCTAGGAATTTATTCTCCAGATATTCTCATGCATGCGTGCAAGGTATATTTGCAAAGATTTGTATCCAGCACTATCTGTAATTGCAAAAATCCAGAAGCAACCTCAGTGTCAATCCTTAGAAGACTGTGTACATGAGATACTGTACATGTTGGTTGGGTTCTCCGAGAAGCGCATGCCCGGATAGAATGCAAAAGATTCATTAGGGAGTAACACCTCTGCCAGAAAAGCAGAAGAGATAGGATTGGGCAGGAGGGGCCATTAGAGCACAATTTAGAGCTACCACCATTTCAGAAGGCAGCAAAGATTGCCTGTTAGAGAAATGGTCAGGCCCTTGTACCCTCAGTCACTGGATGGGAGCCACTCCAAGAAGAGCATGACCATGACTTAACAGCTAAGGGGACCCTGAAAGAGCTGCCAGGTTAAGGCTATCAGCTCCTCACTCCCCACAGCTGGACAGAGAGCCTTTGTTTAAGGAGGATCTGAGCAGCTCATCTCCAGGTCTGGCACAAGGGTTACCCATAGGATGAAGATGGAAGACATGAATCTATATGTATTAGTATGGAACAATCTCCATGATAGATTTTTAAGTGAAAGAGCAATAGTAAATTGCAAAAGAGAACATAACGTTTTGGGACTAGGCAGAAGTGATAACCGAACAACAGTGTGAATGGAGTAAAATGTCACCGAATTGTACACTTTAAAGTGGCTAATTTTGCTATGTGAATTTCACCTCAATTTTTTTTTTTTTTTTTGAGATGGTGTTTCACTCTTGTTGTCCAAGCTGGAGTGCAATGGCAAAGTCTCGGCTCACCACAACCTCCGCCTCCTGGGTTCAAGCAATTCTCCTGCCTCAGCCTCTTGAGTAGCTGGGATTACAGGTGCGTGCCACCACGCCCGGCTAATTTTGTATTTTTAGTAGAGACGGGGTTTCTCCATGTTAGTCAGGCTGGTCTTGAACTCCCGATCTCAGGAGATCTGCCTGCCTCGGCCTCCCAAAGTGTGGGATTACAGGCGTGAGCCACCGCGCCTGACCCCATCTCAATGTTTTAAAAGAGAGAGAATACAGCATGCTGTCATTTGTGTTAATTTTAAAAAGGAAATGAATTTATGTGCATGTATAAATGCTAGACATGGAATCTCTCTGAAAGGAGCCATGAAACACTCATACTATGATCTCCAGTCAGGAAAGAGACTTAATTTTCACTGTACGCCCTTGGTGCTGCTTAAATTTTTATCATGTGCATGTAATTACACCCTGTCTTTAAAAATCATTAAAGATGTTTAATTGTTCTGATGAAGGAATACATTACTTGCCATCAAGAAAAATGAATGAAAAATTTTCTGCGAGACAATTTTTAGCAAGACACTGTTGTATTGATCATTCAAGTTCAGAAAATTCAGCCTCCGTCAAGGGGCACAAACATCATATATCAGGTTCAGTTTGTCCTCTCTCTCAGAGTCAAAGTGCTTTAGGAACATAGACACAATAAGTTTCTGGAACCAAATGGCAAATATCAAAACTTGCTAGAACAGGAGAAAAGTGTATCTTATTGAAAATTCACCAGCTGCTATACCATTCAGCATTGGGAAAATCAGCATACCTTCTTAGACTTCATTATTTTAAAGATGGCAAAATAGCCAAGTCATGGATGTCTCCCCCTTTCATCAAAATGTAAAGAACTAGCTGCCTCTGGGACTCTCCACCAATTTTCAAGCACGTCTTTTGAACCCATTTGATGGTGTCACTCAATAAGGGCACCTTTTTCAACTTGGCTGCCTCTTTTTGACCCAAAATAATTTCAACCCTTTTCTGCAGCTCCGGGCTTCACCAGGCTTTCTATTATTGCATATACCTTTCATAGTGATTCTAAACCGACCTCGAATGAAGAGACAAATGATTTTTTATCTATTGGTTTGATTGCACTTCTCCTTGTACTGCTCCAAGACAAGGCTTGTCTTTTGAGTTGCAAAAAATACTAGCGCTCTATTTCCAAAGTCAAACAAGTGGCTTTTCAATGTCTCTGCAAGTGTTTTGTTTCATGCAGTCAGTGCTGACTTTTCTCGATGGAGAGACATATGGTTTGGGCCCATTTTAGCAACTCTATAATAAAACTGATTATAAAAATAAGCATCTAAGAATATCTTAGGCTTTTAAGATTGACACCACTGCTTGCTACTCAATTGCTAGTTGTGGTTGGCAGTGCACGCAGTGTCTTTGTGGTCAAGTTCATTGTGGCAAGCTCAGAGGTCATGTCAGATCACAACACAGGGACTTTGAATTGGGTGGACATCCATTCATTACGTGGCACACGTCACGAGCTTCAAGGTTTTGCTTCAAAAACTCTTCTGTCTTCTAGGTGAAAGTATAAGTTTAAACTTACTGCTCTTTAAGAAAGTAAATGAAAAATGACACTAAAGTCCCAAAAGCCAGAATTGTCAGCAATCCTAGGTGCAGTTCATTCATTCATTCATTCACGTATTCATTCAATAAATATTTATGGAGGGCCTATTTACCTGGCAGCACTTCATGAGGCCCTGGAAATACAATAGTGAGCAATAAAAACACACTCCTTCACCAGGTGGAGCTATAGTCTACTAGGGAGATATAGATGTTAAACAAATTATCACACAGGCCGGGCATGGTGGCTCACACCTGTAATCCCAGCACTTTGGGAGGCCGAGGCAGGTGGATCACCTGAGGTCAGGAGTAGGAGTTCAAGACCAGGCTGACTAACATGGTGAAACCCCATCTTTACTAAAAATACAAAATTAGCTAGGCATGGTGGTGCATGCCTGTGATCCAAGCTACTTGGGAGGCTGAGGCAGGAGAATTGCTTGAACCGGGGAGGCAGAGGTTGCAATGAGCTGAGATCGCACCATTGCACTCCAGCCTGGGCAACAAGAGCGAAACTCCAACTCAAAAAAAAAAAAAAATTATCACACAAACAAGTACATAATTCTATATTGTGAAGTGTCCCAAAGAAAAATATGCCACTCTTAATAAGTACAGGAGGCTTAATTTGGAAAGTTAGAAAAGTGATGTTTAAAGTGAGAACTGTAAGACAAGTCACTTTGTCAGTGCAAAGTGGAAAGAAAGTATTTTAAGTAGCAAGGAGAGCATGAGTAAAGACCACGGAGAAGGAAAGCGAGGATGCAGTTAGAGACATGAAAGGACTGCATTGGTGGGGCACCGGGATGAAGGAGATGATGAAGAAGATGTAACCAGAAAGGCTGGCAGGGACAAGGTCATGCTGGGTCTTGCAGGCCAGCATGAGCACTTGAGATTCTTAAAGTAATTGCAAGGGAGCCTTTGAGGGTTTTAATGAGGGCAGTATCTTTATCAGATGTGCACTTGTTTGGGGTTTCTCTGGATTTTGTTGAAAGAACAATTTAAGCAGAAGGCAGATTAGGAAATAGGAGAATCGAGAGGCTGTATATGTTGAGACGCAGTGGTAGTCTAGGGTGACAATGCAGGAAATGGGAAGCAGTGGATGAACTGGGGATATGTTTTGAAGGTAGAATAGATGATGGCTGGGAAGACAGTGACTATTCAAGGGCAGGGGGGTTGGGGGAGGTATCAAGAATGTTTAGAATATAGCTAACCACATACCCTTTTAGAAACAGTCTTCTCTGAACATTTCTCCTGTCTCCAAGCCTCAGTTTCCTCATCTATGAAATAAGAACACTACTACTTCCTTTTTAAGGTTGTTAAACTGGTTAAATGAGATTATGCAGGGAAAGCATCACTAGTCAGTGCTCAAAAATGTGCTTTTTAAATTTCCTCCCTTTGCCTCTTATTCTCAACTTTGTCCTTTGTAATATTATTGTTCTTTAAGTGGGCTTGGTTTTGTCCTATCTTTGCCCATTCACTCACTGCTCCCCATCCACCCAAATCCCCTCTGTATTCTGTTTATGCAAGACTGAGTTTACCCCTTCTCAGTCCATTGACTTATCTCTCCTCACTCATTGACTTGTCCCAGGCAATTTATTCTGCAATCTTGGACAAAAATCTGGATTTTCAGCCAGGTGCAGTGGCTCACACCTGTAAACCCAGCACTTTGGGAGGCCAAGGCGGGTAGATCATTTGAGGTCAGGAGTTTGAGACCAGCCTGACCAACATGACGAAACCCTGTCTCTACTAGAAATACAAAAATTAGCTGGGTGTGGTGACGTGTGCCTGTAATTCCAGGCATGCCTGTAATCCCAGCTACTCGGGAGGCTGAGGCAGGAGAATCGCTTGAACCCAGGAGACGGAGGTTGCAGTCAGGCGAGCTCACGCCACTGTATTCCAGCCTGGGCAACAAAGCGAGACTTCATCTCAAAAAAAAATAATAATAATTCATTATGTAATCCAGCTTTGAAACACTCTTTGGCTACACTTTTGTATGCTTTAAGGAGGAACAAAACACAGATGGTCTCCAACTTACATTGGTTAAATCTACAATTTTTCAGCTTTACAATGGTGCAAAAACAATGTGCATTCAGTAGAAACTGTACTTCAAGTACCCATACAACCATTCTGGTTTGCCCCTTCAGTACAATGTTCAATGAATTATGTGAGATATTCAACACTTTATTATAAAACAGGCTTTATTTTAGATGATTTTGCCCAACCTTAGGCTAATGTAAGTGTTCTAAGCATGTTTAAGGTAGGCTAGGCTAAGCTATGATGTTCAGTAGGTTAGGTGTATTAAAGCAAGTTTTACTTAAGATATTTTCAAGTTACAGTGGGTTTATTGAGATGCAACCTCATTGTAAGTCAAGGAACATCTGTACTTCAGAAGTCATCAAAGCTGCATGAGCAGGACACAAGTCATATGAAAAGCCAGGTAGACATAATGCTATAAAAAATCCCTCCATTGGGCCGGGCACGGTGGCTCATGCCTGTAATCCCAGCACTTTGGGAGGCCGGGGAGGGTGGATCACGAGGTCAGGAGATTGAGACCATCCTGACTAACACAGTGAAACCCCGTCTCTACTAAAAATACAAAAAATTAGCCAGGCATGGTGGCGGGCACCTGCAGTCCCAGCTACTCGGGAAGCTGAGGCAGGAGAATGGCAAGAACCCGGGAGGCGGAGCTTGCAGTGAGCCGAGATCACGCCACTGCACTCCAGCCTGGGTGACAGAGCAAGACTCCATCAAAAAAAAAAAAAAATCCCTCCATTGTCAGAGTGTGAGCTTCCAGCTCATTATCCCAGAAGCCCGAGATAGCAGCAGTTCTCAGATCTTGTGATAAAGGTCATCTCCTATCCTGGGGCTCTCAGGACCATAATGCAAGAGTCTCCCTCTAAACCTGCCAGCCCCAGGGCTTTTCCCGCCTTCCTCATCCTAAGTCCTGAAAAGTTCACTGGGCCAAATGGTGAACCACGCACTTATTGCCCCATAACCCTTGGTACAAATGTCTCCAAATATATCCATCAAGCCTACAGGTAGTACTGAGAATAACAACAGTAGCTAACATTGATTGGACACTTCTAAGCCCCTTAAATCCATTATCTTACTTAATTCTCACAACACTGATCAAGAGTTGGATAAAATAATCCACTCTCAAGCCAGCAAATCTAAACCAGCCACTCTTCCGTATGGATTCCTGCTCTTATGGTAACAAGGGCTTGCCTTCCCCACCTTTATTCTTAACCCTTCTGGAAAACCTCTGCTCCTCCTTTTCTGAGATGGAAAAATTTATAAGTGAAAAACCATTCCATCTTTCGAGGTGTGGAGGGAGGAAAACAATCACTCCTGCCTTCAACTAAGAGTGTGAAAAATAAGCTTAACTAAACCTGAAATACATTTTCAAATGCCTTTGAAAAGACTTATAAATCAAATCACATTTGTCCATCTCTCTGCTCTTCAAAATTATCATGCATGCACCTGAAGTTTAAGCAAAGAAATCCATTAAACAAACAAACCTAAAATCATAAAACCCAGATTTAGAGATTTATCCGCTCAGTCTAATGAATGCCCAATTCAGAATACAATTTTGTCTTCAAAGAGCCCTGAAGGTTCTTATCTTTCTTATCTTTCTATAGTGTTAACAGAAATATTACATCTTTGAAAAGAAGAAAAACATTATTCCCAGAGCTAAAACAGAAAAGGCTTTGAACTATTTTAGGGATAAATCAACTCACAGTTACCAATAAACCAAAAAGAATAAAAAAGACTGTTTCAAACCAAGTTGACTACTCTTACATATATTCAAGTGTCAACTTACAAATCAGTCTTTAAATATACACGTACACTTTCTAACTCTCCTGAAATGTCACCCAAGCCCCCATTCAATCAGCTAAAAACAATTTAATTCTTTCTCTAGGGAGGAAATCAGGTTATCAGATAAGTAAACCTTAAATACCATTTCTAGGCCTGATGTGGTGGCTCATGCCTGTAATCCCAGCACTTTGGGAGGCTAAGGCAGGTGGATCACTTGAGGTCAGGAGTTTGAGAACAGCTTGGCCACATGGTGAAACCCTATCTCTACTAAAAATACAAAACTTAGCCAGGCATGGTGACAGGCACCTGTAATCCCAACTACTCAAGATAATCTGCATACCAATTGTGGGTAGACATAGGTTTTTGTCCAGAGCCCTCCACAGACCCATCCCTTACCTACCATTGTCTCTCGGGCTTCAACCTTATTTGAAAGTCTTAATTTGCAGTTCCACATACTGCAAACACAAGACCCAGTCTTTCTGGTTCTTATTTTACCTGGAGATTAAAATACAGGCTGGGCGTGGTGGCTCATGCCTGTAATCCTAGCACTTTGGGAGGCCAAGGTGGGTGGATTGCTTGAGGCCAGGAGTTTAAGACCAGCCTGGGCAACATGGTGAAACCCCTGTCTCTACTAAAAATACAAAAATCATCCGGGTGTGGTGGTGTGTGCCGACAGTCCCAGCTACTCAGGTAGCTGAGGCATAAGAATCGCTTGAAACCAGGAGGCAGAGGTTGCAGTGAGCTGAAATCTCACCACTGCACTCCAGCCTGGGCAACAAGGCAAGACTGTCTCCAAAAAAAAAATTAAGTTTCTGTCTTACAATATCATAAGAAAATGGCTGGACAGGTTTTCACCAAAGTTGGAGGGTACTTTTGTGATGGGTTTGGTTTAAATTGGTTTAAAATATAAGACACATAGTCCATAGAGAATTCACCTATGGACTATGCTGCTAAGAGAATCTCAAAGAGATGCACTGTTATGCTCCAGAGTTTTGTGAGAGGCCACTAAGGTCAGGAGACACATGCCATATATATCAAGATGCTGTCAACAGAGAAAACCAGTGAGGTTTCAAACAGAAGCCCCGCTCCATTCAACCAGGCAGCCACTCCTCATTGCAGGTGCTGACCTGGGCTTTGGCTGCTTCTCACATGGGCAACTCTATACACTCTATTCCTGGGAGAAGGGCAGCAAAGACCCACTTATTAAATGATGTTTAACAATCCTCGGCCGGGCGCGGTGGCTCACGCCTATAATCCCAGCACTTTGGGAGGCCGAGGTGGGCGGATCATGAGGTCAGGAGATCGAGACCATCCTGGCTAACAAGGTGAAACCCTCTCTCTACTAAAAATACAAAAAAATTAGCCGGGCGTGGTGTCGGGCACCTGTAGTCCCAGCTACCCAGGAGGCTGAGGCAGGAGAATGGTGTGAACCTGGGAGGTGGAGTTTGCAGTGAGCCGAGATCGTGCCACTGCACTCCAGCCTGGGTGACGGCCGTCTCAAAAAAAAAAAAAAAATATCCTCCAGGCAATTGTGTGACAGCTGGAATGAAAAATCAGGGGCAAATTGTACATATAAGGGAACAATTGTTCATATTTGTGTAAGCTACCCTCCGGAGTCTACAAGTTAAAAGGCACACTTTAATCAATTTGGCAACTTGCATGGCATTTTCCTCCACTATTTGTAGGATGCTGGTATCTCCTTAACAGCTACTGTTTTCCTATGCAACACACAATGACTTCTTGAACACATGGCAGCTTTTCATTTGTTCATTTAACAAATACTTATTGAGTTACTACTATGTGCCAAACACCATTATAAAGGTACTGAGGATACAGCGGTGAACAAGATGGACAAAAATCCCTGCCTTTGTACTACATTCTTGAGTGGGTGTGAGGAGACAATGAACCAAAGAATGAACAAACTGTGTATTGTGCAGGTGTGTCATGGGAAAAAAATGAAGGAGGGAAGAAAAGCGGAAAAGCAGAAAATGTCAGGAATGCACTTCCGTGGCGGGTGGCCAGACAGGTGGCCAAGAAGTGACATTTGAACTAAAGAAGGTATAAGTGAGCAAGCTATGAGGGAATTTGGCAAAACAATTTCGGAGGCGGAGGTCACAGCCAGCAGGTGCAAAGGCCTGGGGCAGGAGTGGGTCCAGGGCATGGGACGGATGGGGAGAAGGTCAGCATGGCTGAAGGAAGTAGGGGGTAAGCTCAAACAAGTCGCAGGTGGGAAACTGAGTGTATTGGACCTTGTAGGCAATTTTAAGAACTTTAGTTTCCACTCATTAACATGGAAAACCACTGGAAGGTTTTGAGCAAAGGAATAACATAATCTGCCTTTTTTTCTTCAAATGCTGTGAAACAAATACTTATTTGACCCTATCACCATTTCTACCTTTGGAAAGGCTATGGTGTGTTACTGGATGTTGAGGATAGCTTACTCTTCAATGTGCAGTAACCAAACTGAATTCATTCTTTCTCAAGATGAGAGAAAGATAAGCCAGGTATGGTGGCTTTCTTAGATAAGCCAGGTATGGTGGCTCACGCCTGTGAGCTGAGGCGAGAGGATCACTTGAGGCCAGGAGTTGAAGACCAGCCTGGGCAACATAGTGAGACCCCTCATCTCTTAAAAATTTTTTTTTAGTTAGCCAGACATTGTGGCATCCGCCTGTAATCCCAGCTCTTTGGGAAGCTGAAGTGAGCTATGATCACGCCACTGCACCCCAGCCTGGGTGACAGAGTGAGACCCCCATCTCTAATTTTGAAAAAAAGACTGGATAGGGCCTGGTTAATACAACTAACTCCCCAAAATTCAAGTTTTTCATATAGGTCTTTTTTAAAAAATAGCTTTAATTGACATAAAATTCACCCATTTAAAGTTTACAATTCAATGGATTTTTATATATTCACAATGTAGTACAACCATCATTATAATTTTTTTTTTTTTTTTAGACAGAGTCTAGCTCTATTGTCCAGAGCTGGAGTGCAGTGGCGTGATCTCAGCTCACTGCAACCTCCATCTCCTGAGTTCAAGCGATCCTCCCACTTTGGCCTCCCAAGTAACTAGGATTACAGGCATGTGCCATCACGCCTGGCTAAGTTTTGTATTTTTAGTAGAGATGGGGTTTCACCACGTTGGCCACGCTTGTCTCAAACTCCTGGCTTCAAGTGATCCACCTGCCTCGGGTCCAAAGTGCTGGGATTACAGGCATGAGCCACAGCACCTGCCCGTAATCTACGTTAGAACTTTTTATCATCCCATCACCCATTTAAGTCTTTACCCATTAGCCATCACTCCCCATTTTCTCAACCCTTCCCGCAAAACCCCTACCCAGCCTTGGGCAACCACTAATCTACTTTCTATACATTTGCCTATTCTGAACATTTCATATCAATGGAATCATACTACATGTGACATTTTGCATCTGGCTTCTTAGAATAAGATTTTCAAGGTTCGTCTATGTTGTAGCATATATCAGCACTTCAGTCCTTTTGAGTTTTTTTTTAACAATCTTTACCATTTTCAAGTGTATCGTTTCATGGCAGTAAGTATATTCACACTGTTGTGTAACCATACCCACCATCCATCTCCAGAACTCTTGTCACCTCTCCAAACTGAAACTCTGTACCCATTAAACAACAATTCCCATTCCCCACCCCACCCCAGTCCCTGGTATGGCAACCACCATTGTACTTTCTGTCTCTATAAATATGACTACTCATACTTCATTTTTTAAATTGCCAAGTAATGTTTCATTGTATGGATATACTGTACAACAATTTAACTATCCATTCAGCTAATGGACATTTGGGGTTTTTTTAACCTTTTGGCTATCATGAATAATGTTCTGATACTTCGTGTGTGTGTATAGATAGATAGATAAATTAAATAGAAGATAGAAGAGAGAGAGAGAGATTGGAGACAGGGTCTCACTCTGTCACTCAGGCTGGAATGCAGTGGCAGGGACACATCTCCCTGCAGCCTCAACCTCCCAGGCTCAAGTGATCCTCCCACCTCAGCCTCCCAAGCAGCTGGGACTACACGCATGTGCCACCACACCTGACTAATGTATGTATTTACTTATTTATTTATGTATTGTAAAGACAGAGTCTAGCTATGTTGCCCAGGCTGGTCTCAAACTCCTGACCTCAAGTGATCCTTCCTACCTCAGCCTCCCAAAGTACCAAGATTACAGGCATGAGCCCCCGTGCCCAGCCTGATACTTTTTTTTTTAAGTATTATTCCAGTTGCCTTGTTGAAAATAGACCCCAAGAAAGCAAATCTCAAACAGAGAAAACTGCTAGGAAGTTCTTGCTGGAATCCAGGTGAGAACGGATAGAGGCTCACATTTAAATGAAGTAGTCAGAAATAGCCACATTTGGATGTATTTTTATACAATTCCTGCTCCTGAAGTCTTCCCCACTCCTTTTTTTTTTTTTTTAACCATTACTACAATTGCTTTGCTGCCTTTTTGCTGATTTATTGGATCACGTGTTTAAAACCCTGATGTGAACACCTACATTTATCCTTCTTACTGGGTATGTGTTAGGTATTTAACAAAGTCTTAGTTCTCCTGGAGTCTGCCTGCATGAACCAACCAAATATAAATCTGCAAAATGGGAACTCTACAGTGTCTCTTCAGTTTTGCTGTCAAGATTTCACAGCCTCAGCTTCTAAAATTATTTCATCAAGTTCAATGGATACATATTCTTGAACTCTTTTCTAGCCTATATTTTCCAACAATGTTGCTAACTATATTTCCATACCAGCCTTCTTATCTAACATACTGGTTAAAATGTCAAAAAGCAGAGGGTTTAAAAAGCTTTTCTCGGTGGAATGTGCTTCTCCTTCATACATGATATAACTTGATTTGAACAATGTCACAAAGATATTTTCTCTGTTAGATTAAAATTTTGTTTGCATGAATTTTTCAATAGCTTTAAGCAGTTGAATAGCAATATATGCAGGAAGAAGCTGAGAGACTTATGTAATAGATATTTCATGTATCTATAACCCACACTGCTGCCCAGGAAATGTGCGCTGCATTAATAGAGAGGATTTTTTCCTGCTGAATACCTTGAGGAGTTGGCCAACACGTTTGGGAGTAGAAGTAGAAAGGGCCAGGTGTGATGGCTCATGCCTGTAATCCCAGCACTCTGGGAGGCCAAGTGGGGAGGATTGCTTAAGCCCAGGACTTTGAGGCCAGCCTGGGCAACAGAGTGAGACTCCATCTCTAAAGAAAAAAAATCATAAAAAACTAAAATTCTCTGCCAAAATGGACACAGAAAAAACTGACAATCCAGAGAAAGATAATATGCAATGAAGCTAGACATGGCCAAATTAGAAAATGATATTGAGAGAGAACAAGAGCAAGAAAGAGGAGCCCTCAGCATTGAGAGGGCTGAGGAAGCACAGAAATGACTGATGGGTTGGTTAGTTAGTTACTTTTTGTGAAGTGTGCAATGTAAATTTCACTTTGGTCTCCCCACCGGAATCATCAACTAAAGTCTACACTGCTATATCGGCTATCTATTGCTGTGTAACAAATTATTCCAAAACTCAGTGGCTTAAAACAACACATTTATTATCTCACAGTTTCTGTGGGTTAGGAATTCGAAGATGGGCCCCCTGCTTCAGGGTCTCCCATGGGTTGCTATCTAGGTGTAAGCTAGGTCTCATCTCAAGACTCAACTGGGGCAGGATCCACTTCCAAGTGCACCCACATGATTATTGGCAGGATTCGTTTCCCATGAACTGTTGTCAGAAGCCGCTTTCAGATCCTTGCCACGTGGGCCTCTCCGAAGGGCAGCTCACAACACAACAGCTTGATTTATCAGAGCAAGCAGGCAATGAGGCAGAACAGGGACCTCTCTTAGGGACATGCAGCACTCCCACCCTCAAACATAGAAATAAAGAAAAATCTTAAGTTCCTTTAAGAAAAATTCCAGGCACTTAGCTAGCCCTTAAAAAATAAATAAGGCCGGGCACGGGGGCTCATGCCTGTAATCCTAGCACTTTGGGAAGCCGAGGCAGTTGGATCACTTGAAGTCAGGAGTTCAAGAACAGCTTGGCCAACATGACAAAACCCCATCTCTACTGAAAATACAAAATTAGCCAGGAGTGGTGGCGCATGCCTGTAGTCCCAGCTACTCAGGAGGCTGAAGCAGGAGAATTACTTGAACCCAGGAGGTGGAGGTTGCAGTGAGCCGAGATCATGCCATTGCACTCCAGCCTGGGCAATGGAGAAAGACTCTGTCTCAGAAATAAATAAATACATCAATAAACAACTTAATAAGCAAGAAGATAATAGTAGCTTAGAATAATGGGCAAAAAAGTTAAAATCATGGGATGTTTGGCTTCCCTATAAAAACTAATGTTCATAGATTGTTTTTCAAAAATGAGGACTCCCCACTAAATGGGTCCAGCAACACACAAGGTCCAGCAACACAACTCAGATAAGGGGGACCTGAAGGCTAAACTCTTAACACTTTTCTCAGTTCTAAATTTCTTCCTAAGGGGAGTAGAGGAAGTCACACCCCAGGCCAGAACTAACATTCCACTGATCTCAAATTTTTAGACAAGGCTTCTCCTCCTAAGCCAATTACAAATCAAAACATCTTTAAATCTACCTTTGACCCATGGGTTCCCACTTTGAGACGTCCTGCCTTTTTAGGTCAAACCAATGTAGAGCCTCCCATATATTGATTTATAACTTTGCATGTAACCTCTGCCTTCCTGCAATTACAAATCCTTACCTATAAGCCATCCGGGAGCTTGGGACTTAAGCATTAACTAATTATCTTTGCTTGGTGCCCCTCCAATAAATACCCCACTTCCTCTTGCTACAATCCCAATATCAATGTTTGGTTTTGCTGTGCTGGGCAGGGGGACCCAAGTTAGGTTCAGTATCAGCAAGAAGGCAAGACAGAGTGTGTGCTAGCAAGACAGAAGTCCGTGTGTTTGGTAACCTAATCTCAAACTGAAATGCCATCACCTTTGCTGTGTTCTACTGATTAAAAGCTAGTCACCCATATGTTCATTGCAGCACTATTCACAAAAGCAAAGACATTGAATCAACCTAGGTGCCCATCAATGGAGAATTGGAAAAAGAAAATGTGGTACATATATACCATGGAATACTACACATCCATAAAAAGGAACAAAATCATACCCTTTGCAGCTACATAGATGCAGCTGGCAGCCATTTTCCTAGGTGAATTAACGTAGGAATGGAAAACCAAATACTGCATGTTCTCATTTATAAGCAAGAGCTAAACGTTGGGTACACATGGATATAAACATATGAACAATAAAAACTGGGGACTACAGCTGGGCATGGTGGCTCACACCTATAATCCCAGCACTTTGGGAGGCCAAGCTGGGCGGATCACTTGAGGTCAGGAGTTCAAGACCAGCCTGGCCAACATGGCAAAACCCTGTCTCTACTAAAAATACAAAAATTAGCAGGGCGTGGTGGCAAGCACCTGTAATCCCAGCTACTCAGGAGGCTGAGGCATGAGGATCACTTGAATTTGGAAGGTGGAGGTTGCAGTGAGCCAAGATCATGCCACTGCACTCCAGCCTGGGCAACAGAGCAAGACTCTGTCTCAAAAAAAAAAAAAAAAAAAAAAAAAAAAAAAAAAACGGGGACTGCTAGATGAGAGAGAAAGGGAGAGACAAAAGGGCTGACAAACTATGCTCACTATTTGGATGACAGAACCAGTCATACCCCAAACATCAGCAACAGACAACATACCCATGTAACAAACCTGCACATGTATCCCCTACATCTAAAATAAAAGTTGAAATTATAGGCTGTTCGCAGTGGCTCATGCCAGTAACCCCAGCACTTTGGGAGGCTGGGGCAGAAGGATCACTTGAGCCTAGGAAATCAAGACCAGCCTGGGCAACATAGGGAGACTTCCTCTCTACAATAAAATTAAAAATTAGCCAGGCATTGTGATGTGCACCTGTGGTCCCAACTACTTGGAAGGCTGAGGTGGGAGGATTGCTTGAGCCCAGGAGTTCAAGGCTGCAGTGAGCCGTGATTGTGTCACTGTACTCATCCTGGGCCACAGAGCAAGACCCTGTCTCAAAAAAAGAGACAGCTCACTGTCAGCTCACTGCAACCCCCACCTCCTGGATTCAAGCGATTCTCCTGCCTCAGCCTCCCAAGTAGCTGGGACTACAAGAGCGCACCACCATACCCAGCTAATTTTTGCATTTTTTTTTTTTAGTAGAGACAAGGTTTCACTATGTTGGCCAGGCTGGTCTTGAACTCCTGACCTCGTGATCCGCCCGCCTCAGCCTCCCATAGTGCTAGGATTACAGGCGTGAGCCACCGTACCTGGCCGAGAAATTATTTTTTAAGTGAAAATAAAAAAATAAAAGCTAGTCACTAGGTCCAGCCCACAGTCAGGGCAAGGGGTCACAAAAGGACGTGAATATGAGGTGGCAGGGATCATTTGGGGTCATCTTAGAAGCTGTCTACCACAATGTTCCACTATGAATTATTTCAGAGGATTCACACCTGGGGCAAGGAGGTACATCGATAGCATGCAACCAGAAGGAGTCCTGAGACAGTCATTTGCAGAAACCCTGGTGAAGTTTTGGTTTTCCTTGGCCATGCAATCAGGGGCTACTCACTGGCTGATGGACTCAGCTGACACCCAGATTAATTTGAGAACTGTATCCACAGTCATTAACTACGGGGCAGTGCCCAACTGTCCCCAAGCCAGAAGTAAGAGGTATGCATCTTCACGACCTCAATGACAAACTTGATCATATAAAATAGGCAGCATTAATTGACCTGGTTCAGGCTACGCCGGAGGTGGACTACCACCTGGAAACAGAGAGACATTGCAGAAGCTTCCCTGAGGTTCCCCTTGCAGCCTTCAGGGGTGAATTCTTTGACACTGGGTGTTTGAAATGGAGCAATCAAGGCCCCAGCAAAAAACAGATGCACACTCCAATGGGGTAATTGAGGACAGTTTAGGAAAGAGATTATTTACAGAAGTGTGGACAGGATTAAGAGAAAACAAGGATGTGGAGCACGCTGGTATTATCAACAGTGGGGTCTAAAAGGGAAGGAGAGAGAGAGAGAGAATCCTGGAACCCAGAGAGAGCTGTCGCTGTAAGACAGAACTGCCCAACAGGAACTGTGGCCTTTAGGGAGAAACTGAGCTACTGCAAACTCTCAGCCCGGAAGGAAAGAAGCCAAAGGAATAAATACCCTGACCTCCCCTTCCACCCTCCAATCTCCTACTGGGTCCCCACTGGCCAGTCTGGCTCCCTGGGCACACCAGAGTTGAGAAGAACGGACAGCGGATTTGGAGGCGCAAGAAGAAAGTATCCAAAACCTAGACAGAAAGCCAGGCAGCTTCACATGAGCTTTTTAAAAGTGTAGAAGTCATAAAAATTCTCCTGGAAATGAGCAAACACATGGGCTTTCAGAAGATGAACACAAAATAGCTTTTAAAATGAAAGTCTGCTCTGGAAGGGAAAAGGTGGTTCCTGGCAATGTGCAGAGGAGGATTAAAGTCCCCACCCTCAACTCCAGCCTGCTGCGTCTTCCAAGAGAGAATTCCCCAGAGCCTGGACTAGGGAAGCATTGGCGCCACTGGGAAAAGCTGCTACAGCCCTTGTTGGGCGGCTCTTTCTCACAGCTACTGAAGCTGCCTTTGCAAAGATTATGACAGTGAGAGAATCTGGTGTTGCTGACTCCATCTTGTTTCTAGCCTCACAGGCTAACTGTCCTCACTCATTCCTGGGCATAGGCCAAGTTAATCATGAGATGAATTTTTTTATTTTATTTATTTGCTTTTTGAGACAAGGCCTCACTCTGTCGCCCAGGATGGAGTGCAGTGGCATGATCACGGCTCACCACAGCCTCGAACTCCCTGGTCTCAGGGTGGTCCTCCCACCTCAGCCTCCAGAGTAGCTAGGACTGCAGGCGCATGTTAATTTTTTTGTATTTTTTGTGGAGATGGGGCTTCGCCATGTTGCCCAGTCTGGTCTTGAACTCCTGGGCTCAAGCGATCTGCCTGCCTTGGCATCCCAAAGTGCTGAGATTGCAGGTGTGAGCTACTGCACCTGGATAGGTATTTAGTTTATAGTTTAATTTGAAAGCAAGGATGATAATAGTGTTCCACTAAAACTGATTCCCTCATTGTTTCAGGGCTGAAACCACCTTTGTAAAACTAAGGAAAGGCCACAAGATTAGGGAGGGGCCTGAATTCTGCTAAAATGGAGGCATAGTCTTAGGCATAGTTTTAGAACCAGCCATTGTTCTATAAGTCACAAGATTTGTGACTTCCCCAATTGCTCCTATAGATAACATCACTATTATAGAACCTAGGATTGGTCTTTTGAGATGTTTTTCAGACTTTGCATTCTGGCAAATAACTGACCCCACCTGGACTTGTAACTCATGACTCAACTGGTCCTGTGGCCCCTACCCAGAGGTGGACTCAGAGCACCAGGACCATTTCCCACACCTCTATTGCATCCCCAACTAATCAGCAGCATCCATTGCCTAGTCCTCTGCCCACCAAACTATTTTTGAAAAACCACAGGCTGGGTGCGGTGGCTCATACCTGTAATCTCAGCACTTTGGGAGGCCAAGGTGAGGGGATCACCTGAGGTCAGGAGTTCGAGACCAGCCTGACCAACATGGAGAAAACCTGTCTCTACCGAAAATACAAAATTAGCCGGGCATGGTGGCACATGCCTGTAATCCCAGCTACTTGGGAGGCTGAAGCAGGAGAATCACTTGAACCCGGGGGGCGGAGGTTGTGGTGAGCCAAGAGCACACCATTGCACACCAGCCCAGGCAACAAGAGCAAAACTCCACCTCAAAAAGAAAAGAAAAGAAAAACCACAACCTCCAAGTTTTTGGGGAGACTGATTTGAGTGATAACTCCAGTTCTTCCACATGGCCAGCCTCAAGTTAATTAAACTCTTTCTTCACTGCAATACCACAGTCTCAGCAAACTGGTTTTGTCTATGCAGTGGGTAGGAAGGTTGAGTAATCACACTACAGTTCTTTCTGGATTCCAGGAGTCTCTCTCCCCTTCCCTTTTAGACCTGGTTGGTAAGGGCTCTGTGCTGTTGACAGTTCCAGAGTACCTCACATCCTTTGTTTCATTTAACCCAGTCCATGCTTCTGTAAATACTCTCTTTGCTAAACTCTCCTCAAGTAATTGATTTTAATGTGCATCCATTGCCTGCCAGGACCTGATTAGTCCATTTCAAGCATCCAATATCAAAGAATGCACCCAAAACAAAGACGCTGTTAGGAAACACAGAACTGGGCACTGCAAAGGTCTTTGAGCATGACACAAGGATGTTGCAAGAGCGGCAGGCCCAGAAGGCAAGTGGGGATTGAAGAACCTTAACAGCATATTCACGGGGCTCAGTCCTAGGATTCAGCATCATGACATATCACCTCCAAGCTTCCATGCTTTCATTTGTATAGCTAAGACTTGACAAGACTAGTGAGGGTGTCCGATGATGAGGACAGTCAAGGATGTTAAATTCCTGACTATACATTAACAAGGAGGAAAAAAACTAACAAACCTGCATCAGTGTGAAGACCAGAAAGGCCTGTCCACAGAGCCAGATGACAAGGTACAACAGGATGCTGTTGAAAAAAATCAGACTAGATAAGAGCAGGTTGCTGTGTGAGCAAACTCAGACCATACAAGAGAACTATAGGCCCCTCTCCTCCAGCCCAGAATTCCTGCCCTGAGTGATGCTAAATCAGAAGGAAGAAAAGCAGGAGATGATATTGGCTACCCTCCGGGGACAGGAAGCATCACCTGGTTGGACTACCAGACTGCCATTCACACTTATATACATGGAGTCAGTCGGGTATGACTCAGTCCCCTGAGGCCAAATGTCAGCGAGGAGAGTGGGAGGAGCAAATCTCTCTCCTCCATTAGAGTTGTCTCCGGAACAAACCCAGGTCTCAAGGCAAAGGCCTCACACACTATTTTGCTATTTTGTCACCCACGTAAAGTTTTCAGAAACAGGATCCCTGTAGCTCATCAGGCACTCAGGTGCATCAAAGCTGAATTCAGGGTAAAGATTGATGCTGTGGCCCAGTGAAGCTGAGATGCCCATACTCTCTCTGTTCAGGTTATAGAGAAAATGGGCACTTTGTGATCACTTATACCCATAATAAAAAACAATTTGTGTGCATCTCATGAGCAAGAAAAATAAACAGGAAAAAAGAAAGCAACCCAACTACTTGTAAGTATAAGGAAATCCAACCCATATTTGTTCATATAACTGAAAGGTCCAGGGGCAAACCTGCAGGTATGGTTTGATGCAGGTGCCAACATCTTTTGCCAGGACCCAGTGTTTCTCACACCCTTTCTTTTTTCTTTTTTTCTTTCCTTCTTTCTTTCTTTTTCTTTTTGTCTTTCCTTCTTTCTCTTTTTTTTTTTTAACAGGATCTCACTCTGTCACCCAAGCTGGAGTGCAATGGTGCAATCTCAGCTCACTATAGCCTCAACCTCCCAGGCTCAAGCAATCCTCCCACCTCAGCCTCCTGAGTGGCTAGGACCACAGGCATGCACCACAATGCCCAGCTAATTCTTTTCATTATTTATAGAAACAGGGAGTCTCACTATGTTGCCAGGGCTGGTCTCGAACTCCTGGGCTCATGTAATCCTCCCACCCACCTAAGCCTCCCAAAGTTCTGGGATTACAGGTGTCAGCCACCATGCCTGACCTCACACCATTTCTTAACTCCATTCTTCTCACTCCATTTCTTAATTTCATTCCTTTATAAAGCTTCTCTTCTTACTATTTCAAGATGGCTGCCCAATTCATGTGCAGAGGAAAGAGAAGTTCTTTCTCTTTACTCTGACAGTTGAATAAAAAATCCAAAGCCTGGCTCTCTTTGGTCCATCCCTGAATCAGTCATTATGGCCTGGGGAATGGAGTATGCTAATTGACTTAAGGGAATCAGGGCCCAGCACTGGAGTGAAGGTGGGGCTAATGCCACCTAATCCACTGGAGAGTACCAAAAGTGTGCTTCCCCAAAGGAAATTCACAATACTGTGGGAAAGGATGAATTGATGCTGAGTCACTATGAATGACAAATGCAAAAGATAAACATACCAGGCCCCACTCCTTGCAGGAAGCAAAAGATCCTAGAGGGAGAGGCTGACATGGAACAGGATGTCTGACCAATAAAACTTCTTCCAATGAGGATTCACAGACATAGTCATACCTTCCAGGTTAAGTAAGGCTCAATTCCAGGCAGCTGTCTGTCTCAGCTCCTCATGCACATCCGTCGCTTCTGTCTACCCAGCATTTGTTTCTCCCTTATTCAGTTCTCATTGCTGTGTAACAAATTGACAGAAGTGCATCAACTAAAGCAACACAAATGTATTATCTCACAGCTCTATAGGTCAAAATCCAAGCACGGCTCAACCGGATTCTCTGCTCAGGGTCTCATGGGGCTGAAATCAAGGTGTCAGCTGGAGCTGTAGTCTTATCTAAAGCTCAGGGTCTTCTTCCAGGATGATTGGTTGTTTTCAGACTTCCGCTCCTTCTGATTATCTTGAGATAGGAGGCAGGACTTGACTCTGGAGGTGGGGCTTGGACACCGGACCAAGTTCAGGACTAACTAAAACAGAGCTGGGAGGGAAGCAGCTTTCCCTAAGACACACCCACCAGTGTGCCAGGTCAGTTTACCATTGACACGGCAATACCTGGGAGTTACCACCCCTTTCCATGGCAATGACCTGATGACCTAAAGTTACTACCCCTTCTCTAGAAAGTTCTGCAGAAACCACCCTTGAATCTGCATATAATTAAAAGCAGGTATAAATATGACTGCAAAACTGCCCAGAGATGCCACTCTCTGGTTACAGGGTAGCCCTGCTCTGCAGGAGCCGTCATGGAGCTGTAACACTGCAGGAGCTGTAACACCACCGCTTCAGTAAAGCTGTTTTCTTCTACCTCCAGCTTGCCCTTGAATTCTTTCCTGGGCAAGGCCAAGAACCCTCACAGGCTAAGCCCCAGTTTGGAGTTCATCTACCCTGCATCAATATGACTGAGGTCTTTTTTCTTGCTGGCTATCGACCAGAGACCTCTCTCACCTCCTAAAGACAAACCTAGGTCCTTGCCCTGTGGCCTCTCCATAGGCTTTCTCACACTTTGAGCATCTCTGACTTCAGGAAGGGCCTAGTCCCTTTTAAAGGTGCACCTGATTAGGTCAGGCCCACCCAGATGCTCTCCCTTTTGATTAACTCAAAATCAACTAACTAGTAGCCCAGTCAGGGCAGGGCTATTCCATCACATCCTCTAATTGTGCAGCACTGGAGAGGAGGAGATTGCACAGATTGTGCACACCAGGGAGCAGGGATCTTGGGGGCCATCTCAGAATTCTGCCTACCACATGTTAGTAATTGATCTCTTCTGGAATCAGTCCTTTCCTGCTCAGTCAATGTTATTTGTGGTAGGATTTAGGGTAATCAGACCTAGCCTTGGCCAATTGGTGTAACCATTGTCTGGGCCACAGTGGTCAGATCAGAAATGGGCACCTGCCTCAAGCAAGCCCAATCAGACCTAACCTGGGGACTTTTGCTGAAGTAACTAGGAAAGATCTCTCTCTCTCTCTCTCTCTCTCTCTCTCTCTCTCTCTTTCTTGTTATTGCGGAAGTGTTAGGCTGTAAACTTAGAGCTGATGGTGGACACCATGTGCTTTGATTCAAATGACCCCCCAAAACTCATGTTGAAACTGAATCCCAAAAGTGGGAGCATTGAGAGGTGGGACCTTTAAGAAGCGATTGTATCCCTCTTGAGGGCAGAGCCTTTACTGACCACCTAATGTTTTATTAAAGCTTGTTCTGCACCACCCCTATCCCTACCATCACCATCTGGAGCTCTCGATCCTTTCCTCCAGATTTCTTTGCTCCATAATATTTATCACTATCTGATACAGGGGTGTGTGGATGTGAACATGTATATGTGTGCATGTGTGTGTTTATGGTCCGCCTCTCCCAGTCCCCGGTAGACTGTAAGCTTCATGAAAGCAGGGCTTTGTGTACTGTTGTTTCTGTAGCATGAGGTCTGCCAAAAAAGTAGGTTCCCCATAAATGTTTGTTAAATGAATATATTCTGATTCTATCTCCCCCTCCTCCAGAATGGATCTAAAGCTTCCCAATCTTTGCCTGAGTGAGTGTCCTACTGAGTTCAATTTTGTTTCAGAAAGGACGTGTGTATGTTCACCCATATGCTGCACAAATATGTAATGGACACCAGCCATGACCAGCCTACTGGGGACTGCTTGGCAGTAGCAACATGGCAGCGAACAAGACAGATGAGCCTCCTGCCCACAGAAGCTTACATTCGGGTGGAATACAGGCTGGTGAGTTGTCATGCCGATTCCTCCAACCCAAAACCCTTGCCAGTATGGCAGGTCCTGGAGCTGGACTGGCCACCATTGAGAATCCACCCAACTGCCCATCAGCATCTCAAGTTCCCTGTTGCAAGATGCCAGGGAGCATGAGAGAGGACCGTGGGGGAGAGTGAGCTCTCAATGAACCTGGTGTGGCAGGGAGAAGACGAAGATGGGGCAGATCCCCAGGGGGAAGACAACTTAAGGGCAGATTTGTTGAACTAAGTTACTTCAAAGGGTCTTCCATCTTCCAGCATGAGCAGAGAAGATGACCACACACCTGGGGGAGAGTCAGATGGCTTCTTCAATTGGAACGTTCTTCCCTAAGGATGAGCTAATATAGCACATGACCTGAAAATCCTTCTGGGAGACTCCAGGTAAAAGGGCCTTGACTGCACCAGGGAGAGAAGCTAAGTTGTAGATTTGGGGGAAATGAGTGTTAGAACAGTGAGTGCTCAAGGGAAGTAGTTAAGTGAGCCATGAGATACAAAGTCTGCCATGGCAAAGTAGGTGGAACAACCATGTTATGAGTATAAGTTCTGACCCCAGCTTTCCTGTGATTTCTACGACCCTTGGTCTTGAAGATGGGAAATAAATGGGTGCATGACAGAAGTTAAAGACTATTATCGGGTATCAAGTACCATAGCACTTTTTGGAGGCAGAAGAGCTTGACAAATGGGCATAGTGTACATAGTAAATGATGGTAAGGGTAAAGGATAAAATGTATCATCTTCCTGTCATCAGAATGGGACCAGCACTGTGTAAGGTGGGCATGTTAATGACATGATATATAAGACAGCTTTTGCTACAATAACAAGGAACTCCCTAGGCCTGGCACGGTGGCTCATGCCTATAACCCCAGCACTTTGGGAGGCTAAGGCGGGTGGATTACCTGAGGTCAGGAGTTTGAGACCAGCCTGGCCATCATGGCGAAACCCTGTCTCTACCAAAAAATACAAAAATTAGCCAAGCAAGGTGGCACTGCCTGTAATCCCAGATACTCGGGAGGCTGAGGCACTAGTGGTGCTTGAACCCAGGAGGCAGAGGTTGCAGTGAGCCGAGATCACTCCACTGCACTCCAGCCTGGGTGACAAAGTGAGACTCCATCTCAAAAAATAACAATAACTTAAAAAAAGAGAAATAGCTCTCAAATCCCAATAGATCCCTATAACAAATATTTGTTTCTTGCTTCTGAGTCTTCAGATTGGCTGTGATTACACTGGGTTTGGCTTGGCTGAGCTCAGCTAGGTTCTGCTGAGCTCAGCTTGGCTCCAAGGTTTGGGTTGAGTTCAGGTCTGCTCCACATGTCCCTTCACATGAGAAGCAATTGCCAAGAGGTCAAGTCAAATCATGCAGCACATTTAAAACTTCTGCTGGGGGAAAATGTGTCTGCTCACATTCCAATGACCAAAGCCCAAAGTTAGAAGGGCAAGGAATTAGACTCTACCTATTGAGATGTACTACAAAGTCACATGGCAAAAAGCTTATAATTCTAATAAAGGAACTAAGCAGAATCACTAGGAGCAATCACCTAGTCCGCCACACATGGAGATGTGCCACAGGGACTCAGAGACTGGAAGGAATTCCCCAGGGCCAGAGTTCTCCTGGGAAACTACAGCCTCCACCATTGCCTCCCAGATTTCATCAGCATCTCTGTAGTCTGGCTCATCAGAGGCCACAACGGAGATAAAGGCAAATAAAGACTTCAGCTGCTGGCAAGCTGCAGATATCTCCATGGATCAGCCAAGCCCATGTCTCTTTCTGAAACAATCAGTAATCGGGGAAGCGACCACAGAAAAGCGTAATACAAACTACCTATGGTATTGGAAGAATCCCAGGAATCGTTGGAGGTCTTGAATGAATTTGAAGAGGGTACTCAGTTCAAGACTACTTTAAGACACACACTTTGTAGATGTCCCAACTAGATACTGTGTGGCCTGGGAATTCTGCAATGTTTACTTTTTTTCAATTATATTATGTTATAATATATTTATAAGAAATATATATCATATATAAGATTATATATAGCTTATATATCTATATATAATCTAGATATATTATATATCTAAATATAATCTTTGATATATATCTCATATATTATCTTATACATATGATATATTATCATATACATGAGTTATACGTATCTCATATATATTATTTTCTTATATATATGAAATATATCTCATATATATAAGATATGAGAGCTATATATCTCATATATAGATAGATATAGATATCTATCTACATCTATATTCCCAGGCCACACAGTGTCTAGTTGGGACATCTACAAAATGTGTGTCTTAAACTAGTCTTGAACGAGTACCCTCTTCAAATTCATTCAAGACCTCCAACGATTCCTGGGATTCTTCCAATACCATAGGTAGTTTGTATTACGCTTTTCTGTATATGAGATATATATCTCATACACAGATAGATATAGATCATTCCATCACCCAGGCTGGAGTGCAGTGGCACAATCATAGTTCATTGCAGCCTCAAAATTCTGGGCTCAACCGATCCTCCCACTTCAGCCTCCTGAGTGGCTGGGACTACAGGTGTGTGCCACCAGGCGGGGGCTAATTTTTCTTTTTTTGGAGACAGAGTCTCACTCTGTTGCCCAGACTCAGATGTAGTGGTGCAATCTCAGCTCACTGCAACCTCCACCTCCCAGGTTCAAGCAGTTCTCCTGCTTAGCCTCCCAAGTAGCTGGGACTACAGGCACGTGCAACCACTCCCAGCTAATTTTTTGTATTTTACTAGAGACGAGGTTTCACCATGTTGCCCAGGCTGGTCTTGAACTCCTGAGCTCAGATACCTGCCCGCCTCAGCCTCCTAAAATACTGGGATTACAGGAGTGACCCACCCACTGCCCCCAGCCTTTTTTTTTTTTTTTTTTTTTTTTTTTTTTTTTGGTAGGGACAGGATTTCCCTATGTTGCCCATGCTGGACATGAACTCCTGGCCTCAAGTGATCCTCCTGCCTCAGCCTCCCAAAGTGCTAAGATTATAGGTATGAGCCACCACGCCTGGCCCAATATTTCTAAAGGCCCCTCAAGAGGCAAAAGTGGGCAAAGGACTTTTAAGGACAAAAAATGCCTAGTATTGAATATTAAGTTGTTTACTGTGTTGTAACTCTCTTCCATGACTTCAGTAAAGCAGAGTAAGCACACACATGCCCCAAGACACAGTAACCTCTGTTTGGTAGTACAGCCCATCACAAGCAGCTGTGGCTGAACCCCTGGGTACCAGGACTAGAGAGGATAACTTCATTGTAAGTTCCACTGGATGTTAGGCTGAAGTTGCAGCCCCCATCAAGCCAGGCTTGGTGTCTGGAGCGGGCCTGAAGGTAGAGATTCTGCAAAAGGATCTAACTGGGGTGATATTCAAAAAATTTAGAAGCCAGAATGGCACAGGTCCTGACTGATAAGAACCAGAGCCAACATGCTGTGATCTGCATACAAGTGCCAGTGATCCCTGCCTCCAGCTGAGGAGGGCTGTGAAGGATGGAGGCTAGAAATCCATCAGGAGAGCTGACATTGAAAGGTGAATGGGAGCAGCACCTGCCAGCGTGACCTGCTGCTTTCCTGCATGCAAAGGACTGTGCATTTCAACCTGAGACCCTGGGGTTCCTGCAGGGCATCAGCTAGATTTGTCTTCCTGCCTGGGGCGATCACCAATTATATGTGCTGTGAGGCAAACTGTCCTCCCACCAGAGGAGGAGGTGAAGGGATTTACAGAATCTCTCTCTGATCTGACTTATTAGAGAAGTTAAAGGACACCTGTCCAGGAGGCAGCACAGTGCAGAGATAAAGAAGTCAGGATTCAAATTTGTCCTATCTGGGAAGCTTAGACAAGAGCTCCTTAACCTCTCTCACACTCAGTCCCCTCATCTGGAAAATGGGAATCCTAACAGTGCCTACCTGGCAGGAGCATGGCCACAATGAAATGAGCTAATGACACAGTGAAAGCCCTTAGACAGCCTGACCCAGAGTCAGCCCTCTGTAATGGGAGTCATTATTCAAGATGGGAGGAAAGAAACAGGAATTAGATCAGAAACAAATGACCAGAAAGAGAGATGAAATACAAAAGCTACATGAAGTCGGCAGTGTGAAGCCTGACTCGCAGGAGAGTGGATTTTGTTACTGTTTGCTTTTTCTTGTCCAGGATAATCCAAGACTGGCAGAAAGTGAGAATACCGATTGAGATCCAAGGACATCCTCATGGGAGTCTGTGCAGACACGTTTTCATCAAGAACCCCTCTCCAAGCAGCTGGTCCAGCCCAGCTAAACTGGGGGCTGCTGTTTGTAAGAAAATTAATGCTCTGGGCCAAGCACGGTGGCTCATGCCTGTAATCTCAGCACTTTAGGAGGCCAAGGCAGGCGGATCACTTGAGGCCAGGAGTTCAAGACCAGCCTGGCCAACGTGGTGAAATCCCGTCTCCACCAAAAATGCAAAACTTAGCTGGGCATGGTGGCGCATGCCTGTAATCCCAGCTACTCAGGAGGCTGAGGCAGGAGAATCACTTGAACCCGGGAGGTGGATGTTGCAGCGAACCAAGATCATGCCACTGCACTCCAGCCTGGGTGACAGAGTGAGGCTCCATCTCAAAAACAAAAACAAAAAAAATTAATGTTCTGTACCTGAGGAGCACCCATTTGCTGCTACTTCCCTGCCAGGATGAAGGAAAACCAAGTCAGACATTAAATAACACGTGCAGGATCACAGGATCACACCTTTCACACTGCAGTCTTAGTTTTCTATAAAACCACGTGACCTCTGAAAATACACTCCAGCCTCTGCAACACCTACTCATGACGCTTTGTAAAATCCACCGCCTTTTAGGGACACCAAGATTTTCGGAAACATGCAGTTTTCTTACCTCCAGATGAGATGTCTACTGTGGATAGGTGACTAGGAGGAGAACCCAAGGTGTGCTGATGGCAGAACAGAAGCACCTAGGATGCCACCAGGGAAACGCCCTGACAAGCAGCTGTGATGCTGTCTTCGAGAAGGTGTTTGCAAACACCACTGCTGCCCCCCTTCCCTGAGCCCTGACTTCCTAAACCTAAGGCTAAAAGCATCCTGGCAATTCCCGGAAGTAACTTCATTCTAGCAGGATCGAGCCAGTGGGTGGAGTTTTCTCAGCCCGCCAGGATCACATCAGTGACTGACTTACCCAATGTACTTTTATTTTTTATTTCAACCAATTCCCCAAAGCCCAGAGCAACTTAAAACCAGAAGAGCCACCACCATCTCCACCAAAAACAGGGAATATTTTGAGAGTTTAATGATAACTTCACAGCCATCCATTCAGCTGAGTCCCAAGGAAATGGAAGACACCTGAAAAATGTATTTTTAAATTGATTTAACGTTGAGCCATGTTAAATGTTTTAACTTCCAACCAATGCAATGCCCACCAAAACATCAATTAGTCCCAGCAATCAGGCAAGAATATTGGCTTCTGCTCAGGGATTCATTTATTTCAGCTCTGCTAAATATCGTAGAGGAGAAATCCAATGTAGCCTGTAGCTTCAAGAAAGTGAAATTAAGCCCAAGTAGAAACTAGATGAGGCCCTGGCTAAAATGGTGCCTTTTCTTGCACTGCCTCTCTCTGGTATCTCTCTAAAGTGAGGGCAGCAACTTGATTGTAAGGGTCTCGTGCTGTTAACAGAAAACACCCTTCCTTCCCCACAGGTTCTCTGTCTCCAAGCTGGAAAACAAAAGAGGCTGCAATGGGACAGAGAAGGGCTTCCTGCTGAGGAGATGAGTGGGCTTAAGAATTTGCAAGATCAAAAATCAAAACAATTAAACCCATGGAGATAGAGTAGAAGGAGAGTGAACAGAGGCTGGGAAGGGTAATGGGAGAGTTGGTGGGGAGGAGGCAGATGGTTAACGGGTACAAAAAAAACAGAAAGATGAGTAAGACCTACTTTTCCATAGCACAACAGGATGACTATAGTCAACAGTAATTTTTTTTTTTTTTGAGATAACGTCACTCTGTCACCCAGGCTAGAGAGCAGTGGCATGGTCTCTGCCCACTGCAACTTCTGGCTCCTCAGTTCAAGCGATTCTCCTGCCTCAGCCTCCCGAGTAGCTGGAATTACAGGCGCACACCACCATGTCCAGCTAATTTTTGTATTTTTATAGAGATGGGGTTTCACCATGTTGGCCAGGCTGGTCTTGAACTCCTGACCTCAGGTGATCCACCTGCTTCGGCCTCCCACAGTGCTGGGATTACAGGCATGAGCCACTGCACCCGACCCTATAGTCAATAATAATTTAATCGCACATTTTAAAATAACTAAAAGAGTACAATTGGATTGTTTGTAACACAAAGGATAAAGGTTTGAGGTAATGGATACCCCATTTTACATGATGTGATTATTACACATCGCATGCCTGTATCAAAACATCTCATGTACCCCATAAATATATATACCTACTATGTACTAATGAAAATTAAAATTTAAAAAAATTAAAAATAATTTGCAAGATCATTTTTAATAATTATTTTTCATTTGGGGTGCATTTTCACCATCAAGGCCCCAGGGTTTCCCTGCCCTAGATGAGGGTCTGGATCCAGGGAAGGGTGTCCCACCATCTGGAGCATCCTGTCTCTACACACGTTGGCCAGCTGCTTGGGGCAACACAGGACGATGCGCTCAGGCCACTCACCACAGGAGCTTGGCCATTAGAACCAGCAGGGGACAACCAAGCCAAAGACCCCACGACTGGAGAGCTCCTAAAAGCAAATACAAAATAAGAGTACACATGAAGTTCTGGCAGCAAGCAGAAGGTAGACACATCATGTCCAACTCCCCGAGTCTCTCTCTGGGGCCACTTGATGCAGAGCCTTGATTTGTTCGTCTCTTAAATGGGAACAATGATCCCCAAAGAGGAGGAGGGGTGGGGGAGTGAGAATTAAATGAGATTGTGTCAGTCAGCATGTACTAGGGAGCTTGTTAGAAACACCAATTCCAGGATCCCCTGGAGATTCTGATTTAGCAAGTCTGCCAGGAGACCCAGGAATTTGTATTTTAAGCATCTCTCCCAGGTGATTCTGATAATTAAGCAACTTTAGGAAAGAAAAGATTAGGGCTCTGGTCCATAGGAAGGGTTCATCCAATGGCAGCCCTCACTTAGGCCCTTGGGGTGAATGAAGGAGGGGCATCCAGGATCTTGCCCAGCCAGGGACATGCAGGAAACATCTTTTTAAGGGGCCCTCATCACTTTCTGACACTGCTGTTTCAAGGGAAAACTGGTCACACCTTTCTGCAGGGGATTTGACAACATCCATTAAAAAAAAAAATTTAAGACAGAGTCTCGCCCTGTCACCCAGGATGGAGTGCAATGGCGCCATCTCGGCTCACTGTAGCCTCTGTCTCCCAGGTTCAAGCGATTCCTCTGCCTCAGCTTCCCTAGTAACTGGGACTAAGGCATGTGCCACCACACCTGGCTAATTTTTGCATTTTTAGTAGAGACGGGGTTTCACCATATTGGCCAGGCTCATCTCAAACTTCTAACCCCAAGTGATCCACCTGCCTCAGCCTCCCAAAGTGCTGGGATTACAGGCATAAGCTGCCACATCCGACCAACATCCATCAAAATTATAAATGCAGACCCTGTGATCTAGCAATCTCACTTTGAAGAGTTTATCCTACAGACATACTTGCACAGATGCAAATTATATCAGGTCAGGAGCTGCAGCATTGTTCATAACAGCAAAAAAAAAAAAAAAATAGAAACAACTGCAAGGTCCATCTACAGACCTCTGGTTGAATACAGTTACGGCATAGCCATAAAACCAACAATGGCACAGCTCCTGTGCACAGATACAGAACTCCCTCCAAAGTATATTGTTAGGTGAAAAATACAAGGTGCAGAATAAGGTGTATAATAAGCTTTTGTGAAAAGTGCAGAGATCATCTATATTTGATTTGCTGTGTATGCATAGAATATCTCTGGACAAATACACAAGAAGCTGCTAACATTGGTTGCCTCTGGGGAGGGAACAGGGTGGCTGGGGGACAGGGGCTGGAGGAAAAGATTTCACCACATGCCTTGCAGACTTTATATATTCGGAACCCTGTGCATTATCTATTGCACATATTATCTATTCATGCAAAATGCTATAACATTTACAAATAACTTTCAAATATATGCATATCATATTTCAATGGAAAGTTTTTTTTGTTGCTGTTTGTTTGTTTGTGATGGAGTTTTGCTCTTTTGCCCAGGCTGGAGTGAACTGGCATGATCTCAGCTCACTGCAACCTCTGCCCCCAGTGTTCAAGCAACTCTCCTGCCTTAGCCTCCCGAATAGCTGGGATTACAGGTGCCCCCCACCACACCCGGCTAATTTTTGTATTTTTAGTAGAGACGGGGTTTTGCCATGTTGGCCAGGCTGGTCTCAAAACTCCTGACCTCAGGTGATCCGCCCACCTCGGCCTCCCAAAGTGCTAGGATTACAGGCATGAGCCAATGTGCCCAGCCTCAATGAAAAGTGTTTTAAAGTAATAATATAATACATCAAAAGGCATGATTTATGTTTTCAAGTGCCACCTCTGGCCACTTGTGGCTGTAGAAATGGGGAATACTCCAATTCACCATCCCTATGTGAAGGCAGGACAGGGAGACATTCAAGTCAGGAAAAGGTGGAGTGGAGGTTTTAGTCAAGCACCAAGTCCTCTGACTTCTCTGGGCACTTGCCCATGCCGGTACCTACTCCTGAGACACTGTCTACCTCGCTAAGCCCATCTTCTTCTCACCTTGTGTCTCACCTGAGACATCACTGACTTTAGGAGGTTTCCTGACCCATGTGTGTTCCCCATCTCAGCACCCAGCACCTGCCTCATGTTCACCAGGGTACATGTCTTCCCTCCCCGCCAGGCTGCACTGAGAGCTCAATGAGGGTAGGGAACATCTCTGTTCCCCATCTTGTTAGAAGCTATCTCCCCAGAGCATGGTCCAAATGTGGTGTTAAGAACAGAAGTTATCACAAAGAAGTGAGAAAGTGAAGGGGAAATGGGGAGAGCTGTAAGAAAGGCATGGGGGAGAAAAAGGAAAGAAGGCCATGTTCCCAGGATCCAATGCCACTCCCTGGGGAGGCTTCTCTATCTTAGCTCAGCCCTCAGTCACTATCACCCTCCCTGGTCTTGTCAGATTTGAAATATCTTCTTCATTTACAAGAGGGCCTTATCTATCTTGGTCACCTCTGTATTCCCAGCCCCTACTGCGGACTTGGAACATAGTAGGTGCCCAGTAAACATGGGTTGAATTAATTAATATTGGACAGGCCAGGCTTGGTGGCTCGCGCCTGTAATCCCAACACTTTGGGAGGCTGAGGTGGGCAGATGACCTGAGGTCAGGAGTTCAAGACCAGCTTGGCCAACATGGTGAAGCCCCATCTCTACTAAAAATACAAAAATTAACCAGGTGTGGTGGCACACACCTGTGATCCTAGCTACTGGGAGGCTGAGGTGGGAGGATCGCTTGAGCCTGGGAGGTGGAGGTTGCAGTGAGCCGAGATCGCGGCACTGCACTCCAGCCTGGGCGACAGGGCGAGACTCTGAGTCAAAATAATAATAATAATAATAGTTCATTATTATTGGATAGTGAGGAGGGAGTTTGCAAAGGAGCGGCTAAAATGAAATTAGTCCTGAGTTTCTGATGTTATGCGTTCTGGGTAGGGGCGGGAGAACTGGAAGATGTTTAATGCCCCCCACCCAAGGGCAGCCATAGTTGAGAATCACTAATTCTGAAGCTTGGTAGGGAAGCTTGATAGGGACTTTGGGTTTTTCACTGAGGGCAGAATCCCCAGTGACTGTCAGAGACCTCGCTCTGAATCTTAAGAACCTCCCCACCCCAGGCCTGACAGGGAGGACAAGGAAGGAGAGTGGGGCTGGGACGCGGGGCAGAGGGCGGCTCTGCTCACCTGCGGGAGAACGCGAGGATGAGGTTCTAGTGGGACCGGCGCTAGCGGGCGCGTCCTGCCAGGAGTGAGTCTTGGCGCCATCTAGCGCCTGCTGGAGGCTCTGCAGCTGCAGTGGACTGAGCCGCCGGCGCTGGGCGTGGGTCACCGCCGCGGCGTTCTCCGGACCCAGGGAGGCGATCTGCTCCGCGGACAGCTCCTGCAGGAGGCAAAGGGGCAGCACCCTCACACGGGGCCCCTCCCCGGATTTCCCACATCTCGGGCGTCCGCGCAGGATGCACACAACTTTGCCATCCCCTTGTGTGTATCATGTGTGGTCCTCTTTAAGATATTTCCTTAAAATTAGATCACTCTTGCACTACCAAAGTAAATGCATTTAAAAATAGAAAATTTAAAATGGAAGTTTCCAAAAATGGAAAGCCGGCAGACTTGCCATAAGCAAGCATTAAATAGGAGCCGCAAAATAAAAATAAAACAATATTGTTGAATCCTAGCTAGATTTGTCCGCCAACAATATCTGAACCCCTGGCCTCTTGGAAAAAAAAGAGAGAGAGAGAGAATATAAAATGTACTATACAGGGTTAAATTGACACTTCCTTCTTGAGGTATTTAGAAGTACTAATGGAGAGTTGAAAAGGGAAGCATGATTTCCTCCCTATGTGGCAATGTTGTTTAATGCAATGCAGGACAGCTTCCCAGTGCTTCAAGTCTTCCACCTCCTGAAACACTGATATGGAGGGGGAAACACAGGCCTTAAAGATCAGAGGCCTGAATTCGAGCCCCTGCTCTGCCACATACTTGCTGTGTCACCTTGAACAAATTACACAGCCTCCGTGGGCTTTGGGGATAAATGTGAGACGGCATAGAGAACTCATCTCCTCTGCTGACTGATTCTGATCCTTTGGTTTGACTGCCTGAGCACCATGTGATGAGCTCTGTGAGGGCTCCATGGAGGGAAAATGCAGTCATCTATTGGTGATATCTGCTATGGACAACATGAGTTGGAAATTCTGCCAGCCAGACTATGTCTTCAAGGACTGTGAACAAGGTGTCTTCTGAAGTCACTTCCAGATCAAAGGACTTGGTGACTCGTTCCAATGGGACTGGAATACGAAGGGGACTCTATATCATCATGTTTATTTTCTAAAGGCCCTGAAGAATCTGGGAAAGATGCTTATGCTCCCTCATCCCTTCCTCTCCTGTCAGTCACCCTCTCCTCCTCTTTTGTCCAGGTAGATACTTCCCTGGAATCATATCCCTCTGTGTAAAGCCCTTCCAGGAACCCCACTCCAGAACACAGTTCAGGCTCCTGGAAAAAACTCTGCCCACCTCTCCAGCCTCACACATGGCATTCTTCACTCCAGGAGAGTGGGTGCCAATATTTACAGTTCCCTAGAGGCAGCATCTTCCTGTGCACCTCTTTCTGCCTGGAACACTGTTTCTTCTTCATCGCCAGCTGTTCTCCAAGATTCAGCATCTGGTCGGTCAAGCGCCATGGCTCATGCCTACAATCCCAGCACTTTAGGAGGCTGAGGCAGAATGATTAACGGAGCTCAGGAGTTCGAGACCAGCCTGGGCAACACAGTGAGACCCCCCTTCTCTACAAAAAGTTTTTTTAATTAGCCAAGTGTGTAGTCCTAGTTACTTAGGCTGACGTGAGAGGATTGCTTGAGCCCAGGGGATCAAGGGTGCAGTGAGCCATCATTGTGCCACTGCACTCCCTTGGGCAACAGAGTGAGACTTTGTCTCAAAAAAATTAAAATTCAGCATCACCTCCTCTCCTCTCACTACACACACACACACACACACACACACACACACACACACACACACACACGGTGGGGTGGTCAGAGAGGTACTTTTTTGGCTTCCATATACCATTAACACAGAGTCTGTATTCTAAAAATTATCTCTTTTATCAATGTTGCTGACTTGCGACCCACAGGCCAGATTGAATCTCTAGGCCTACGGCACTGTGTTTTCAAAAATAAATTCAGATTGGCTGCCAACATTTAATTATCAAGCAATTCCATATGAAAATGAAGATTTCTGACTTCTTCTCGAAAAAAGTGAAAAGGAAAATTCAGCAATCCTGGGCCCACATGGCCACACTGCATGAATGTGCTAGGAATGAGAAGCAGCCTCCACATTTAGACAAGGCTCTCCAGTTCACTTCGGTCTCTACCCAGCCTACTGCACCTTATGTTACCTTTTAGGCCCCTGAAGGCACTATGTGATAACCCCTTCACCTGTGCATCCTTAGGTGCACCTACCCTGGAGCCTGCCACAATGTAGGTGATCAGTAGGGATTTCTGGAATAGATAAATACCTGTACAAGGAAGCAGCACAACAGCACTCCAAACAAGACCAAGAGAAAGTGCTTAGCAAAATGCCAGCATCCAAGACCAAGCTGCTTGTCCCATGCAGAGTGCCCCAGAGGGGAAGCAGGTATTTGCTCAATGGCTTTGAGGACTGCTATTTATTGCCCTCAAACAGCTATTATGCCTGCAATGTGCTCGGAACTGTCCAGGATGCTGAAGTGATTGAAGGTTGGCTTTCTTTTTTTTTTTTTGAGACAGAGTCTCGCTCTGTCGCCCAGGCTAGAGTGTAGTGGAGCGATCTTGGCTCACTGCAAGCTCCGCCCCCAGGGTTCACACCATTCTCCTGCCTCAGCCTTCTGAGTAGCTGGGACTACAGGCACATGTGACCACCCCAGCTAATTTTTTTGTATTTTTAGTAGAGACAGGGTTTTACCATGTTAGCCACGATGGTCTCAATCTCCTGACCTCGTGATCCACCCTCCTCGGCCTCCCAAAGTGCTGGGATTACAGGTGTGAGCCACTGCACCCGGCCTCAGCTATCTTTCTTGAAATGAACAAGTGATGTGGCACTGGGGGAGTTTGTCGAGCCTGGTTTGTGTGTTTTATCCAGAAGTGCTGGACAAAATGTGTTCCCACATTACGCAGCAAACAGGAACACCAGAATGACTGCCTCCTCATCAGAGCAGACTATTCCCACCAAACACTCCCCTAATCTTGTATACAGACAGAAAAAAAGGACCTGTCATTAGATACCCTGCTTCCCTTCCTTCAAATGATCCAATTTCACCCTCTCAATTTTTTCATAGCAGTTTTTCACCTGTCCTCTTGTGATTTTCCTAATACTTTTCTTTAAATCAACTAAAAATATATATATATAGAAAAAAATATATATATATAGAGAGAGAGAGATGGTTTCGCTCTTGTTGCCCAGGCTGGAGTGCAATGGTGTGGTCTTGGCTCATTGCAACCTCTGTCTCCCGGGTTCAAGTGATTCTCCTGCCTCAGCCTCCCAAGTAACTGGGATTACAGGCATCCACCACCACGCCCAGCTAATTTTGTATTTTTCATAGAGATGGGGTTTCACCACGTTGGCCAGGCTGGTCTCAGACTCCTGACCTCAGGTGATTGGCCTGTCTCAGCCTCCCAAAATGTTGGGATTACAGATGTGAGCCACCATGCCTGACCTAAATCAACTAAAATATTTTTATTTAATTATATCTTAAAAGGAAATGTTACAGAGGTCCACAATCCCTCATCTGCAATTCCAAAGTCCAAAAATAATCTGAAAACTGCAAGTTTTCCCCCAAAGTTTAAGTCAAACTTATTTATCAGCAAAACTTGACCTGAAGTAATGTGAGGCTATTTATTTATAGTCTCTATTTATTCCAATTAGTGTGGCTTGTCACAGATTTCTTCACAGAAATATTAATGTGTTTGCTTACAAGGTGCTTCCCCAGACACTGCTGGGGGTATGAAGTTACATACAGTAAATGTACAGGGTGATCTTTTCAAAATCTGAGAAATTCTGAATTCTGAACTATATCTGTCCCCAGGGGTTTTCGTAAGGGTTTATGAACCTGTCATACCACCATAAGTAGAAAATCAGTACCACCTGCTAGAAGAAGAGAAGATGACCGTAAAAATAAATATAATTAAACTACATATTGTAATTTTAAGAAAAAATGTTTTTTAAAAACACCTAAACTCACACAGATCTCCTCTGACCCCATCAGCAGAGCCTGGTCACAAGCCTCTAAATTCCAAGGCCCATCACCTGTTTCCCTGTGTGATTTGAAATGGGGTCAAGCTCCCATTTCTCCTTGAAGAACTGAGCACCTACTTTGAATATCTCATCAGGAAGGCATTTTATTGCTGATGGCTGGAAATATGGCATCAAATCCTTGTCAAGCATCCGGAGCTCTGCCTTAGTTAATCCAGCTGGGGAGAAAAAGGAATCACGGGGGTTTAGTTCAAGCCATCAGAACTCCGCTTGTTTTATTAATGGTGCTGCATAATGCTCAGATCTGAGTGTTCTAGGCAGGCATCATTCCTTACAAAAGGCCCTGGAAATCACACTGGGGAATCAAGTTCCTTCATCAACTCAGAAAAAAAAAATGTGGGTCACATTAGCCCTGATTGGCCTCCTACAGTGAAACGCATGCCCAGAAGGAACTTCAATTTACACACTTTCAAATTTTGTATAAACCTACTTAGGGGCCAATTAAATCACATTCTAAACTAGCGGTTTTCCAAACTTTAGTGTACACAAGAATCTCCAAAAGAGCTTGTTTTAAAAGCAGATTTGCAGACCCACCCTCTGCAACTTCAAATCATGAAATGTAGGTTCTACTGTAACGCCACTGATGTTTGCTACACATGGCCAAGGATAATGTTTTATTTTGTGTCCCCACATTTAAGTTTGGAAAGAGAGAGAAAGGTATGCTCAGGGTGAGTCTTACCTGCAATGGTCCCAAGCTCCTGCAAGACAGAACTGGTCCACTCAGTGGGATCCCCAAACACAACTTCAGCCTTCCTCTTAAACTCGGCTAAGACATGTGTGCTGCAGAGCAGGGTCCCAATTCTGGCCACTACCACCCTGGTAGTGGTTAAAGAGGGAGGGATATAATATGAGCTTGGACTCTTCAGCCAAAAACAAACAAACACACACACACACACACACACACACACACATACACACACACACTGCACAGTAGGCTCAGCAGGGACAGCAGATCCAGCTTATCCCATTAGCCCAGTGGGATTTTAGCCCAGAAAGGTGCCAAGTGTCAGGAGGTGGAATATCTGGATGGATGGATGGATGGATGGATGGATGGATGGATGGATGGATGGATGAATTAACCCATTTGCCATTTTGCACATTCATATTTTAGTTACCTGAATTCTGAGATCTTTATAAGTGGGATTTCAGTGATGTTTATAGCACACAGGGTTGCACCAAGTCCTACCAAATGAAAGCTCTTCAGGTCCTGGATACTGTATCCTGAATCATCCAGGTACCCTTGCAAAATGGATTCAGCCTAAAAAATAGTAAGAATAAAAGATAAACCATCCAGGAATGATCAAGGTCCCCAGGCCTGAGGGGATAAATAAGCTGTTGCTGTAGTCTCCTGACTGATCTCCCATCCTACTCCTCTGGAATCCCCACTCCAAACCATCCTGGCCTCTGCATCCAAGTTCATGTCCTTAAGATACTACTTCAACTGAGTATGTCCCCTAATCTATGGAAGTGTCTTCAGGCAACGAATCTCTTACATCCTTCACCAATATTAAAGGCACTTGTGTCCTGTGTGTCTGCTGCTTATTTCCTTCAGTCACTCTTATGACCCTCAGACAGTTTGGACATACAACTTCTTCTGCATCAGGATCCAAACTTTTCCAGCATCTTTTTCCACAACGTTTCTTCTCCCTTTTTTTTTTTTTTTTTCGTTTTTTGGAGACGGAGTCTTGCTCTGTCACCCAGGCTGGAGTGCAGTGGCACAGCTCGCTGCAACCTCCACCTCCCCAGGTTCAAGCAATTCTCGTGCTTTAGCCACCCAAGTAGCTAGAATTACAGGTGCACATCACCACATCTGGCTTTTTGTATTTTTTGTAGAGACGGGGTTTCACCATGTTGCCCAGGCTGGTATCAAACTCCTGACCTCAAGTGATCCACCCACCTCGGCCTCCCAAAGTGCTGGGATTATAGGCATGAGCCACCGCACCCAGCCTTTCCACAACCTCCAACAAAACCTTATAATTTCCTGTCTCTTTGCCTTTGTTCAAACCAGTCCTTTCATCTGAAATGCCCTTCTGCACTTCCAAGTGCAGACATTCTTTTTTTTTTTTCTTTGGTTCAACTCAAATGTCACCTTCTTCATGAGGTTTCAGCCAGAATGATTTTTTCTTCCTCTATGGTCCTACAGAAATATGTTTACCCCTTAATGATTTTTTCTTCCTCTGTGGTCCTACAGAAATATGTTCACCCCTTCAATTCCAATGTTTACTCTTCAATTCCAAGAGTAGCACACAAAATGCTTTGGTGTTAAACTATTTTAAACTAAGCCTTGATTTAAGGCGGCTGACACATAAGTCTCCATAATTCTAGCACAGTGGCTATTCATCATTCATAACTTCCTCTGGAGAACCACCTCTCTTGTATTCCTGCTTCATGTGGTTCAGTCAAAGCTAACTGCACCAAGTTCCAGGAGTGATGAATTTCAATTCATACCTTAGCCTAGCTGCAGTCACTGGTTCTGGATTGGACATGTGATTTAACCAGAGTCAACCAGAACTTTGAGTGGAGCATTAGGGGAAGAGCTTTCTTTACTCTGGACTTGAACTTAGAAGGATATACACAAGGATCTGCTGGAACCTACCACATGCAGGCATAGAGCCTGTCTCTCAATGAAGCCAACACAAAGAAAAGCAAAGTTCAAAAACATGATAAGAGACAGATTCCCACCCAGAGTGTTGAAGATCCTGGATCCAGCTGTATCTGAACACTACCCCTGAACTTTCCAGTAATGGGAGTCAATAAATTCCTTTTTTTTTTTTTTTTTTTTTGAGACAAGGTCTCACTCTGTCACCCAGCCTGGAGTGCAGCGGCATGATCTCTGCTCACTACAACCTCCCTCTCCCAGGTTCAAGCGATTCTCATGCCTCAGCCTCCCCAGTAGCTGGGATTACAGGCAGGCATGAACATGCCTGGCTGATTTTTGTATTTTTAGTAGAGAAGTAGTTTCACTGTTGGCCAGGCTGGTCTCAAACTCCTGACCTCAAGTGATCTGCCCGTTTCAGCCTCCCAAAGTTCTAGGACTACAGGTATGAGCCACTGCACACTGCACCCAGCCCCTTTATTTGTTCAAGCCAGTTTGTGTTGGGTTTTCTGCCACTTGTAACTAAACATGTGCTGATTCATTTTATCTACCTATGTAGGACCTGAGGAGGCATCCAAGCCAATCCTATGAAGATCAGCTACAAAATAAAGTCTGGGCTGGGCACGGTGGCTCACACCTGTAATCCCAGCACTTTGGGAGGCCGAAGCAGGAGGATCACTTAAAGTCAGGAGTTTGAGACCAGCCTGGCTGACATGGTGAAAGCTTGTCTCTACCAAAAAATACAAAAATTAGCCAGGCATGGTGGCACGTGCCTGTGGTCCCAGCTACTTGGGAGGCTGAGGTGGGAGGATTGCTTGAGCCTGGGAGGTGGAAGTTGCAGTGATCCAAGATTGTGCCACTGCACTCCAGCCTGGGTGACAGAGGGAGACTCTGTCTCACAAAATAAAGTCTGGTTCCTTCAGTGCTCATGGGAGCAAGTAAAAGAGATTATAAGACCTCACAAGGCAAAGATGAGGAGACATCCAAGGAGAGACCCCTAAGTGGAAGCGAAAATCACAGGCTATAGTCAATCTTCCCAACTCTCTTTGCTTTTTTTTGTTTTTTTTTTTTGAGACAGCGTCTCACTGTGTCACCCAGGCTGGAGTGCAGTGACATGATCTTGGCTTACTGCAACCTCCATCCCCCAGGGTTCAAGTAATTCTTATGCCTCTGACTCCCAAGTAGCTGGGATTACAGGCGCCCGCCACCACACCCAACTAATTTTTTGTGTTTTTAGTAGAGACAGGGTTTCACCATTTTGGCCAGGCTGGTCTCAAACTCCTGGCCTCAAGTGATCTACCCACCTCAGCCTCCCAAAGTGCTGGGATCACAGGCATGAGCCACCATGCCCGGCCCCCATCTCCGTTTAATGTTAGTCATCCCCATCACACAATATAGATCATTAAGGTGTTGAGAGAAAGTGTTGAGGAAGATTGTGAAATGTTGCAATGAAATTCCGTCTTCATGGGCTGGTGCTTCCCACCCCTCAGGTGTGTTTAAATGCTACCTACTCAGAGAAAACTGCCCTCTGGACTCTTTCATCTCAAACAGCCCTTCTTCCCACTATTCCCATGAGCACCTTGTCCATTTTCCGCATCACTTATCGTGATTTTTCAAATTTTTCACTTTGATTACTCACTTTTTTGTCTGTATCACCAAGTAGGCTCCCAAAAGAAAAGGACCATATCCAGGTAGTTTACCAATGAGTCCCCAGCACCTAGCATAATGCCTGCCACAGAGTAGGAGTTCAATAAGTACTTCTTGAGTAAGTAAATGAATGAGTGAATGAATGAATGAATGAAACAACATCTGAGTGAGTGACTTACAAAAGTCGTGGGCAATATATATTATTTGACATGCTTCATTTTGCTGCCTTCATGTAATAGACTGGCTTCAGGAAGATTTCTCATGTTTCTGAAAATCGGACTGGTCAGTGTCCTCATCAAGTTGTCCTCCATGATTACAAAGCTCACAGCTACTATGGGGGCGGGGGATGCAGTAACACCATGCTTAGACTTATATGTCTTTGACTTAATGGGACTGTATATCCAAAGTGGTAATAGCTAACATTTATTGTAGCTAACATTTCTTGAGTGCATACTGTGTGCTGGCACCACTTTGACCACTTTACACATACTATCTCATCTAATCCTCCTAAATAACACTATGAGGTAAGTATTAATAGTATCCCTAGTTTGCAGATGAGCAAACTGAGGCAAGGAGAGGTTAAGTAACTAGGCCAAGATCACACAGCTAGAAAATGATCGTTCTGGCCAGGCGCCGTAGCTCCTGCCCGTAATCCCAGCACTTTGGGAGACAAAGGCGGGCAGATCACCTGAGGTCGGGAGTTGGAGACCAGCCTGACCAACATGGAGAAACCCCGTCTCTACTAAAAATACAAAATAAGCAGGGTGTGATGATGCATGCCTGTAATCCCAGTTACTCAGGAGGCTGAGGCAGGAGAATTGCTTGAACCCGGGAGGCAGAGGTTGCAGTGAGTGGAGATTACACTCCAGCCTGGGCAACAAGAGCAAAACTCATTCTAAAAAAAAAAAAGAAGAAGAAGAAAGAGAAAAGAAAATGATGGTTCTAGGATCAAAACCCAGGCAGTCTGATTCCAGGGCCCATACTCTTAGCCAGTGAAGGTGTTTGGCTATGGAGAAAAGATGGAGATTCAAGTTAGTTTTCAAATTTTTCTTATTAAGTCTTCATAATCAGGTTTCACTAGTTGACTCAGAGCAATTTGGGCTCCTCAACTATCAGGCACGCTCACTTTAAAATGAAAGTGCAAAAATACAATTTAAATAAAATTACTTTGAAGATATGGTATTAAATTGTCCTTGCCACTGAAACCCGGAAAATGCAAGCTCAGCCTGCAAGGTGATAAGTTAAAATAAATTTCCTTGAGTGACGAGACCAGTGTATATGTAATGATTCCAAGACAATTAATACCAACACTTTTAGGCAATATTAACTGTTGAAAAATGAATAGCTTTAAGATTTCAATCTCTCTGTTCATCCCTCTGGCTTCTATAATAGTTTTTTCCCTTATATTGGTTTTTGAGCTGAACTATCTGTTAATGTAGTTCCGTCAGGTCTGACTATTAATCTAGAAACCTGCATTTAAGGTTGATTGGGAGCTAAAGTTGAAGAACTGACTACAAATGATACATGCAAATGTTAGGTTTTCATATCCTCTTCAAACATATTGATAAATCTCACTGCCATCCATGAGAATTAAAATCGGTGCGAAGGGAAGGAGATACCCTAGTTTCTGGATGTATTTTTCTGTTTCTCCGAGCCTGCAAATAGAATGATTTTAATAGCACAGTGTGATGTGGCACTTCTCAAACTAGTCAAAACCAGTTTTAGAGTCAAAGAACCATGGGATTATAGAATATCAGACTGGAAGGAACCTCAGATTGTTGGGGCTAACGCTCTCATCTTGCAAAGGAGGAGACTAACCCAGAGAAAGGGGCTGTAATGATGATAATGTTGATGATGACAATGCAATGATGTCAATATCAACATAAAAACAGCTAATTTTTATTGACTACTATGTACCAGACATTGTTCAAAATGTTTTCAAGTATTAACTCATGTAATCTTCATGGCCAGGATCTGCATGTTGCCCAGCTCCAGGGGTGCACCATTCACAGTGTATTCTGTTTGAATGGTGCCACTCAGAGTTATGAAACATGGCCACCGTGATTACAAAAAGCTCAAAAGAGTAGGGGGACATTCATTGGTTTTGGCTGCTCAGCGTCCACACTTTTTCTTTGGAAAATTACCCTCCATTAGCTTCCTATTGCTACTCTACCAAATTACCCCAAACATAGTGGCTTTAAAACTACACGTTTATTCTCTTATAGTTCTGGAGACTGTATGTCCTAAAATGGACTAGAAGGATGGGTTCCTTCTGGGAGTTCTAAGAAGAATTCATTTTCTTGCTTTTTCTAGCTTCAAGAGGCCACCTGCATTTCCTTGGCTCATAGCCCCATCCTCCATCTCCAAAATCAGCAGCAGAGCACCTTCAGATCTCTTTCTAGGTCCCTCTGCTTCCATTATCATGTCACCTTCTCTATCTATGACCCTCCTTGCTCCTTCTTAAAAGGACCCTTGTGATTACATTGGGCCCACCCAAATAATCCAAGATAACCTCCTCATCTCAAGATCCTTAATCGTATCTTCAAAGTCCCTTTTGCTCCATAAGTTAACATAGTCACAGCTTCCAGGGGTTCAGACATGGACATCTTTGGGGGACCTTAATCAGCCCACCACATATCCTTCCCCACTCGGCTCATGTGGTCATGAGATGCTGATAAGATGGACTCCGCTCCCTGATGCAGGCCTCGCCAACCAACATATTCAACCCCTGACCAGAGTGGTTGCTCAGGGGCGGGCAACTACATGAGTGGAGTCAATGCTGAGGCTTTTCCAAAAACTAATAAAGAAGAGGCACATTTTTATGGGCTTGTTAATTAGGTTGTATATAAGCCTAGTGCTGAAAATGACCACTGAGAGAGCTGCCTAAGAACGAAGATAACATGGAAGGGCTAACACTTCCCTTTCCAGCAGTACAGTGGATTAGACACCCTAAACTCCTCTCCCAATCAAAACAATTAAAATTCTGGGAAGAACTTCTTCTTTAGCCCATGAAGGATTAATTAACATAGGAATTGGCCACCCACCATAAACAACTAGAAAATTTAACAAAATACATCAGACAACTGCATCCGGATATGGAACAACAGAATCATAATCCCAGAAGAAGAAAAACAAACAAGATGAGCCTTAAAATTACCCTCACTTACTGCCAAAAAGCAGTTTCCAAGACATGGATCAGGAAGAGGAACCAAAACAAGCCCAGTGGCCCAGCTGAGTTGAGGATACAGATATCCAAGTTCAGAGAGGCCACGGCACTTATCACTTGGGCAAAGTATTGGAGAGGAGGAAACTGCAGAGGGTTCCAGAAAGCTGCAGAGATGTCTAGTACTGACTGCTATTTTGCACATGCAAAGAGTGAAACTCCACATAGGCAGGAAAAGAGTCATCAGTAATCAGAAAGGATTAGGCTGAGCAACTTCCAGAGCTCATATGGAGCTGGAAATAGTTCACATTCTCACCAGCCAAAGTAGAGAGATCTTGAAATACATGGAGCATTAGGTAACATCCTCAAAGGAATCATGTCACAGTAATGATGATAAATTAACAACAGAATAAAGGTCACTCTGGTTTTACCCTAACAAAACTCAAAAGGAAGCATCAAAAGGATCAAGCTGATTTGAAAGTAACTTAAGTGTATGACAGAACAAAGCCCAATACTCTTCAAAGAAATACAACTAAATCAAATACTCAACAATGTAAAATCCACAATGCTCATCACCCAATCAAAATTGCTAGGCTTGCAAACAAAAAAAGAAAATATGACTCATAACTAAGAGAAAAATCAGTCAACAGAAACAGACTCAAAAATGACCATCATGAGGAAATTAACAGTAAGGATATGAAGGCAGCTCTTATAAATATGGAATAGTTAAAAGACCCAGAAACATCCACCCACCTGTCCCGGGGTCCATTCTGTTTGCCAGCTTAGGGAAGCCACAGTGTCTATGGAGCTGAGGTCCAGCTGCTCCAGCTCACTCTCATTAAGAGCCAGAGCAATGCGCCCCAGGGAGACGATATGGTGTTCTCTCCAGTAAGATGGCATGTCCCAAACCTTTAGGCAAAAAAAGAAAATAGATTAGACTGAACACTGTGATGGTATTTACAATGATTTGAATGTTTGTGCCCCTCTAAAATGCATATGTTAAAACCTAATCTCCAATGTGATAGTATTGGAAGGTTGGGCCTTGGGAGATGATTAGGTCATAAGGGTGGAGCCCTCATGAGTGGGATTAGTGCCCTTGTAAAAGAGACCCCAGAGAGCTAGCTACAAGCTAGTCCCTTTCCACCATGTGAGGACACAGTGAGAAAGCACCATCTATGAAAAACAAGTCCTTACCAGATACTGGATCTGCCAGTGCTTCAATTTTTGATTTCTCACCCCCCAGAACTGTGAGAAATAAATTTCTGTTTATAAGTTACCAGTCTATGATATTTTGTTATAGCAGCCTGAATGGACAAAGGCAGTATCTAAAATAGACATAAGGAGGCTAGGTGCGGTGGCTCACACTTGGAATCTCAGCATTTTTGGAGGCCAAGGCATGCAGATCACATGAGGCCAGGAGTTCAAGACCAGCCTGGCCAACATAACGAAACCCTGCCTCTACTAAAAATACAAAAAAAAAAAATTAGCTGTGCATGGTGGCGCACATCTGTAATCCCAGCCACTTGGGTGGCTGAGGCACAAGACTCACTTGCAGAAGTTGCAGTTAGCCAAGATGGTGCCACTGTACTCCAGCCTGGGTGACAGAGCGAGACCCTGTCTCAAAGAAATAAAAATAAAACAGACATAGGGAAACCTATTGTGCAGCATGGTGACCACAGTTGATAATAATGTGTTGAATGGTTGAAAATTGTGAAGAGAGTAGATGTTAAATATTCTCACAACAAAAACTGACAACGGACAAGTATGAAAGGTGATTGACATGTTAGCTTGCTTTAACCATTCCCCAATGTATACATACATCAAAACATCATATTGTATATATGTATACACCATAAATATATATAATTTGTATTTGTCAACTATCCCTTAATAAAAAATAAATAAAAATTAAAAAGACATAGGGTAAATCTTAATATAAAGCTCTCTTTTAAATCAATAATAAAAAGATGACTATATTTGTTTTAAAAAAAAGATAGACAAAAGACATCAACAAGGAATTCACAAAAGAAAAATTAAATGTATGGGGAAAACTTTATTCTCAGTCATAATTAAAGAAATATACATTAAAAACAATCAGACCATGTTGATTCATCACATGTCAAGAAGTATAAAGACTTATCACCATTTACGATACTGGAAAGATACAAGGTAAGGGATACCCTCATTTGTTGTAGTTGAGAATATAAGTTGGTACATACTCTTGAGAGGGCAATTTGGCTATCTGTATCAAAAGCTTTTAAAGTATTTATATTCTTTGACCCAGAAATTCCACCTCTGGGAATTTAGCCTGAGTAAATGAGACAAGTACCCAACAGTATATGTATAAAGGCATACATTGAGGCATTTTTTTAATGCAACCTGAAAGTCTAACAATTAGCTAAATAAATAAGAACTAACCATAAATAAAATGAAGTTGCCCCTGTGGATACCTCCACCAAGGATTGGTTCCAGGACTTCTTAAAGATACCAAAATCCATGGATATTCAAGTCCCTTATATAAAATAGTGTAGTATTTGCATATAATCTATGCACATCCTCATGTATACTTTAAATCATCTCTAGATTAGTTATAATACCTGATGCAATATAAGTGCTATGTAAATATGTACAAAATGTTATGTCAAAAATGCTACTGTATTTTTATGTGTATTGTTTTTTATTGTTATATTGTTATTTGGATCATTTTTTCTAAATACATTCTACCTGAGGTTGGTTGAATCTGCAGATGTGGAACCCACTGATATGGAAGGCTAATTGTATTACAAAGCTATTTAAAATACTGATATAGGCTAGATGCTGTGGCTTACGCCTGTAATCCCAACACTTTGGGAGGCCAGGCAGACAGATCACTTGAGGTCAGGAGTTCGAGACCAGCCTGGCCAACATTGTGAAACCCCATCTCTACTAAAAATACAAAAATTAGCCGGGCATGGTGGCGGATGCCTGTAATCTCAGCTACTTGGGAGGATGAGGCAGGAGAATTGCTTGAACCTGGGAGGCAGAAGTTGCAGTAAGCCAAGACCACACTATTGTACTCCAGCCTGGGCAACAAGAACAAAACTCCATCTCAAAAAATAAATAAATAAATAAAATACTGACATAGATGTACATTTTGGATATGAAAAAATATGCAGTCTGTACTGTTGGGTGTAGAAAGCAAGTTATTGAATAGTAGGTAAGTATAATATCATTTTTGTAAAACATGAGATATATGTATGAAATATATAAAATAATATTTTTTATATACATAGTTTTGGAGTCTGGTAAGCTTCAAGTGAATATACCAAAATATCAACAGTGCTTATCTGCTGAACAGTGCTTATCAAAATATCAACAGTGAGTAAAAGATTATCACTGATTTTCTTCTTTATTATTTTCTGACTTTTCTACAATAAACTTGAAGTACTCATATAATACATAAATACAGTTATATTTATAATTTTAAGACATTGAATTGTTTAACCCTTGAGGGTAACTAGATATTCCACAACCATGTAAAGAGCTAAAACAGGGCTGGGTGCAGTGGCTCATGCCTGTAATCCCAGCACTGTGGGAGGCCAAGGTGAGCAGATCTCTTGAGGCTAGGGGTTTGAGACAAGCCTGGCCAAACAAACCCCGTCTCTACTAAAATACAATTATTAGCCAGGCATGGTGGCTTGTGCCTGTAGTCCCAGCTACTCAGGTGGCTGAGACACAAGAATCACTTGAACCCGGGAGGCAGAGTTTGCAGTGAACCACAGATCGCGCTGCTGCACTCCAGCCTGTACGACAGAGCAAGACTCTGTCTTAAAAGAAAAAGAAAAAAAAAAGAAAGAAAAGCTAAAACAGGCCACAAAGGGACCTTTTCCTTTTATTTATTTATTTGAGACAGAGTCTCGCTCTATCACCAGGCTGGAGTGTAGTGACGCAATCTCGGCTCATGGCAACCTCCGCCTCCCGGGTTCAAGCAATTCTCCTGCCTCAGCCTCCCGAGTAGCTGGAACTACAGGTGCATGCCACCTGTAGAGATGGGGTTTCACCATGTTGGCCAGGCTGGTCTCGATCTCTTGACCTCGTGATCCGCCTCCCAAAGTGCTGGGATTATAGGCATGAGCCACTGCACCCAGCCTATTTTTATTTATTTTTGAGACAAGGTATCAGCTCTGACGCCTAGGCTAGAGTGCACTGGCGCAATCTTGGCTTACTGCAACCTCCACCTCCCGGGTTCAAGCCATTCTCCTGCCTCAGCCTCCTGAGTAGCTGGAACTACAGGCACATGACACCACGCCTGGCTAATGTTTGCATTTTGAGTAGAGACAGGGTTTCACCATGTTGGCCAGCCTGGTCTCGAACTCCTGACCTCCCGTGATCCGCCCGCCTCGGCCTCCCAAAGTGTTGGGATTACAGGCATAAGCCACTGCACCCAGCCAACAAAGGGACCTTTTTAAAGATGGAAAGCTACTTCCAGTCCTCTTTTTACTCCTTTCTGTTATATTTTCAGACAAATTTGCAAATGATTCTGAGAAAACCTGCTGTGAGCAGCAGCTGGGGCTCTCCAGGTGAAGGAATAAAGCCTAATTCCTGCAAACCGCCTTGGTCAGAGGCACTGGGACATCCACAAAACTTGATTCACTGAGCATCTGCTAGATGCCAAGACACATCTCATCCCATTCTCTGCCACAGCCCTAAGAGGGAGGAACTGGAAATTTCCTCCTTTCTCAGATAAGAAGATCACAATATCACTGAGCTGATGCAGTAAAATTTCAAGATGATGTATGGGAAAACTGCTCGAGGAGGGTTCTATGTGCAGAAATGCTGAACTGGTTTTGGTGTTTTTCTTTTTTCCTCTGTTTAATGTTTCCTCCCTGAGGTGGGCTTCACCTGTATTGCTTTCTCCTTCAGGGTCATCAGCTGAGGCCGGCTGAAACCCTGGACAGCTCCCAGCAGTTCCACGGTCCTGATGAATGTGTCTTCCTCCATGCACCGCAGGTCCTCCAGGGCCCAGCAGGCGTTGGCTTCGGCCAACTTGAAGATGTCATCAGAAGAGGGGGCCACGACTCCATGGCAACCTGAAGAAAGGAGAGATGCAGGGAAGGAGAAGAGGAAAGAGAATTTCAGGAAATGTTAGTGTATTGAAATGAGTAACATTCTTCGCCAGTCAGATTTATGCATGGAAGGGACTACAGAGTAAAAGCAGAGAGCAGGAGCCAGGGACCAGTTTGAATCCCACTTCTGCCATTTCTTGCTAATTACTGGGTAACAAAGTCATGGAAATGCCAGCTTTTTGCACATCCACGTGCACAAACTAGGAGCGGTGCAACATTACAATTAAACTACAAATTCCTTGAGGGCAGTAAGAGCTGGTGGTGAACAGTCCTGACTTTCGATTCAAATCCAAGGCTATTTAACCTCTCTGTATTTCAGTTTTCTTGTCTATAAAATGGAAATAAAATCACCTCATAGGATGGTTGTGAAAACTAAATGTGTTATATGTAAAGCACTTAGAACAGTGCCACGCATACAGTAAGCACTCGATACACAATTTCTGTTGCCTATCTTACCCCCTATGCCTTTGAGTTTGCAACCCAGCATAAAGATTCCAAAATTATGCAGCAGCCTTCCTATAAAAATGGGAAGATGGGCTGTGCGGTGGCGCATGTCTTTAATCCCAGCACTTTGGGAGGCCAAGGCAGAAGGATCACTTGAGCCCAGGAATTCAAGACCAGCCTGGGCAGCATGGTAAGACCTCACCTCTAAAAAAAAAAAAACTACAAAATATTAGCTAGGCATGGTGGCACATGCCTGTAGTCCCAGCTACCCAGCAGGCTGAGGTGGGAGGATCACCTGAGCCTGGGAGGTCAAGATTGCAGTGAGCCGTGATCACACCTATTCTCCAGCCTGGGTAACGGTGAGACCCTGTGTCAAAATAAAATAAAAAATAAAAACCAGGAAGATGAGTTGCTGTCCATGAAAATCATAGTGGGGGTTGTGGCTTTCCCATCCCAAGAGAAAAGAGAAATGAGCCCATTGCATTTCTCTTGGCAACAGGAAAAACATCCATTTCGGTCTTTGAATAATGTGAACCTTACCTACTCAAACCAGTTACCAACCAACATGCAAGTGAGATATTGTCTTTGCTGGATCTGATGTGCCCAACCTGGGAGAAAACTCTAGGATCCTTAAGAGCAACCCTGGATTTCTTATCTTAGCCGCAGACCACCACTGATGCTGACAGATGCACCAACCCCACCCAAGGCCAGGGTATTTCCCGAGCCCCATGGCCTCTCTCTTCTCATTGCACCTTCAATGGAAATTCACTGCATTCCAATCACGAGGCAAAAGTAGACCAGATCAAAGATGCCAGTTGTGGTCCTCAAACATCTTTATCATAAGCCACTTGGAGAGGACTAAAGACCCATCCCTCCCTAGGCCAACCCCCAGCCCACCCTCTAGTGAAAACAACATCAGTGATAGCACAGAACTAGAGAGGGCAGAATGGTTGACTAGTATATCAGGAACTTGGTCTTATCACTGTGTCTGTCCAGGGCTTAGAATAGAGCCTGGTACATAGTAGGTGTTCAGCAAATATCTGTGGAGTGAGTGAACACACACACACAAATTAATATAAAACCAAGCGGTAATTCTGCTAATCCATTAATCACTAAAGCACAGCAGCAACTAATACCCAGAACCAACTAAAGAACACTCAAACTATGCACTGATACCAGAGCTTCCTTCCCCTGAGCATGGAAAGCCTTACTTTTGTGTACCACATGCACACAGTAAGAGCTCTGCAATATGATGACATGGACTGCTAGACCTTGAGGGCAGTGGGAGCCAGTGGTGGTCACCACCAGCTTTGAGTACAAATCCAAGAACTGCCATTTACTAACTCTGTGACTTTAGACAAGTCCCTTAGTCTCCTAAGCCCCAGTTTCCTTCATTTAAAAAACAAGAGAACACCCAAGCCTGGAAATCTGCAGCCCTAAATGGGAATAGGCATTCCTGTTTTCACACCCAAATGTTAGGTTTTGGCCTGCCACATCCCACTATCCTGTACCCATATAAACCCCAAACCCCAGGCTCCATGAGCATACAAGCAGATGAGCAGATGAACAGAAGAGAAGAGGAGCAGAAGAACAGCACGGCAGAGAAAGGAGCGTCTGAAGGCCAAGAAGAGTTTGGCTGGGGACAGTTGGAGAGGAGATTGGTCATAGGACAGCCAAACTCCAGGGGAAGATCATCTTCCCACTCCATCCCCTTTCTAGCTCCCCATCCATCCCACCGAGAGCCACCTCCATTACCCAATAAAACCCCACATTCACCAAGAAAAAAAAAACAAAATGGGAGAACAAGATAATGCATGGAGGGATAATCACCCAAGGTAGACATAAATCCAATTGTGATACTTCTTTGCTCGATGTCATATGATGCCTCCACGCAGAGTAAAAGCCAAAGTCATTAGGGTTTCTTTTAACAGTCGCTACATGGCTGGCCTTGTCTCTCACTCCCCTCCAAACACACTGGCCCTTACCTCCCACTCATGGAAGTGATCCTGTCGCACTCTCTGCCTGGAAGACTCTAATTGAAAATATCCACATGGCCCACTCTCCCTTGGGTCTTCATTCAAATGTCACCTTCTCAATAAGACGTTCCTTCGTGATTCTCTTTTCACATGACAGTCCCCTCTCAACACTCGTGGTGCATTCCCTTGCTTTATTTTCCTTCTTGGCACTTTTCATACAATATACCATATATTTTACTTATGTATGGAAATTTATTGTCTTGCTACCCTCCATTTGAAAGTAAGCTCTTTATTTACAAAATTGGTGCTTAACGAATATTTGTTGGGTGGATGAAAGCAAGCACTGACTGTCAACTACTATCATTGGGTCTGATTAACTTTGTCTCCTCATGCCTGGCCCCAGTCTGCACTTAGTAGGTGCATGGTAATGATAATAAAATATCTAACACTTGGACAGGCATGGTAGCTCACATCTATAATCCCAGCACTATGGGAGACCAAGGCAGGAGGATCACTTGAGGCTCAGAGTTCAAGATCAGCCTGGGCAACACAGCAAGACCCTATCTCTACAAAAAAAATAAAAAAGTATCCAGATGTGGTGGTGCATGCCTGTAGTCCCAACTACTTGTGAAGCTGAGGTGGGAGGATCTCTTGAGTCCAGGAGGTCGAGGCTGTAATGAACCATGATTGCACCACTGCCCTCCAGCCTGGGTGGCAGAGCGAGGCCCTGCCTCTATAAAATCAAATTTTAGGCCGGGGGCAGTGGCTCACGCCTGTAATCCCAGTATTTCGGGAGGCCAAGGCAGGTGGATCACCTGAGGCCAGCGTTCAAGACCAGCCTGGCCAACATTGTGAAACCCCGTCTTTACTAATAATACAAAACTTAGCCAGGCGTGGTGGCACATGCCTATAATCCCAGCTAGTCAGGAGGCTGAGGCAGGAGAGTTGCTGTAATCTGGGAGGTGGAGGTTGCAGTGGGCCGAGATCATGCCACTATACTCCAGCCTGGGTGACACTCCAGCAAGACTCCATCTCAAAAAATAAAAAAAATCAAATTTTAAAAATATATAATACTTATTAAAGATCTGCTACATGCCAGGCATTCCGGTAAACATGTTTCTGGGTTTAAACCCATTAATTCTCACAATAACCCAGTGAGGTAGAGACTTTCATTATCCCCATTTGATAAAGGATGAAAACTGAGGCACACAGAGGTTAAAGAGCTTACCCAAAGCCACACAGCCAGTAAGTGGCAGACTCAGGAGTGAAATGTAGCCAGCCCGGCCCTGTCACTGCTATGTTAAACCACTAATCCATGTTGGTCCTCTAAGTCAATCCTACTGAAATGTTTGTTACACATATTCACGCATTAAACCTACTAGCCTGGGTATGGAGTATGGGACATGATTCCAGGTCACTTTACAAAAGTGTAACTCTTTTTTTTTTGAGACAGAGTCTCGCTGTCACCCAGGCTGGAGTGCAGTGGTGCCATCTCAGCTCACTGCAACCTTCACCTCCTGGGTTCAAGCAATCCTCGTGTCTCAGCCTCCTGAGTAGCTGAGACTACAGGTATGCACCACCACACCCGGCTAATTTTTGTGTTTCTAGTAGAGACAGGGTTTCGCCATGTTGGCCAGGCTGGTCTCGAACTCCTGACCTCAAGTGATCTGCCTGCCTCAACCTCACAAAGTGCTAGGATTACAGGCTTGAGCAACCGCACCTGAACCAAAAGTGTAATTCTTTTGCTTATAGATTTTGTCATTCTATTGCTTTGCAGACATTTCATCCAGTTCCCTGCATAAGGAGGCCTCTTGATGTCAGGGACCCTGCCCAAAACATTAATTACTATGTCAGCAATGGCTCAGATACCCTGAAAACACTCACCAGGCATAGGGTCATAGCTGGGGATCTTATCACTGCTGTTCCGAACAGACTGAAAGACAGCCCAGAGGAATTCTTTAGTGGGCAGGGTCCTGGCCATCTTGGAAGCTGCTTGCAGAAGGATCTCAGGAAACTGTGTGAAAGAAGATGAAAGAAGAAGAATAATAATTAAAACCCCTTAAATACAGATTGAAATTAGAGTTGAAACTGTCACACTACTTACTGCCTTCATTCTTTGTTATAGCAACTTCTCATATAAATCTATTCCCTAGTCCCACTAATGTGGTCTCTATAAAGAATCCTATAAAATGATACTCAACTTCAATAAAAATCCAATAAAGTCTAAAAAACATAAGTAAATCACTTTTCACCCATCAGATTGTCAAAAATAAAATGAAGTGCTAATACTTAATGCTGGGCACATTCATTTTTCCGTGGGACTGTCAAACTGTGCACTATTAGCAGAGCAATCTGGTAATATCGACAAAAAATGTAGGTTAGGCGAGGTGTGGTGGCTCATACCTGTAATCCCAGCATTTTGGGAGGTCGAGGCAGGCAAATCACTTGAGGTCAGGAGCTCAAGACTGGCCTGGCCAACATGGTGAAACCCCATCTCTACTAAAAATACAAAAATTAGTCAGTCGTGGTGGCATGAGCCTGTCATCCCAGCTACTTAGGAGGCTGAGACAGAAGGATCACCAGAGCCCAGGAGGCTGAGGTTGTAGTGAGTCGAGAGCATGCCACTGCACTCCAGCCTGGGTGATGGGAGTAAAACCCTGTCTCAGAAAAAAACAAAAAAAATGTATGTGTACCTACCCCTTTTTTGGTTTGGTGCTATTTCTAAGTTTTTACTAAACTTTATATTTGACATAGTTTGGATGTGTACCCCACCCAAATCTTATTGAAATGTAATCCCCAGTGTTGGAGGTGGGGCCCAGTGAGAGGTGATTGGATCATGGGGGCAGATTTCTCATGAATGGTTAAATACAATCCCCTTGGTACTGTCCTCACAATAGTGCGTGCGTTCTCTCGAGATCTTGTTGTTTAAATGCATGTAGCACCTCCCCCATCATGCTCTTGCTCCTGTGTCGGCCAAGTAAGATGTGTCTGCTCCCCCTTCGCCTTCCGCCATGATTGTAAGTTTCCTGAGGCCTTCCCAGAAGCTGGGCAGATGCCAGCATCATGCTTCCTGTACAGTCGGCAGAGCCATGAGCCAATCAATCCTCTTTTCTTGTCTCTTTTTTTTTTTTTTTTTTTCAGAGTCTTGTTCTGTTGCTCAAGCTGGAATACAGTGGTGTGATCTCCACTCACTGCAACCTCCACCTCCCAGGCTCAAGTAATTCTCGTGCCTGAGCCTCCTGAGTAGCTGGGATTACATGCATGCAGCACCAAGCCAGGCTAATTTTTTTTTATTTTTATTGTAGACAAGGTTTCACTATCTTGGCCTGGCTGGTCTCAAACTCCTGGCCTCAAGTGATTCGCCCACCTCGGCCTCCCAAAGTGCTGGGATTACAGATGTGAGCCACTGTGCCTGGCAGTGTTTGTTTGTTTGTTTGTTTAGACGGAGTCTCGCTCTATCACCCAGGCTGGAGTGCAGGGCACGATCTCGGCTCACTGCAAGCTCTGCCCCCTGGGTTCACGCCGTTCTCCTACCTCAGCCTCCCGAGTAGCTGGGACTACATGTGCCCACCACCACGCCCGGCTAATTTTTTGTATTTTTTAGTAGAGACGGGGTTTCACCCTCTTAGCCAGGACGGTCTCAATCTCCTGACCTCGTGATCTGCCCGCCTCGGCCTCCCAAACTGCTGGGATTGCAGGCATGAGCCACTGCACCTGGCCCTTTTTATTTTATTTTTTTTAATTTAACTTTTATTTTAAGTTCAGGGGTACATGGCAGGTTTGTTATATAGGTAAGCTTGTGTCATGGAGGTTTGTTGTACAAATTATTTAATCACCCAGGTATTAAGCCTAGTACCCATTAGTTATTTTTGCTGATCTTCTCCCTCCTCCCACCTTTCACTCTCCAATAGGCCCCAGTATCTGCTGTTCCATTCTATGTGACAACGTGTTCTCATCATTTAGCTCCCACTTATAAGTAAGAACATGCGGTATTTGGTTTTCTGTTTCTGCATTAGTTTGCTAAGGATGATGGCCTCCAGCTCCATCCATGTCCCTGCAAAGAACACGATCTCATTCTTTTTTATGGCCACATAGTATTCCATGTAAACCTCCTTTCTTTATAAATTACCCAGTCTCAGGTATTTCTTTATAGCAATGCAAGAATTGCCTAACACAGGTCAGGTGCGGTGGCTCACACCTGTAATCCTAGCACTTGGGAGGCCCAAGCAGGCAGATCACCTGAGGTCAAGGGTTCAAGACCAGCCTGGCCAACACGGTGAAACCCCGTTTCTACAAAAAATACAAAAATTCACTCGGCATGGTGGTGTATGCCTATAATCCCTGCTACTCAGGAGGCTGAGGCAGGAGAATCACTTGAACCCAGGAGGTGGAGGTTGCAGTGAGCCGAAATCGTGCCACTGCATTCCGGCCTGGGCAACACAGCTAGACTCCATCTCAAAAAAGAGAAAGAAAAAAAGAATTGCCTAACACAACATTTGTCATGAAAAGGAGGTGAAGAAGGGTTGTCTCAACATCCTGGGTGGAGACTAGCAATGAGGGGACTTAGGGGACTTTGGGTTGCCTTGGAGAAAGTGCCATTTCTCATCTAGAACGAATACACTTTGTCAAGACTTGGGATTTTATTAGAAGGCCTGCCCATGGGCCCAGATAATCCATCAGGCTCTACAAACAGCTATGCCTCACTGGGTCCCGGCTCACCCAGAGAGCAAGCCTCTCAGCCTATGTAGCTCCCCTTTCTAGTCTCATCTTCAGAATTAGAGTCACAGTCTAAGCCAGCAGTTCTTCAACCCTGGCTATACCTAAGAGTCACCTGGGAGACCCAGAGCCAGCCCCTAAAGATTCTGACTCAGTCGGGCTGGGCTGGATACCATGGATTGGTCCCTCTTGGAATCTCCCCAGGTGATTCTAATGTGCAGCTGAGGCTGAAGGCAACCACTCTAAGACAGTTAACTTTTAGAAAGCAATATGCATAGCGGAGTGAATGGCATTTTCCATTTTGTATTTTCTAAAGAAGAGTGTGTATATGCTCTTGTGTTTTTAGTAGAGACAGGGTTTCGCCATGTTGGCGAGGCTTGTTATATAGGTATTTTTATACCTATATAAAACTTGTTATATAGATATTCAGGATATTTCTGAAAGGATGCAGAAGAGATTGGGGACAGCAATTGCCTCTGAAGAGGGAGGCTAGGGAACTAGAAGTCTGGGGTGGGAGGGAGACTTGCTTCTCATCCTATTACCTTTGGTGCGATTGGGATTTGTTAACCAGGAGCATGTATTACTTGCTTTATTAAACATTTCCAGTATTTAAAAAAAGAGTATACAGAATAATACAACAAAACACCCATGTCCTCACAACCCAACTTAAGAAATAAAACATCACAATATAAATAATAAGTCCCTCCTTCACTCTTTGCCTTCCTCCTTCCCCAGAAGTAACTGTCACTCTGAATTTGGCATTCACTTTTACACTTCTCTTACATATAAACTTGGCTTACATTTGCTTTAAATTAATTCAGCTACTATTTATTTATTTACTTTGTATCCTACTATAGATATTCTTTTGCAATCTGGGTTTTTTTTTAACTCTACACTGTGTTTTTGAGATTTCACAGTGTTGATGCAAGACTTTTTCAATTTCAGAAGTTGATTTTTTTAAGATTAGATAGATATATGGATGTTCTCACTGATATGTGGGAGCTAAACTATGAGGACCCAAAGGCATAAGAATGATACAATGGGCTTTGGGGACTTGGATGGAAGAGTGGGAGGGGCCAAGGGATAAAAGACTACAAATATGTTGCAGTGTATACTGTTCAGGTGATGGGTGCACCAAAATCTCACAAATCACCACTAAAGAACTTACTCATGTAACCAAACACCACCTGTACCCCAATACCTTATGGAAAAATAAAAATAATAATAAACATCTAAACATAAGAAAAACAAGGAAGGAAAAAAAATAGATGGATATATAACATTTGTGCATCAGGGCCGGGCATGGTGGCTCACGCCTGTAATCCCAGCACTTGGGAGGCCGAGGCGGGCAGATCACTTGAGGTCAGGAGTTCAAGACCAGGCTGGCCAACATGGTGAAGCCCCATATCTACTAAAAATATAAAAATTAGCTGGGCACAGTGGCAGGGGCCTGTAATCCCAGCTACTCGGGAGGCTGAGGCAGGAGAATCACTTGAACCCAGGAAGCAGAGGTTGCAGTGAGCCGAGATTGCATCACTACACTCCAGCCTGGGCAACAGAGGGAGACTCCATCGCAAAATAAAATAAAATAATAAAATAAAAATAAACATGTGTGCATCAACTGCTTATAACTATATATTCAGACATCCAGAATATGATTTTACTGTGACTGGACTTCAGAATGTGCTGCGTGTGATCCTAGGTGAAGTTGTGTGTGTTCAGGCCCTGCTGAGCATGTGTGACCATGTGCACCTTGTGCCTGCAAGTGCAGGTATGAGAGTGTGTGGATGTGCTTTGTGGGGGATCTGATTGTCATTCAGCAAACATTCACTCCTTTCCTGCCCTCCACCTCCATGGAAGGAGACTCCTTCCTGCCCCATTAAAGTTGGTCTTGGTCATGTAACTTACTTTGGCCATTGGAGTGTGGCAGAAGTGACAGCGTGCCAACTTCCAACCTAGGACTTAAGGAGAATTGTACTTATCCCTTCCCTTTTTTGGTAGTTTCATACCTTCATGGTAAGAAAAACAAGTTCTAGAGCAGGGCTGCCCCAGCGACCCACAAATCAGGCAGCAAGGAACATATGCGAATTGTTCTATGCCCTTGAGATTGTGTGGCTTTGTTATGCAGCACAAATGACTAATTCATGCTTATTTTGCATGCCCCTTGGTCTAGACTGTCTAACTTCTGGAGCCTTACTCCTAGAAAAGCGTCATGCCCAAATGTAATGATCAATAAAGACTTGTTATTGGATTAAATGTGCTTGCACATGTGATTGCATACACTGGACATACATGTGCATGTGCATAGGGCACCAGCCAGTGTGAGAGCCAGAACAGGCGTGCGTGTGAGATGCACACTAATAGCAGAGTGGTAGCTAAGTAATATCTGTCTGCACACATCTGCCTGGGGGGCCACACAAAAGGGCCTGAGTTCATTTAGCTGTGGACTCACTCCCTTTTCCAGAACCTTGCACATCCTGGAATGGAGCTGGAAACATCTTAGCCCTTGGAGGCAGGGAGGAAGCTTCCAGAACCATAGACAGCAGTAAACCCAATGCTGTATAACTGACCACACTTTCTCTCCCCTTCAAACTCCTTCAGCCTTCTTAAGATGGAGCACAACATTACCTTTGTGGCTATAGAGCTTAATTCATCTCCTGAGAAAAGTACTAGAAAGGGTCCCAAGTCCTTCGTGGTCTCGGCTGTCCAGTGCTGAGGGAGTCTAAAAAGAGATAATAACCAGTAAAGTGAAAAAACATGCTGTGGTGGACATCTGTTGCCTTTTCCCCCAGCACCCTTTTCTTTCAGGAATAGATTGTCTTATACTCATGTCAATCACATGGTCCCACTTCCTTGACCAAGAAAATTGGCATGTGATGCAGGCTGACCAATCAGAGTCATCCCTGGGAGTTTTGATGGAACTATCAGAGAAGCTCTCCTTTCTCTGGTATCTCTGGCAGTAGGGGAGGATATTGGAGGACATTCATATTACCAAGTGGAAAAAGTAAAGACCACACCAAGGAACACAGAGCTGAGGGATGGGAGGAACATATTCCTGAAGATATCATTTGAGACACGGGATTCAGCCATGCCTGAAGACCACCAGTGGAGTTTCCCGTTACATTCCATTCCTGAATTCAATACATTCCCGTTCTCTTTAGTTTGAATTAAATTATTGAATTTCTGCCATTTACATCACAGTGTGTCCTTCTTCTCCCTCCTCAATAGAAGAGTAATTATATATTTCTTCCTTTTACTTTACCATAACAGTCTTCTCTTAGAATAAGAAAAAACCTTTCTCTTGAACTTGGCAGGATAAAATAAAGGCACTGACCCAGAATCCACTGTTATTCTTGTATAGATCATAAATGCCTACAGTGAAGAGCATTACACTATCTTTGGCGACATCTCTAAAGGAGGTCTGCCCAATTAGCAGTGACAGCTGGTGGGAATGCAAAATCATACAGCCACTTTGGAAGACATTTTGTTGGTTTCTTACAAAAGCAAACATGTTTTTGCCATATAACCCAGCAAACACACTCTTTGGTATTTACACAAAGGAGTTGAAAACTTACGTCTACATGAAAACCTGTATATGGATGTTGATAGCAGCTTTATCCATAATTGCCAAAACTTGGAAGCAACCAAATGTCCTTCTGTAGGTGAATGGCTAAATAAACTGTGGTTCATTAAGACAATGAAATATGATTCAGCACTAAAAAGAAATGAGCTATCAAGCCAAAAAAAGACCTGGAGAAAACTTAAGTGCATATTACTAAGTGAAAGAAGTCTATCTGAAAAGGCTATCTACTGTATGATTCCAAATATATGATATTCTAGAAAAGGCAAAAGTATCAGTGGTTGCCAGGAATTAGGAGTGAGAGAGGAATGAACAGGCAAAGCCCGGAAGGATTTTTAGGGCAGTGAAAATACTCCGTATGATACTATAATGGTGAATACATGTTATTATATACTTGTCTGAACCCATAGAATGTAAAGCACCAAGAGTGAATCCTAATGTAAAATATGGACTATGGATGATAATGAGAATCCAATGACGATAATGTCAACATAGGTTCATCAGTTCTAACAAATGTACAACTTTGGTGGGGGATATTGATCATGGGGAGCTTATGCGTGTACGGGGTCAGAGAGATATGGGAAATCTCTATCTTCTCCATTTTTCTGAGAACCTAAAACTAGTATTAAAAATAGTCTCTAGGGTCAGGCATGGTGGCCCATACCTATAATCCCAACACTGTGGGAGGCTTAGGTGGGTGAATCCCTTGAGCCCAGGAGTTCAAGACCCACCTAGGCAACATGGTGAAATTCCATCCCTTAAAAAAAAATACAAAAATTAGCTGGGTACAGTGATGTGCACCTGTGGTCCCAGCTACTTGGGAGGCTCAGGTGGGAGGATCACCTGAGCCCAGGGAGGTTGAGGCTGCAGTGAGCCATTACTGTGCCACAGCACTCCAGCCTGGGTGACAGAGCGAGACCCCATTTAAAAAAAAAAATAGTCTTTAAACTAATAATAATACCACTACCTTGCATCTGTAAAGGGCCACCTTTTCCAAATTTCCCCTTCATATGCCAAGCTGTGTAAAAAACAACTCTTTGAGATTTTTAGGGCAGCTACTATTGATTCCACTTTACAGCAAATCTGAAGCCAAGGCCAGGCGCGGTGACTCACGCCTGTAATCCCAGAACTTTGGGAGGCCGAGGTGGGTGGATTACGAGGTCAGGAGATCAAGACCATCCTGGCCAACATGGTGAAACCCAGTCTCTACTAAAAATGCAAAAAATAGCTGGGCGTGGTGGCACATGCCTGTAATCCCAGCTACTCGGGAGGCTGAGGCAGGAGAATCGCTTGAACCAGGGAGTCAGAAGTTGCAGTGAGCCAAGGTCGTGCCACTGTACTCCAGCCTGGCCACAGAGCGAGACTCCGTCTAAGAAAAAAAAAAAAAATCTGAAGCCAAAAGAAGAAAGGTCACATTTCCAAAATAAGCATAAGAATTTTATCTCATCCTAAGCCAGAGACTCTGTTTGCAGGGCAGGAGAGCCAAGGTTGAGTGTCCCTCCACAGAGCATACCACACCACCAAAAGCCAAACCCAGCCGCTCCTCACCCATACTGTCCCAGGAGCTTGAGCCTCACTGCAGCCTTTTGCTCAGGGTTGAGGTCTGGGCAGTCTCTGAGGCCGTGTAGAGCAGTCGCCCAAGCCCTGGGGGAGATCCCCCTGTCGATGATGGCTGCCGGCAAGTGACACAGCAGGTTCCCCATGATGTCCACAGTGTACTCATCAGCAATGGAGTCGTCCTGAACCCAAAAAGTGGAGCCAATGGGCAGTTCCAACAGAGCATAAGATCGTGAGCCATTAGAAACACATCCTGTGGGGTGGGCACTGTGGCTTATGCCTATAATCCCAGCACTCTGGGAGGCCGAGGCAGGCAGATCATTTGAGGCCAGGAGTTCGAAATCAGCCTGGCCAACATGGTGAAACCCCACCTATACTAAAAATACAAAAATTAGCCAGGCATTGTGGCACATGCCTGTAGTCCCAGCTACTCGAGAGGCTGAGGCACAAGAATTGCTTGAACCCGGGAGGCAGAGGTCGCAGTGAGCCTAGATGATCATGCCATTGCACTCCAGCCTGGGTGACAGAGGAAAACTCTGTCTCAAAAAAAAAAAAAAAAAAGTTCCGATCCCAAACTTCTTAAAGATTCCAGGATCTTAACTGCCTACCCTGCCATGGATTCCTAGAGATGGAACAGGACCTGATCTTCCCCAGGGATGCAGGCCTCAGAAATCTGGAAAACCCTGGCTTGGCACACCAGGAGCACTCAGTAATTGAGCGCTACTGTCACTGTTATTGCTCTGAGAATATTCCAGAGTTCAACCACCATTATACTATTGGCACCACAACAATGAAAACAGCACTTCAAAGTTTGTATGCCACTTGAAAGCCTTCAAAGCTCTTTTGCACTTTCACAAAATGACAAAAATAGTTCACATTTATTGTGTGTTTCCTATGTGCGGGCACCGTCCTGAGTATCTGTGGGTCTCAATCTAGTCATCTTCAAAGTAACTGTAAGAAGTAAGTACTACTATTATCCATTTTTTAAAGAAAAAGAAACTGCCAGCTAGTGGCAAGGCTAGGATTCACACCCAGACAATCTGGCCTTTGAGCCTTTACATTAAATAATACATTGCCCATGTCATGTTTTCAATACTCTATGAGGAGACTAGGTATGGTGGCTCATGTCTGTAATCCCAACACTTTGGGAGGCCGAGGTGGATGGATCACCTGATGTCAGGAGTTTGAGACCATCCTGGCCAACATGGTGAAACCCTGTCTCTACTAAAAATACAAAAAATAACCGGGTGTAGTGGTACGCACCTGTAGTCCCAGCTACTTGGGAGGCTGAGGCAGGAGAATCAGTTGAACCTGGGAGGCAGAGGTTGCAGTGAGCTGAGATCGTGCTACTGCACTCCAGCCTGGGTGACAGAGTGAGACTCTGTCCCAAAAAAAAAAAAAAAAAAAAAACTCTAAGGGGGATGTGCTACTCCCCCCACCTTACAGATGAGAAGACTGAGGCTCAGGGAGGAAAGGTGATTCACCCAAAGCCACATAACCAATCACTGGCACCCAGTCTCTGGGTACTGTGCTCTTTCCATTCCTCCAGAGTAGCCTCCCCTCCTTTGGGCCGTGGGGCAGAAGTCTCCAGAACCAATGGAAAAGATTGTTCCAACCAGCAACTTTAGAGTAAGCTTCAAGACCCACCAGTCAGACTTCTGGCCATCACAGCAGGCTCAAGATCCTAGCCAGATCCCTCACAGGGCTCCCCAAGATGGCCACAGATACCCAGAGGGAGGGGACACCCAGGAAGAGTTTTCTTACCAGGCACTGCTGCACTTTCCTGAGGACTGAAGTCTTTTTGTGGGAATCTAAAACCAAGGAGTCCAACCAGCTCTTCCCCAGGCTGATCAGAAAGGGCACACACTGGGAGGCTGGGACAGAAGCCAGGTAGCGGGCCCTGGAGAGAGATGGGGAGAACAAGAGGAGGAACACATGGCTGCTCCTGTTGGCCCCTAAAATCAGGGTCCGCCTGCCCAAGAGCTCATCCCAAAGACATTCTTTAAATGTTTGTTCTTCCCAGTGATGCTTTGGCTCCCTGCAGCAGGTAGCAAGCTTCCCACCCATCATGCTCCTCTTCTATGGGTGGGAACAAACTTCCCATCATGCTCCTCTTCTATGAATGGGCAACAAACTTCCCATCATGCTCTCTTCTATGGGTGGGAACAAACTTCCCATCATGACCCTCTTCTGTGGGTGGGAACAAACTTCCCATCATGCTCCTCTTCTATGCCCCAGAGCATTGATCAGAGAATGGGTTCTCGTAAATAGACATGTTGATTGATGGACTGGTTGAGGGGAGATGAAAAAGAAAGGAAAAAGTAGATGAAAAAAGAGACAACGAGGAGAGAGAATAACTAGAAAGTGAGAAAGAAAGATAAGAAAAAGAGTGGAAAGAGAAATTCTGTCATCTCCAGTCCAGAACTCTGCCTTCCACTCTTGATCCTTCAGCTCTTGACAATGTATTCTCAACAGGGTCAAAGTCACCCTCAAGAAGGAGAAACTGGTTTGGATGGAGATAAAAAAGACTGTTATGACAACGATCTGTAACCCACTGAAGCTCATTCCTACTCAAAATATTTTTCCTCAGTGTATAATTTCTTTCATTCAGGAGAAATTAAAATTTTCTCCTTTGGAAGGCATTAACAAAAGTTGAGAAAGTCTGCATGAAACCCATCCGGCCTACTCAACCCCACCACTTCACTGTTCCAAAACCAGATACAACGTCTTCCCCCAAACATGTTCTTCCGCCTCTATGCTATCCCACACTCCTTTTTTTCTTTATCCCAAGCCTGTCATTGCTATCTCCTTAGCATTATCCCAATCTGTTCTTACTTCTGGCCAGGTGTGGTGGCTCACAGCTATAATCCCAGCACTTTGGGAGGCCAAGGTGGGTCACCTGAGATCAGGAGTTTGAGACCAGCCTGAGCGACATGGTGAAATCCCATCTCTACCAAAAATTCAAAAAATTAGCTGGGCATGGTGGCATGCACACCTGGGGTTTCAACTACTCTAGAGGCTGAAGTGGAAGAATCACTTGAACCTGGGAGACAGAGGTTGCAGTGAGCTGAGATCGCACCACTGCACTCCAACCTGGGTGACAGAATGGGACCCCGTCTCAAAACAACAACAACAAAAAAATCTATTCTAACTTCTCCATTCCCAGTACCACTGTCTTATTTATTTCTTCATTCATCCAGCAAATATCTACAAAGCAACTACAGTAAGCCAGACACTGTTCTAGGCACCAAATATAACAATGAACAAGACACAAGTGGTCCTTAATTCTAGCAGAGAGAAGAAACACAGAAACCAGTGAACAAAACAAGACATTTGAGCTATTAATAGCTGGCATGGTGGCTCACGCCTGTAATCCCAGCACTTTGGGAGGCCGAGGCAAGCAGATCATCTGAGGTCAGGAGTTTGAGACCAGCCTGGCCATCACGGTGAAACCCTGTCTCTACCAAAAAATACAAAAATTAGCCAGGCGTGGTGGCGCACACCTGTAATCCCAGCTACTGGGGAGGCTGAGGTAGGAGAATCTCTTGAACCCAGGTGGCGGAGGTTGCAATGAGCCAAGATTACACCACTGCACTCCAGCCTGGGTGACAGAGGGAGACTCTGTCTCAAAAATAAATAAATAAATTAATTAATTAATTAATGTAAGGAAGAAAATAAAATGGCTCTGTAAAAGAGAATGACAATGGGGATAATCAAACGAGCCCCTTCTAAGGCAGTTCCATTTGAGCTGAGACATGAATGAGTGGTAGAAGTGCCATGCCAAGATCTGGGTTACTGAAATAATCTTCAGCTGTCTCCCTTCTTTCCATTCAGCCTCCCTGCATTCTATCCTCTATGTGGGTAGTGGCTATGATCTTTCTGAAATATAAATCTGATGGCTGCACACAGAATATGTGTGAAACACCTCACTTTACAAAGCCCCCATGATCTGATGTCCCTTAACTCTCTGGCCTTCTCTCCCCTATCTACTCTGCAGATATAACCCCATGTGTTCCCAGAGTGATTGGCTTTTCTTACCCACTGCTGAACCGGACATCCCCATTCCACTGCCTGGAATGTCCATCTTAAACTCTCTATCCAGCATTAGTTCGGTCTCCCCTGTCTCTCCAGTCTATGGGTGATATTCCCTCCTCTATGTCCAGTGCTCATTATCCCTCCCCTTTGCCTCTCCTTTGGAAGGCAATAAAAAAGTTGAGAAAGGCTGCATGAAACCCATCTGGCCTAGTCAAACCCACCACTTGACTGTTCAAGAACCAGATTCAACATCTTCCCCCAAACATGTTCTTCCACCTCTGTCCTAACAGAGGTGTGTAACAGCACCTGGCTTTCTTGGAAAGCACCTAGTTTTTCTTGGAGAACCATCTCCCTCACTCTAAGTCCTTGTGGTTTCTCTCCAGCTCCAGGGGTGCAATACAGATTGAAGTCAGTCAAAGTTACCCATCCTCCCAACCTCACTGATTGGTTCAAGGAAAACAAATTCGCCCAATTAAGGTCAATGAGAGTCAAACCCAAGATGTGTATTGAGAATGATGGGAAGAGAACATTTTTCTATTTTCCCTGAATATGAAACTGGGAAAATTTAACCTTAGATCTTCCAGGGTTCCCACAGAGGAACAACTTGCCTGATAGTGAAGCCAACAGAGAAAAGCTGGGACAAGAGACAAATGACATCATTTGCACCCCTAGATCGAGCCATGCCTGAAGTCCCTCTCTGAACTTTCCAGTTACCTGAACAAAAAATTCCCTTTTATTGCATAAGCCAGTTTCAGTTTCAGTTCTGTTGCTTTCAACCAAATATCAACCTGATATAATTGGCTTCATGTTTGTCTATTCCCTCTCCCACCATGAGATTATAAGGTCTTATAAATTAATAGGAATTTCTAAATCTTCAGATAGAAAATTTAGCTATCTGAGAACTAGCACACAGCAAGTACTCAATGAACTTTTTTTTTTTTTGAATGAACGAAGACAATAAGAGCAAAAAAAGGTAGAGGGAAATAAAGAAGGAGAGAAGGAGAGAAACAATGTCCAGATCATGTTTGAAAAGCAGGGCCACCCTGCAGGCCCAAAAGCTCACACATGCCAGGAGAAACGCCTACTGCTCCCCTCAACTCTGATTCCCCTGGAGCCTGGCACAGCCGCAAAGCCAGGCCAGATGGGACCTGCCTCACTGACACTCATTCAGGCTTGGGTTGCTTTGGCTTGGTTTTTAGATAACAGGAAAAGCAAGAAGGTCTGTCTCAAATGTCTGTGTGATACTCAGAATTGAAATCCTGGATCTCAAGGGCTTAACTCTCTAAGGCACCCTCCACTCTGCCTCTGGTTCCTGAAGAAAACCCAGTGGGGAGAGAATCATTTTGACTTCAGTGATTCCCACCGATCTCACTGATGAGCCAGAAGGTGGGGGCTGATGTTCACTTACGGGAGTGCAGCCAAGAGGAAAGGTGGCATAGACAATCTGGAAACTTCCCAGTATTTCCACGCCAAACAATTAACCTGAAAGATTAAGCAGTTCTGGGGATTTAATGCAGTAAGAAGAAGAACAAACACAGTGCTTTCCATGTGCCAGGTACTATTCTAAGTGCTTCATACGTGTTCATTTATGCAATAGAGCACCCTATGATGTAAGTACCACTACTGTGCCCAGTTTATGGATGAGAACGCTGAGGTAATAACAAACATGAACACGGACATTTAAGTGTGAGAATGCTCATCGCAATTTTGCTTATATCTGCAAGAAAGGGAGATATAATTTTAATGTTCCTCAGCAGGGGATTGGTTAAGTAAATTATGGTATATACATACAATGGAATAGTGCACCTACTTTGTTTTAATAAGGTAGATTTATATATATATTAACACTAAATGATGTCTGTGCTATTTTATGCATGTGCATATATATAGTTATATTATATATAATGTAAAAACCACAAATGGGCTCATATTGTACACACAATTCTGTTAAACTATATATATAGCTTAACTATACATATAGTTATACAGTTATATTTAACTATATATAGCTATATTTAATTATACATAGTTATATATAGCTTAACTATATATATAGTTTTATACATATATATATCTTAGCTATATATATAAACAGAACAGCATGTATAGTATGAGCTCACTTGTGTTTTTTTTTTTTGTTTTTTTTTTGAGACAGTCTCACTCTGTCACCTAGGCTGTAGTACAGTGGTGTAATCTCAGCTCACTGCAACCTCCGCCTTCCAGGTTCAAGCAGTTCTCCTGCGTCAGCCTCCCGAGTAGCTAGGATTACAGGCACCCCCCACCATGCACGGCTAATTTTTTTTTTTTTTGTATTTTTAGTGGGTTTTTTGGGGTTTTTTTTTTTGTATTTTTTAAAAATTTTTTTAGGTTGGCCAGGCTGGTTTCGAACTCCTAACCTCAAGTAATCCACCCATCTCGGCCTCCTAAAGTGCTAAGATTACTGGCGTGAGCCACTGTGCCCGGCCCACTTGTGGTTTTTATATTACATATAGATACTTTTTTAAAATTTGGTTTAGAGATAGAGTCTCACTCTGTCACCCAGGCTGAAATGCAGTGACTCCATCATAACTCACTGCCACCTTGAACTCCCGGGTTCAAGTGATCCTCCTGCCTCAGTTTCCCAAGTAGCTAGGACTACAGGCATGTGCCACCATATTTGGCTAATTTTTGTATTTTTTTGTAGAGTTAGAGTCTTGCTGTATGTTTCCCAGGTTGGTTTCAAAGTCCTATCCTCAAATGAACCTCCCACTTCAGCCTCCCAAAGTGCTAGAATTACAGGCATGAGTCATTGTGACCGGCCTATATTTTATATATAAAAGAAAACTCTCAAAAGTAATAGCAAACTGTTCTTTATAGTTACCTCTGAAACACAGTTGCTCACCTCAGTATTATTGACATTTTCGACCAGGTACCTCTGTGTAGTGGTGCTGTCCTACGCATTGTAGGATGTTGAGCTCCACCCCTGGCCTCTACCCACTAGAGGCCAGTAGCTCTGCTCCGGTTGTGACAACCAAAAATGTTTGCAGACATGGCCAAAAGTCCCCTAAGAGGGCAAAACAGTACTCTGTTGAGAACAACTGCTCTGGGGAAAATTTGGGGAAATTTTACTTTCTCTGTATTGGTTGTTTGTGTGTGTGTGTGTGTGTGTGTGTGTGTGTGTGTGTGTGTGTAATAATTATGTGTTTTCAGAATGGGCGTGGTGGCTCATGCCTGTAATCCCAGCACTTTAGGAGGCTGAGGCTGGTGGATCACTGGAGGTCAGGAGTTCAAGACCAGCCTGGCCAACATGATGAAACCCCGTCCCTACTAAAAATACAAAAATTAGCCAGGTGTGGTGGTGCGCACCTAGAATCCCAGTTAGACAGGAGACTGAGGCAGGAGAATCACTTGAACCCAGGGGCGGAGGTTGCAGTGAGATTGAACCACTGCATTCCAGCCTGGGCAACAGAGCAAGGTCCTGTCTCAATAATAATAATAATGATAATAATAATAATAATAATAATAATAATAATAATAATAATAATGTGTTTTAGTAAAAATATAAACGAGAAAGGCAAATTTTCTAATTAACTGGTATTTGAAGGCTCTGAGAGCTGGAAGCCTAGGAAAGCACCTTCACTGGGGCAACTCTTCCTGCTCGAACATGTAGGTCTTCCTCAAAGCAGGTCTAGCTTCCATCCATTTGCTCAGTTATTGGCTTGCCCACCTGGGCAGGTCTTTTAATATAGTTCAGTGGTTTGTACCAGCAAACTGATTAGAAATGCAAAGTATTAGGCCTCACCCCTTACCTACTATATGTAAAACTCTGGGAGTGGGGCCCCCAATTTGTGTTTTTACAGCCTTCCACACAATGCTGATGCAAGCTCAACTTTGAGAATCACTAACAGAATTAACAGTCCAAGGGAATGAGAGAGCTTCATTAAAACTTTGCATATTCCTGTAATGATCTTGAAGGATTATACACCAAGCACTCTATGCTTCCTGGTTTTCTGGGAGATAATTTACTCTTTGGAAATTCTTCATTCTGGTCTGAAACACAAGGCCAGAGTTGAGAAGGTGCTTTTTAATATCCATTACAGGAGTCTGTAAGCCAGCGGTTCACACCAAAAGTTCAAATGCTGTAAGGCCTGTGTTTACTAGCTTAGACACTGAAAAATCAGTCACTGGCTGGGTGAAGTGGCTCATGCCTGTCATCCCAGCACTTTGAGAGGCTGAGGCAGGAGGATCACTTGAGCCCAGGAATTTGAGACCAGCCTGGGCAACATATCAAGACCCTATCTCTGCAAAAAATAAATAAATTAGCCAGGCATGGTGGTGTGTGCCTTTAGTTCCAGCTACTCAAGAAGTTGAGACGGAAGGATCTCTTGAGCCCAGGAGGTTGAGGCTGCAATGAACCATGATTATGCCACTGTACTCCAGCCTGGGTGACAGGGCAAGACTGTGTCTCAAAAAAAAAAAAAAAAGAAATCAGTTACTGCTTCTAGTCTCCCCAAAGGTTAAATAGCCTCCATAACCTTTTAGAAAATGAAGTTTTAAGTGAGAAAGAAAATGTTCTCAGAGTACTGTTTGCATTCACAGCTACTCCTGGAAAGTGTTGGAATATTAGCTGAAGGAGTACCTTCCATCCCACGGGAACATAATTATGAACACACAAAATACTGTCCCTTATGAATATATTTTAAGGCTTAAATTTGAGTATGGAATAACCAATCTGTTGATTCTTTGGCTGTAGTGATGTGGGTATTTGGAGCTGTTTAAAAAGAAACTGGAAAAAACCTGGCTCAATCTTTGGCCCTAAGTCATCACTTGCGTCTGAATGATTCTGGCATAAAGATCTTTAGATGCCACAGCCAATCCAGGCCCAGTGACTGGGGTAGGGAGAGAGAATTAGAAGCTGGAAAATGCTTTAACGGTACCTGATAGGGTGAAAGCAGGGCGAAGTTGTTCTGAAAATCCTGGAAATGGGCCAGAAAGAAGTCAGTGCTCATGGCATCAATGTGTGAGCAGGTCACGCCTTTGACCAGCTGCCCAGCACTAGAAAACAAAACAAGGCACTCGGGAGAGGAAGGAAGTGAGGAGGAGAGGAAAGAAAGAGCGAGAGAAGGCAGATATGATCAGATACAAGCTACAGATGTGACTGCCTAACTCTCCCACCTGGAAAAGTAGGCTGCTCTGGCAGAAGGCTCTGAAAGGCCTGTTCAGCACCCAGGCCGAGTTACATTTTCCTACCTCAAAAGCTCCTCAGGCCTTCTGGTGGTCTTTAACAGAAGCTCATACAGGAACAGAGCCTGCAAGAAGAGAATGATCGTTAGCACTGATGGCACACTCAGCGTGTGCCCAACACTGTGAGGCCCTATCAGGAAGGCATTCCACAATCCCATTTTACAGATGGGGAAATGGAGGCTTAACAGGCTATGTGAGTTACCTAGGACTAGACCATTGCTAAGTGGCAGTGCCTGGATTTGAACCAGTGTCAAGGTAATTCCAGAGCCCCACTCTCACACTCCAGATGATTCTCTACACCCCATGAGGCAGATGAGAGGCAAAGACATTGGTGGCAGGGCTGGAGTTTTACTTCCTGTGCTTTAGGAAGCTGCTGACCAGTTGAGAACTCCCTGTGTCTCCTATTCACATGTGCACCTGCCAGGTTCTGAACACCAGGCATCCCAGAATAAACCAGGATGGGCTAGAAAGCACCAGCAATAAAGTACCTGCAGCTAGCAGCATGCACTGTCTTCAAACCACCCCCCAATGAGCACTCTAGAACAATGCCTAGTAGACAGGGGAGTCATTTGTTTTAAGGAACATAATTTTACAGAATCCCTAACTTGCAGACGCAATCAAGTACTACATTTGTCTATTTTATAGACTCTGAAACTTTGAGTATCATTCCCCAGACAGAATAAATTATGAGCTAGCATTAGACATGGTAGCTGAGAGCCAAAAAGCAGCACAAAAGCCCAGGCAAAAGGAATGGACGATGGAGGAAAGTTCTGGACACTGTTTGTGGCCCCAGAGATTTTCCTGGGCTCAGGGTCAAATTCTGGGACCCTCCCATGGTCTTCCCCATCTCAGGAAACAGCAATCCCATCAGCTCAATGGCCGAGACAAAAGTATCTTGAAGTCTTCGGTGGCAGAATGTATTTTCCAAAATAAAACTATTGGCTGGGTGCCCTGGTTCACGCCTGTAATCCCAGGACTTTGGGAGGCCAAGGCGGGCAGATCACTTGAGGTCAAGAGTTCGACACCAGCCTGGCCAACATGGTGAAACCCTGTCTCTATAAAAAATACAAAAATTAGCCGGGCATGATGGTGTGTGCCTGTAATCCCAGCTACTTCAGGAGGTGGAGCCATGAGGATTGCTTGAACTCAGGAGGAGGAGGTTACAGTGAGCCAAGATTGTGCCACTGCACCCCAGCCTGGGTGACCGAGAGAGACTCTGTCTCAAAAAATAAAACAGAATAAAATAAAACGGTTGCCACTGTCACTAAATTTAGAGGTGGTTTGTGACACAGCAATAGATCAGCAGGACATCATCCAGCCTCATGAGAGACCCTGAGCAAGAGCGCCTGGAACAGACAGGGATTTGTGTCGTTTCATTCACTTTTGCACACTCAGCACTGTGAGCAGTGCCTGGCGCACTGTTGGGCTGTGCTTGATAAACATTTGCTGGGTGCATGTAATGAAGACTGACTGAATACAAAGGTAGTCAACGATGGTACTAAGGCAGAGCATCCACTTCAACAGCACCATCCCCCCAAGCGGCCTCAATGCTCACAGCATTTAATAATACACATAATAGCCGCGAATACTTACAGTACACAGCCCAGGTGGCATGTATCAGTGACCCTCATTTTATTATCAAAATTATCCCCATTTCGCACATGAGAAAACTGAGGCCATATAAGGAACTTCTCCAAAGCTAATAAATAAGTGGGAGCCAGAATTCATGCTCAGGTCTTGTCTAACTTTTTTTTTAAGAGACAGGGTCTCGCTCTGTCGCCCAGACTGGAGTGGAGTAGCATGACCATAACTCACTGCATTGCGGAACTCCCATGCTCATGTGATCCTCCTGTCTCAGCCTCCTGAGTAGCTGGGACCACAGACATGCATCACCATGCCTGGCTAATTTTTTAACTTTTTGTAGAGACAGGATCTTGCTTGCTATGTTGCCCAGGCTGGTCTCGAACTCCTGGCGTCAAGCGATCCTCCTGCCTCAGCCTGTCCAAATTCTTAACACTATACTATTCTGCCTCCTATACTAATCCCACAGAAATAAATTTCTTTTATCAAATTAACCTTAAAACAGACCATTCATTCTCACAAGACAGATAGTCAGAAATACAGGATCGATCTGTGTTTCATGGTAATACCTGGCTCCTTCCAAGTTCCTTATCCTTCAGGACTGTAGAGTTGAATCCAGGTTGCCTCCTTAAATCAAAGAGAGACACTTCCTTAAAGAAAGCCCCTTGTATCTCCACGATGCCTGGGGCAGTGTCTTCCGCTTGGACCATCTGCCAGAAGCGAGAAGCAACAAAACAACATTGTAAAAAATGCATTGAGCTTTGAGGAAGGGCCAGGCACTACATCACAGGCAATAAAATCCATCAGACCCGCTCAGCAACCCTAGGAAGTGGAGAGTAGCATCATCCCCATTTCACAGGTGAGGAAACAGAGACTTAAAGTGTGATGAGTTGAAAGTCAGTAAGTGACATTCAAGCCCAAGTCTGTCTGATTCCAAAACCCGTGCTCCTTATTTCTTTATTTTAACTGTATGGGCTACTTGCTATCTGCAAGGTATTGGTGTTTTAGGCCAAACCCCTTAGGTTTTAGGGTTTTTTTCTTTTTTTGAGATGGGAATCTCCCTCTGTCGCCAGGCTGGAATTCAGTGGCATGATATTGGCTCGCTGCAGTCTCCGCCTCCTGGGTTCAAGCAATTTCCCTGCCTCAGCCTCCCGAGTAGCTGGGACTACAGAAGTGCACTACCACACCCGGCTAATTTTTCGTATTTTTAGTAGAGACGGGGTTTCACCATGTTGGCCAGGCTGGTCTCAATCTCCTAACCTCATGATCCGCCCACCTTGGCCTACCAAAGTGCTGGGATTACAGGCGTGAGCCACCTCACCTGGCCAAGTTTTGGTTTCTTAACAGATTTTGCCATTGGACAGAACGGACCTGATAGAGCAAGATGTCAAAAGACTCCCTGACAAGTAAAAAAGGGGCCAGGCATGGTGGCTCACACCTGTAATCCCAGCACTGTAGGAGGCCGGGGCAGGTAGATCACTTGAGCCCAGGAGTTTGAGACCAGCCTGGGCAACATGGCAAGACCCCATCTCTAGAAAAACAAAAATTAGTGAGCAGCACAGGCCTGTAGTCCCAGCTACTTGGGAGGCTGAGGTGGGAGGATCCCTTGAGCCCCAGAGGTGGAGGCTGCAGTGAACCAAGATCACGCCACTGCATGCTGGCTGGGGTAATAGAGCAAGACCCTATCTAAACAAACAAACAAAAAAACAGAATACGGACATGGCTGTGGACCATGAAAAGGGCTTTCAGATGCACCCTAGGACTTTGGGTTTATTTTTAGATTTGAAAAACAAATTTTAGGCCAGGCACAGTGGCTCACACCTATAATCCCAGCACTTTGGGAGGCCGAAGCAGAAGGATTATTTGAGGCCAGGAGTTGGAGACCAGCCTGGGCAACATAGCAATACTCCATCTCTACAAAAAATTAATAAATTAGCCAGACATGGTGGCTTGAGGCCAGGAGTTTGAGACTAGCCTGCGCAACATAGCAAGACCATGTCTCTACAAAAAGTTAAAAAAATTAGCCAGGCATGGTGATGTATGCCTGTGGTCCCAGCTACTCAGGAGGTTGAGGCAGGAGGATTGCTTGAGCCCAGGAGACTGTGGTGAGCTATGATCATACCACTGTACTCCAGCCTGGGCAACACAGAAAGACTGTCTCAAAAAAAAAAAAAAAACTTGAACCTGAAGTGTTATAAGATCAGGAAACCTGATTTAAGAAAAGTCTTCCAGATTAGACTGTCTGGCAGAACAAAGGGGTCTGGGAAGAATGACAGCATGACTGAAGGGCTCCGTCTGGAAAGGAAGGAAGGTGTGCCACCAGGAGAAGGCAGAGCCACCCCAGACACCAACAGCTGAGACAATCCCAGCCCTGGGTTCATGGCCCAAAGTCACAGCCCACTCACCAACCCCAAAAACATACCCCCTGTGACATGTGGCTGAGCACCAGACATCTTCCTCTCACCTTGCTGAGGATACCTTGCTGCTGGGCAGGTGACAAGTCGGATACATACTGGGAGACGGCACTTCTCAGGACCTGCGAGATGTCCTTGCGTTTCATGCTGCAGAAGGCCTGGGTGCTGACCCCAGCCAGCAGTGCGCCCATCTGGCTGACATTGTAGAAAGACAGCACCTGGAAGAGGAGCGGCTGCGCAGTCAGGCTCTGCTCCCGCCTTTCACCTCTCCAACGTGCACTCAGCCCATCTATGTGCCAAGTATAGGGATGGGTGACACCTTAGGGGCACAGCAGTGAGCCAGACAGATGCTGCCTCCACAGGCCTTCCTTCCTTCTATCAAGAAAGAGAGTTGGCCAGGCATGGTGGCTCACGCCTGTAATCCCAGCACTTTGAGAGGCCAGGCGGGTGGATCACCTGAGGTCAAGAGTTCGAGACCACCTGGCCAACATGGTGCAACCCCATCTCTACTAAAAATACAAAAATTAGCCAGGCATGGTAGCAGGTTCCTGTAATCCCAGCTACTTGGGAGGCTGAGGCAGGAGAATTGCTTGAACCCAGGAGGCAGAGGTTGCAGTGAGCTGAGATTGTACCATTGCACTCCAGACTGGGCAACAAGAGCAAAACTCTGTCAGAAAGAAAAGAAAGAAAGAAAGAAAGAGAGAGAGAGGGAGAGGAAAGAAAGAAAGAAAGAAAGAAGAGAGAGAGAGAGAAAGAAAGAAAGAGAGAAAGAAAGGAAAGAAAGAAAGAGAAAGAAAGAGAAAGAAAGAGAGAAAGAGAGAAAGAGAGAGAAAGAAAGAGAGAAGGAAAGAAAGAAAGAAAGAAAGGAAGGAAGGAAGGAAGGAAGGAAGGAAGGAAGGAAGAAAGGAAAAGAAAGAAAGGAAGGAGGAAAGAAAGAAAGAAAGAAAAAAGAAAGAAAGGAAAGAAAGAAAGAGAGAGAGAGAAAGAAAGAGAAAGAAAGAAAGAAATTATACTTGGGTTTTTTTTCCTTCCTTTAGAGTGAAGATGCTAGATAGTTTTCCATATAATCAAGGACATGCTTTGGTTCTATGAAAAGACAGCTGAGTGGGTTCCTTTAGTTATTCTGTGTATAATGGGTGATCTCATGCTGTCTTCAAAGAAGGCAAGACCTTTTGACCTCTTGCCTTCTGAGTAAAAGTGGCCTCACCCCTCAGTAGGAAGAGTTGGGTATTAGGAAAGAGACAAACCACTTTGTCCTGGGCTGGGAGGGAACAAAACCGTCTCCCTCAACTCCCTAAAATCAAATTCAGAGAGGACTGTCAAGGTGGACCCATGGAGCCCCAGTCAAGGTCCAGAAACAAGGATTCAAAGCCTTCAACATAAAGTCACCACGAGGCTAGAAGAGACCAGATGAATGGGCTGGCCTGGTACCTGAGTCAGAAAGTGGGAGTGCGTGGGCATTGGTCATGGTGCCATAATGGAGACAGTGAGCACAGGAGTTAAACAAGATGGCTCTGAGGCCAGGTGCCCTGGGTTCAATCCCAGCTGCGTAACTTTCACGTGGCCTTTTCCAGTTCCCTTACACACTCTGTACCTCACATGAATGAACTGGAAAATGAAGACTACAGCACTACTGACTTCAGAGGATTGTTGGATTAAGTTATTAATTCACTTAGAACACAACCTGGCACATAGTAAGTGTTCAGTAAATGTTTGTTATTCCACACCCTCCCTCCCTTGGCCCCGCGATGGAGGAAGCAGGCTAGGACCAGCCCTCGGAGCTGCAGCTGCCCTTCATCCCTCCCTCGCCCTCTCTACCGACATCCTGCTCCAGTTCCCACTTGGATTTACTTTGGGGAATGTGGTTGGAATATATCTGGCTCAGAACCATGACATACCAAACCCAGCTTTAAAAACTTGAAGAAATTTAAAAAGACTTGGATGCCAAGAAGAAATTCCCTACTCCTTCTCTTTGGGAGGCCAAGGCGAGTAGATTGCTTGAGCCCAGGAGTTTGAGATCTGCCTGGGCAACATTGCAAAATCCCATCTCTACAAAAAAATACAAAAATCAGCCCGGCGTAGTGGCATGTGCCTGTGGTCCCAGCTACTCAGGAGGCTGAGGTGGGAGGATCACCTGAGCCTGGGGGGTCAAGGCTGAAGTGAGCCAAGATCAGATCACTTCACTCCAGCCTGGGCAACATAGTGAGAACCTGTCTCAAAAAACAAAAAAAGAAGAAGAAACCCCCCAGTTCCTGAGGCCGACTCCAGCACTGCCTTCTGGATGCATGGATTCTACTCTATAACTCTTAAACCCCTTTACCGCCTGAATCAAAAGCTTTTGTTTTCATTTTACCACCTGAATCAAAAGCTTTTGTTTTCATTTCCAACCTCAGTGATGCGATCTCGGCTCACTGCAAGCACCGCCTCCCAGGTTCACGCCATTCTCCTGCCTCAGCCTCCCGAGTAGCTGGGACTACAGGCACCCGCCACCATGCCCAGCTAATTTTTTTTTTTTTTATTTTTAGTAGAGACATGGTTTCACCGTGTTAGCCAGGATGGTCTTGATCTCCTGACCTCGTGATCTGCCTGTCTCGGCCTCCCAAAGTGCTGGGATTACAGGCGTGAGCCATCGTGCCTGGCCTAGTGATTTTCTTCCTTGTGAGACACTGTGGTATTTTGCTTTAGAACAAGCAAAATGGGGCCCCTTACATTTTCAACATCTTCACCTCTTCCCATATCCTCCTTCAAGCTGCATGGGAGGTACTAACACTAGAATTACGGTGCTAGGTTAGTAAACATGACCTTTAAGGAGTAGTCTCTCCTTTATTCTTTGGGATTCCTACTACTTTTTTCTTTTTTTTTTTTAAGACAGAGTCTTGCTCTGTAGCTCAGCCCAGTCTGGAGTACAGTGGCATGATCTCGGCTCACTGCAACCTCCTCTGCCTCCTGGGTTCAAGTAATTCTTCTGCTTCGGCCTTCCAAGTAGCTGAAATTACGGGTGTGCACCATCATGGCCAGCTAATTTTTCTATTTTTAGTAGAGACAGGGTTTCACCATGTTGTCCAGCTGGTCTCAAACCCCTAGCCTCAAGTGATCCATTCATCTTGGCCTCCCAAAGTGCTGGGATTACAGGCATAAGCCACCATGCCCAGCCTACTACCTTTTGTCAAAATAAAAATTGATGAGTTTTGTATAGTTGGTCAGACACAGTTAAAACTAAATTCACAGTTTAGCAATTATAATGGGTGCTTGTTAAACATCTGGTAGTAAATTATGTTGTTTCAAAGTAATTAAAATTAATATCCAGAAGCCAAAAATAAACAAATGTTTGTTATTATTATTTGATTGGAATGGGTCCTAATCCAATCCTTGTGAGCCAGTTTGCATCCTGGGAAGTGGCCAGGAGTGTGGACTAAACGAGAAGGACACCAAAAGCCAGGCACGGTGGCTAATGCCTGTAATCCCAGCACTTTGGGAGGCTGAGGCAGGCGGATTACAAGGTCTGGAGTTCGAGACCAGCCTGGCCAACATGGCGAAACCTCGTCTCTACTAAAAACACAAAAATTCGCTGGGTGTGGTGGTGGGTGCCTATAATCCCAGCTACTCGGAAGGCTGAGGCAGGAGAATTGCTTGAACCCGGAGGCGGAGGTTGCAATGAGCTGAGGTTGTGCCATTGCATTCCAGCATGGGCGACAAGGGCAAGACTCCGTATCAAAAAAAAAATTAGATGACACCAAAATGCTTAGAACTCAAGTCTCCCAGATTTGGAGCCCTCTGGACTGGACCCAACCCAGGGACATTAATTGTCCCCAAAAGAATGTCCATTTTCCACCCCAGGAGCAGCAAGAACACAGATTAAGACTCCTGTCCCCACCAAAGAGGACTGTCTGCCTGACAGTTCCCTCTCTGCAGCCCAAGATTGGAATAAAATAGCATCATCCCTAATCCCAAAGTAATGGCAAAAACCGCAATTACTTTTTGCATCAACCTAATAGCAGCTTAACAGCAGGCAGGAAAATCCTGGGATGAGTCCCACACGTTGATCCCACTCAGGGATGGCTAATGCCCCTTGAGCTCCTACTCTGTGGTGTCACCTGGTGGTCTAGCTTCTTCATGTGTACCAACTCACATAATATTCGCAGCAATGCTACAGGATAAGTGCTACTGATTTGTTGTTGTTGTTGTTTAATTTTTTTTGAAATGGAGTCTTGCTCTGTCGCCCAGGCTGGAGTGTGGTGGCACAATCTCTGCTCACTGCAACCTCTGCCTCCCAGGTTCAAGCCATCCTCCTGCCTCAGCCTCCCAAGTAGCTGGAAGTACAGGCATGCACCACCACGCCCAGCTAATTTTTGTATTTTTAGTAGAGACGGGATTTCACCATGTTGATCAGGCTGGTCCCAAACTCCTGGCGTCAGGTGATCCTCCCACCTCAGCCTTCCAAAGTGCTGGGATTGCAGGTGTGAGCCACCTTGCCCGGCAGTAAGTGCTATTGTTGTCCACATATTACAAATAGAGAAACTGAGTCAAAGTGAAAATAGCAAATTGCCTAGTGTCACACAGCTAGTAAATGGCAGAGCAAGGATTTGAACCCAGGCAGTCCTCCTCAGCATCATCTTCTTACTGATTGGTTGCCCCCTGCTGTGTGTGTATAACTGATTGTTATGGATTAAATATTTGTGTCTCCCAAGAATTCATATGTCAAAGTCCTAACCCCTAATGTGATGGCATTGGGAGGTGAGACCTTTAAGAGGCCTTTAAGGGTTAGATGAGGTCATGAGATAATGAGGGTCAGGTGGGGCCCTGATCCAATGGGATTAGTTTCCTTGTAAGACGCAACACCAGAGAGCTTGCTCTCATGTGGTCAGGTGAGCACACAGCAAGATGGCGGCCACCTACAGGCCAAGAGAAGAGGCCTCAGAATGAAACCTACCTTTCTGACACCTCGATGTTGGACTTCCCAGTCTCCAGAACTGTGAGAAATAAATTTATGTTGTTTACGTCACTCAATCTACAGTATATTTTTATGGCAGCCTGGCAGGTCTAATACACTTAGGTCATCTTAGGGGAATAAAAAAGAGTTTAAAACTCCAGCTGACCTTCTCATGGGCCAAGTATTTGGCAGACAAGATGATGACCTGGCTCTTGGCCCAACCTGAGACCTGGTTGAGGGTGGAGATGGCTCCGTGCACAGCCTCGGGGGAGAGGGATTCCAGTTGGCTGTAGGTCAAACCTACAACTGCATCCGACAAAGAACCCAGGGTCTCATTGAGGGTCTGGTTCTCCATGGCAATGTCCAGGAGTTCTGCTTTGAGCTGGAAGGAGAGCAAACTGGAATGAGTGTTGACAGGAAGCAGGGCGGTGGCTCCCTCTGACCATATCCAGGGCTATTAGGACTCCACAGCACCTCCCTTGACCCTGTTCCATCAAAGCTTTTGGGCTCAGAAACGATGAAGGAAAGGGACTCCTGCCATGCCCAGACAGTGAGACACCACACGGAGGACACCTCTTCTGGCCTTAGCTTTCATGTGCCAAAAATTCCCTTTGTACTTCATTTAAATATTAATTTGTTATTAAATCAACCTTAATCCATGTCAGAAAGAAATGTTCCTTTTATAACTACACCACACTCTTATAGCATCTGTTGTCCTCTGGTGACCTTGAACTCTATATCCATATATACAGGCTGTTTTCCTTTCATTAAATAGCCAGGGGCCTTTTCACGATAATTTATAATCTGTGTAAAAATAACTTTTTTTTTTTTCTTAAGACAGAGTTTTGCTCTTGTCACCCAGGCTGGAGTATAATGGTGTGGTCTTGGCTCACTGCAACACTGCAACCTCCACCTTCCGGGTTCAAGCGATTCTCCTGCCTCAGTCTTCTGAGTAGCTGGGATTACAGGCACCCACCACCACACTAATGTTTGTATTTTTAGTAGAGACAGGGTTTCACCATGTTGGCCAGGCTGGTCTCAAACTCCTGACCTAATGTAATCCACATGCCTCAGCCTCCCAAAGTGCTGGGATTAGAGGCATGAGCCACCACATCCAGCCAAAAATAACTCTTCACAGTACAAGAAAGTAAAAGTCTCCTGAACATCCTACCACATAAAAATAACCATGATTAGCAATTGGGTGTATATGCTTCCAAGATTTCTTATACCTTTATAAATATAGAGACACTACATAGTTTTTACAGAGTTGTAATATGAACAGAAGCACAATTTACTCTTCTTAAAATTATCTCTTGCACCTCTTTGCACATTTCTATGATCATTTTAATAATTATTTTATTGCAATATGCCTGCCTAATGATAGTAAAGTGTGCGTTACAGCTGCTTTCGGTAAGGAATGTGATAAAGTCACCTACTATACAATGAGCTCTGTAACAAAAAACAAGAATGGTTCATATTTTAACACCCGAATTTACGTAATAACGTAGTCATTTCAGGCAGGTGCACAAAACGGGTTTCTGGCAATATTGAAATAGCCACTGGGGGGCAGCAGAGTGAAGTAGAAGAAACAACTGTCAAAGCGCCTGGGTTCTCTAAGTTCGGCAACTGCCTTACCTAGAAATCAGTTTCCACATCTGTAAAACGAAGGGGTGGACTACAGTGGCAGCTCCCAAAGTGTGGAGCACACCCAGCGGCATCTGCAACACCTGGGAACTTGTTAGAAACGCAGATTGCCAGGCTGCTCCCGGACCTCCTGAATCAGAGACTGGGTGGGGCTCCGAAATCCAGGGATCCCCAGACTCCGGGTCACAGATGGGGACCACCGGGACCCTGGCCTGTTAGGAACCAGCCACAGCAGGAGGTGAGCAGCAGGCCAGTGAGCATTACCGCCTGAGCTCTGCCTCCTGCCAGATCAGAAGCGGCATTAGATTCTCCTAAGAGCAAACCCTATTGTGCACTGTGCATGCAAGGGACCTAGTCTGTGCGCTCTTTATGAGAATCTAATGCCTGATGATCTGTCACTGTCTCTCATCACCCCCAGATGGGACCGTCTAGTTGCAGGAAAACAAGCTCAGAGCTCCCACTGATTTCACATTATGGTGAGTTCTATAGTTATTTCATTATATATTACAATGTAATAATAGAAATAAAGTGCACAGACCGGGCGTGGTGGCTCACGCCTGTAGTCCCAGTACTTTAAGAGGCCATGGCAGGCGGATCACGAGGTTAAGAGAATGAGATCATCCTGGCCACATGGTGAAACCCCGTCTCTACTACAAATACAATAAATAGCTGGGCGTGGTGGCGTGCACCTGTAGTCCCAGCTACTCAGGAGGCTGAGGCAGAGAATTGCTTGAACCTGGGAGGCAGAGGTTGCAGTGAGCCAAGATCGTGCTACCGCACTCCAGCCTGGCAACAGAGCGACACTCCATCAAGAAAGGAGAGGAGAGGGGAAGGGGAAAGGGATGGGGGGGGGAGGGGGAGGGAGGGAGGGAAGGAGGAAAGAAAGAAAGAGAGAGAGTGAGAAAGAGAAGAAAGAAAGGAAGGAAGGAGGGAAGAAAGAAAGAGAGAGACAGAAAGAGAAAGAAAGAGAAAGAAAGAAAGAAAGAAAGAAAGAAAGAAAGAAAGAAAGAAAGAAAGAAAGAAAGAAAAGGAAGGAGAAGGAAGGTAGGGAGGGAGGGAGGGAGGGAGGAAGGGAGGGAAGGAAGGAAGAGCACAATAAATGTCATGCACTTGAATCATCCTGAAACAATCCCCCGGCCCCAGTCCACGGAAAAAAATTGTCTTCCACAAAACCGGTCCCTGATGCCAAAAAATTGTCTTCCACAAAACTGGAGCGCTGCCACAAGCTGTATTTGAACAGGCCCTCCCTGTGATTTAGATGCACCCTCCAGTTTGAGAACAACTGAGCTAGATGATCCCAAAGGGCTCCCTCGTATCTAATTGCATGCCACCTTCTCCTTGGTCAGGGCTGCCACATGTTGAGACCCCTGGGCCTTAAAATACATTTATCTTCTTATTTTTGCTTGAGCTTGCTTAGGACGGATTCTTTTCCTTGGAAACAAAAATATGCATTCACAGGCTAGGCTCGGTGGCTGACGCCTGTAATCCCAGTACTTTGGGAGGCCAAGGCAGGTGGATCACTTGAGGTCAGGAGTTCAAGACCAGCCTAGTCAACATGGTAAAACCCCATCTCTACTAAAAACACAAAAAATTAGCCGGGCATGGTGGCATGCACCTGTAGTCCCAGCTACTCCAGAGGCTGAGGCAAGGCGAAGGTTGCAATGAGCTGAAATTGTGCCACTTGAACCCGGAAGGTGGAGGTTGCAGTGAGCTGAGATTATGCCACTGCATTCCAGCCTGGGTGACAGAATGAAACTCAAAAAAAAAAAAAAATGAATCTTATAAAAAAAAAAAAAAAGATGCGCTGACCAAAATAGATGACCACACTCTCAAATGTCAAATGTGTTTGGGGACTTTATGGTGATGTGTGGGAAACTGCTGTGAAATTATTGATGGCTTTATCAAAATTTCATTTAATATTATTTTCATGTCATCGTTTCGATTTTAAGCAAATTGAAAAGGGCCACAAAAAGTGGAATGGAAGGGGGTAGAATTGAGACTTGACTGGAAGGAAGAAGAGAGAGATGGAGAGGAAGGAAAATGAGAGAGAGCGTGTTTGCTCATCTGGTCTTGGGAACTCATAACCACCCTGCAATCCAGTGTTCTCAATCCTGGCTGCATTGAAATCACCTGAGAAGCATTAAAATCAGGCCATACCTCAGGCCACACCCCAGAACAATAACATCAGATTCTCTGAGGGTGGCACCTGGCAGGGATGTTACTAATCTAGAGGCAGGTTTGAGAACCACTGCTTTATCTCCTGCCGCTCCAGGTGTGCTCACCAGAGCAGCGGTTCCAGAATCACCTGGAAGCTTGTTGGAAGTGCAGCGTCAGCTGGGCGCAATGGCTCACACCTGTAATCCAAACACTTTGGGAGGCCAAGGGAAGAAGGAGGAAGAAGAGGAAGATGGGAGTCCTGGGCCTCAACCAAGAGCTCCTGAATCAGAATCTGCATTTAAGATCCCCAGGTGATCTGTATGCATATTTAAGTTCGAAGTAGCTGTCCCTTTCTTTTCTTTTGTTCTTTTTTTTAGATAGGGTCTTGCTCTGTCATCCAACTAGAGTGCAAAGTCACTATCATAGCTCACTGCAGGCTGGCACTCCTGGGCTCAAGCGATCCTCCTACCTCAGCCTCCCAAGTAGCTGGCACTATAGGCACATGGCTTTTTTTTTTTTCTTTTGAGACAGAGTCTCACTCTGTCACCCAGGCTGGAGTGCAGTGGCACGATCTCAGCTCGCCACAACCTCTGCCTCCCAGGCTCAAGCAATTCTCCTGCCTCAGCCTCCTGAGTAGCTGGGATTACAGGCGCATGCCACCACGCCTGTTTTTGTATTTTTAGTAGAGACAGGGTTTTACCATGTTGGCCATGCTGGTCTCAAACTGACCTCAGGTGATCTGCCTGCCTTGGCCTCCCAAAGTGCTGGGATTACAGGTGTGAACCACCGTGCCCAGCCATTTTTTTGTATTTTTTGCAGAGACAAGGGTCTCATGATGTTGACCAGGCTGGTATCAAACTCCTGGCCTCAAATGATCCTCCCATCTTGGCCTCCCAAAGTGCTGGGATTACAGGCATGAGCCACCGCGCCTGGCTGAGACAGCTTTCTGATTAAATTTTGATCTCCCCAGGGTCTGTTCCTTTGCTATTTTCTGTCTGGGCTTCGATGTTACACTTACCTCAGTATTTGAGATGCCATCTGCTGTGACTGGACTTAAATCCCGACTAATGCTGTGTGTTTTCTCCCAAAGGCTAAGCTAGGCTGTTCTCCCCATTTCTCTGGCTAGTGACACTGAGGCAGAGGCCTCAGGGCCTTGCACCCCAGCTGTACCTTCTGGACGCCAGCCTGGAAGCCCCTCAGGTGGCTGCACTTGATCATCTGGTAAAGCAGGACTTGAGCCACAGTGGCATCCAGCAATTCCAGGTCATTGTAGAAACAAACCAGCAGCCCCAGCCTGTGTGAGAAGAGGAGGGATGGTGGTGGAGGTGTAACCGCAGAACCAGCCCATTCTGGTTCAATTTTGTGTAATAAAATGGTGAGTTGTTTTTCAGTTGCCACGGACTCCCAGGTTGAAGGTCACATAACCTGAACATCCTCAGATGAACCAAATGTGCAACCACAGGCGGAACCTAACTGCTCAGACGAGACCAAGGAATGGGGGCTGAATTATGAAGTGGACACCACATGGCATGGTCCACGATCCAATCAGAATGAGTCCTGGCATCACCTCATGGCATGATCCAATCAGATCACACCTCCCAGCATCACCTTGTAGCAAGACCCAATCAGATCAAGTCTCATTACCCTCCGCCTATAAAACCTGCCCCAGTCCCCAGCTCAGAGACACAGATTTGAGCACTGTCTTCTGTCTCCTTGGCAGTTGATTCACAGTAACCGTTTCTCTCTACAAAAACCTAGTGCTTCAGTGTTTGGTTTTCCATTGCGCATGGGCAAACAGACCCAGTTTGGTTCCATAACAGAGCGCTGAGAGCTGGTGGACACGACACCCCCTCCCCAGTCCAAACCAATGGGGTCTTGATTATATTAATAGCAGCTACCACTTATCAGGTCTTGCACTGAGCCGTTTACCTGCATTATCTCATTACAGCAACCCTACAAGGCAGGTGCTCTCATTAGCCCCATTTCACAGATGGGGAAACTGAGATTTGATTTGTCCAAGGCAAGTCGGTGGAGCTGGGACTTAAATGTAGATCCATCCACCTATGCCATCTCTCCACCTGGGATGAATAAAGGGAATAAGGAAAGAAAGGTGCCGGTAGCCACAGAAAACTCCCCATTTTCCACATTACAATCACTAAATTCTAGAGCTGATCTCACCCTGAGGGATTCTCTGAGGCAGAGATCTGTTTCTAGGATGCCTTCTGGTACCCACCCAGATGATGCAAAGATTTCAGAAGGAAAACAAAAAAGACTGGAGGAAAACAATGGAAGGGCAGAAGTGAGATTGGAACCCTGGTATAACTGAGAGCAATGTTTCTAATCATTAAGAGCATTGATTCAGGCCTACTGCAGTTTGAAGCCCAGCTCTGTGAGATGTTTGCTCTCCACCAAGTTACTTAACTTCTCTGTGAGGCCGCTATACACAGTTCTGCAGTGCACACTCTGTACTCCCATACTGTACAGAGACAGGGTGCCTCTCCCTCTCTGAGCCTCTAATAAATGGGAGGTTTTCTTTGTTCATCGTAGCACATCATAATAAACATGAGTGAAAGAAAGAGGATGATTGTGAAAGTTAAATGAGAAGTGGTATACCAACTGATTTGCATACATCCTGGTGGAAACCAAGCACTCATTCATTAATGAATGCTCTTAGAGTTAGAATGAAGACTACCTAGTTGACCACAGTCAGCCTGGCTCCACCCTCTCAGAGCGATATTGACATATTCAGACATGCCCACAGGAGAGCTGCCAGGTCCAGGGAAAAGATTTGAAAGTGTGTCTCATGAGGAAAAGAGATCTGCTTAACTTCGAGTAAAGAAGACTCAGGGGAAGTGAGGGCTGAACGTTAATAACCACGTTGAGAATAACTATTCACAACAGCCAAGACATGGAATCATCCTAAGTGTCCAACACGTCAGTGGATGAATGGATTTTTTTTTTAATTTGGTGGATACACAATGGAATGCTCTTCAGCTTTGAAAAAGAAGGAAATTCTATCATATGGGACCCCATGGATGAACTTGGAGGATCTTATGCTAAGTGCAATAAGCTAGGCACAGAAAGACAAATACTGTATGACCTCATTTATATTATGAATCTGAAAAACAAATAAACAAACGTCATACTCATGGAAGCAGAGCCTTAGAATGGTTGGTACCAGGGGCTGGAGGTGGGAAGGGAGTTGGAGAGACTTGGACAAAGGACACAATGTTTCAGTTAAATAGGAAAATAGGTTCTGGAGATCTATTGTACATGCTGACTACAGTTAATAACAATGTATCATATACTCAAAAATTGCTAAGAGTAGATTTTAAGTGTTCTCACCGCAAAAAAAGTATGTGAGGTAATGATAACTTAATTAGCTTGATTTAGCCATTCCACAATGAATATATATCTCAAAACATGTTGCACACCATAGATATAATTTTTATTTATCAATTTAAAAAAATAAATTATAAAAGAAAAATAGGCTTGGCGTGGTAGTTCATGCCTCTAATCCCAGCACTTTGGGAGGCCGAGGCGGGTGGATCACAAGGTCAAGAGATCAAGACCATCCTGGCCAACATGGTGAAACCCCGTCTCTACTAAAAATACAGAAATTAGCTGGGCGTGGTGGCGTGTGCCTGTAGTCCCAGCTACTTGGGAGGCTGAGGCAGGAGAATCACTTGAACCCAGGAGGCAGAGGTTGCAGTAAGCCGAGATTGTGCTACTGCACTCCAGCCTGGCGACAGAGTGAGACTCCGTCTCAATAAATAAATAAATAAAAAGAAAAAATATTATTCATTGAGCACTTACTATGTGTCAAGTGTGCAAATCCCTACAAAGACCTTAATGCAGTAGGCATATTTTTATCTCCCATTTTACAGATGGGGAAGCGGAAGTATAGAGAGGTGATGTAAAAATAGCAAAGATCACACCATTAGTAAGCAGCAGGGAAGGATTAAGCCACGAAGTCTGGCTCGAGGTCCCATGTTCTTAATCATGAGGCTATTTTTGTGTGTGTGAAACCATAGAAAAATGAGACACATGCTAATAAGTGAAAATTACTAAAGGTAGGTGAAACAGATGTAATTGTTTCCTATGAGTACATTCCCTAAGAGTGGCTCATTTGAAAAACCTTAAGGTAATATGGGATGGGAGCAGTGTGGCAATAATAAGACCTTGAGAGACGGACACAAGAGGATTGAATGATGGCCCAGCACAGTGGCTCACGCCTGTAATCTCAGCACTTTGGAAGTCCAAGATGGGTGGATCACTTGAGGTCAGGAGTTTGAGACCAGCCTGGCCAACATGGCGAAACCCAGTCTCCACTAAAAATACAAAAATTAGCTGGGTGTGGTGGCACACGCCTGTAATCCCAGCTACTTGGGAGGCTGAGGCAGGAGGATCTCTTGAATCTGGAGGTGGAGGTTGTAGTGAGCTGGTATTGCACCACTGCCCTCCAGCCTGGACAACAAAGTGAGACTCTGTCTCAAAAAAAAAAAAAAAAAAACAGGATTGAATGGGCCAGGCGTGGTGGCTCATGCCTGTAATCCCAGCAGTTTGGGAGGCCAAGGCAGGCAGACCACCTGAGGTCAGCAGTTCAAGAGGTCAGGAGTTTGAGACCAGCCTGACCAACATGGCAAAACCCCATCTCTACTGAAAATACAAAAAATTTAGCTGGGCATGGTGGCACACATCTGTAGTCCCAGCTACTCTGGAGGCTGAGGCATGAGGATTGCTTGAACCCAGGAGGTGGAGGTTGCAGTGAGCCAAGGTCACATCACTGCACTCCAGCCTGGGTGACAGGACAAGACTCTGTCTCAAAAAAATAAATAAATAAAAGGAAAAGGAGGGAGTATTGAGCTGTACTCACCACCTCCTTCCCATTGCCCACTCCCTTCCTGACACCCCTGGAATGTAGAGTTCCTGTCCCTCCTCCCCTGCTGGGAATGGTTTTAGGGAGGATCACATTACAGTCACTAAATTCTAGAGCTGATCTCATCCAGGGGCTCCCCAGCTAAGAGTCTGATAACAAGCGGTTCTCATATATGGGGACCCATGAGTTATTTCCAACACTTGACTCAACTTAAACGGAAATCACACATTCACTTTGGAACAGGACCCAGTCCTGAGTATTTAAAATGTTTCATTTCTGTGCTGAGAGACAGAATTAGCACTTGATAAGGTTGCATAAAATGCCTGGCACACAGGAGATGCTCAGAAAGCATTTATCCTTTCACCCAGCTTCATAACCTCTTCATAAAAAAAGTTGCAGACACCTCTCCTCACATGCACAGAGAAATATGGGACTATTCAAAGAGATGGACCAGCCACCTCCCTTCCCTCCCTGGGTGTTTTGCTGCTCAGAGAATTCTGATGCTTAGATCACATCTTGGGAAAGGGCTCCAAGGCCCAGAGCTCATGCGCTTGCCTGTGGATGGTGGAGGTATTCCTCATGTTAAAGTTGGAGGAGCTGATCCTCTCCAGAAACGCCTGGGCCAGCTCAGGTGTGATGTCATAGACCATGTCCAGCTGCTTGGTGGCGTTGTCATAGCTGATAAACAGCCCAATCTAGTTGGTGGACAAGGACGAGAATATCAGTGAGGAGGGTGGAAGTGGCCCAGTGTGGCCCCACCCTGGTGGTCTGCACTGTGCCCCATCATGGACACTTGGATACACCTCCTGGTTCTCATTGTCATTGATGTCTTTTTTTCTTTTCTTTTTTTTTTTTTTTGAGATGGAGTCTCACTCTGTCGCCCAGGCTGGAGTGCAGTGACATGATCTCAGTTCACTGCAACCTCCACCTCCTGAGTTCAAGCAATTCTCCTGCCTCAGCCTCCGGAGTAGCTGGGACTACAGGTGCCCACCACCACGCTTGGCTAATATTTGTATTTTTAGTAGATATGGGGATTCACCATGTTGTCCAGGCTGGTCTCGAACTCCCAGCATCAAGTGATCCACCCGCCTCGGCCTCCCAAAGTGCTGGGATTACAGGCGTAAGCCACCATGCCTGGCCTCATTGTCATTGATTTCTTAGTGGTCTGTAACTGCTACTTTAGTTTCCTCCTCAACCTAACTATTCTTTAGGAAAGAATTATTTTTTAATATCTGAGAAACTGGGCTTTTTAAAAGCTAATCTTTGCACATTTATTTCTAGATTTGTTATATGGAGGTCAGAGAATGTGGTCCACAAACTTTCTGCTTTGAAGAATCAGAATTTTTTTAATAGATGAATGAGTTTATAAATGGCCCTTGGGTGATGGAAAAGAGTATGTGTTCTCTTTGTAAGACACAAAGTTTGGTGCATATATATTCAACTTATTAAATATACTATTCAGATTCCCAACATTCTTGTTCCTTTTTGGCCCACATGTCCAAGGGTGCCACGTGCAAGTCTTCTACTACTACAGGACTCATATCTATCTATTCTTCCTTGTATTTCTAGCAGATTATAAATTATATATATAATTTTGGGGGGACACTGACTCACTCTTTTTATTTTATTTTTGTTTTTATTTTTATTTTTATTTTTATTTTTTTGAGATGGAGTCTCGCTCTGTCACCCAGGCTGGAGTGCAGTGGCACAATCTCAGCTCACTGCAACTTCAGCCTCCCGGGTTCAAGTGATACTCCTGCCTCAGCCTCCTGAGTAGCTGGGATTACAGGCATGTGCAAACATGCCCGGCTAATTTTTGTATTTTTAGTAGAGACGGGGTTTCGCCATGTTGGCCAGGCTGGTCTTGAACACCTGACCTCACATGATCCACCCGCCTCAGCCTCCCAAAGTGCTGGGAGTAGAGGCGTGAGCCACTGCGCCCGGCCAAGACACAGTCTCACTCTTTTACCCAGGCTTGGGTGCAGTGGTGTGATCATGGCTTATTGCAGCCTCGACCTCCTGGGCTCAAGTGATCCTCCCACCTCAGCCTCCCAAGTAGCTGAGACCTCAGGCACACACCACTACACCTGGCTAATTTTTAAATTTTTTTGTAGAGATGAGGTTTCACTATGTTGCCCAGGCTGGTCTTGCACTTCTGGGCTCAAGTGATCCTCCCGCCTTGGCCTCCCAAAGTGCTGGGATTACTGGCATGGGCCACGGCAGCCAGCACATTCTATATTTTGAGACAGTATTATGCTGTGCTCAAAGGGGCTCATAAAGTTGTCTCTCCTTTGTGGATCGTACTCTTTGTCCATATAAAATTCCTTTTTAGGCTGGGTGCGGTGTCTCACACCTGTAATACCAGCACTTTGGGAGGCTGAGGCAAGGCAGATCACCTGAGGTCAAGAGTTCAAGACCAGCCTGGCCAACATGGTGAAACCTCGTCTCTGCTAAAAATATAAAAATTAGCCAGGCATGGTGGCATGTGCCTGTAATCCCAGCTACTCAAGAGGCTGAGGCAGGAGAATCAATTGAATCTGGGAGAAGGAGGTTGCAGTGAGCTGAGATCACGCCACTGCACTTTAGCCTGGACGACGGAACGAGACTCCATTTCATAAATAAACAAATAAAATAAAATAAAATTCCCTTTTAGCAGTGTTATTCTTGACTTCTCCCTTCTCTACATTTTTAGCGAATAAAAAGTTGCAAATGAGTGCTTGACCTTAGAAATTTCCTCTAGGGGGCTCAGCTTTCTAAGAATTTAAGCTGTTACCTACTCAAAGCAACTCTACATTGAGAGAGTAAATGGCAGTGGGGTGCGGGGTTAATTCTAGGACTGCGGGTTATAAAAATCGGAAGACACTTGAAATACTCCCAGCCCCCTAGGTAAAAGAGAGAAAGCTCGTTCTGCCTCTGGTTTCATAATAACCACACATTGCTGGGTCAATGGGTCCTTGAACAGGCCAGTCATTTGATGCAAACACTTCTCTCACTGGCCAGAAGAGTCAGGGCACATATGACTTAAAAAAGAAGAAGAAGAAGAAGAAAAATTGGAAGCAAGGCCCACAGTCTCTTCATGAATCCCTTTGTGTTGGCAGCATTCTTTGGAGACCGCATTCAAGAATCATGATGCCCAAGGGATTTTAGTGTCATTGGGTCAACATCAAAAGGAGAGGGACAGGTTGACTAGTGAGTTAAGTAATCCTAGAATGTGTGTATTTCTCCACTGTAAACTCTAGAATTAAAATCTAACCATTGCTCATGCTCAAGTAGCTATTAACAGAAGTAGCTATAAATAGAAGTAGCTATTAATCCATTTTGCTTTTGCTTTGAGTTCATGATCCCAAGGATGGGAAACTTTATATCTTTTGTCCTTGGCCTTCTCCAGTACAAAAATACCCTTAAATGATTTTTGGTTCATAGCCAACAATCCCTTTAAATCATGTTTGCTCACATCAGAGATGTGATCTTAGTTGTCCACAATTCTTTTTCTTTTCTTAGCCCTTCCACACTAAAACAATCCCATGACTGCCCACTTGAAACTTTCTTCCAATAGTTTTCTTCAGAGGCCCAAGGTCTATTGGGCTGAGGAGGGTACACAATTTCCAAGGCACCTTGACTGGCTGGATGAACATTAGAGTTTGAGAATACACCTTACCCCAAGTGTATTAGTAATGGTGACATATAAATGTACTTTTCCAACTTACTTCTATAGGACTAATTTTCGTAATTTCTTCAAACGATAGGTGAACCATGTATCTGCCCAAAACCCATAAGTGTTCCGCACTGACCCATGAAGCAGAGTCATCTACAAAAAATAAAGAAATGAATAAATGAGTACATACATAAATAAAAGCCTTTACACTGGTATGTGATAGTCAACAGCATCTTTGCTGTCAAGACCTACTTCTTGCATTCATTAATTCGTTATTTTGTTTTTCGGGGTTTTTTGAGACAGAATCTCACTCTGTTGCCTAGGTTGGAGTGCAGTGGTGTGATCTCAGCTCATCTCAACCTCCGCCTGCCGGTTCAAGCGATTCTCCTGCCTCAGTCTCCCAAGTAGCTGGGATTACAGGCACCCACCACCATGCCCAGCTAATTTTTGTATTTTTAGTAGAGACAGAGTTTCACCATGTTGGTCAGGCTGGTCTCAAACTCCTGACCTCAGGTGATCTGCCCGCCTCTTGCCTCCCCAAGTGCTGGGATTACAGGCATGAGCCACCATGCCCAGCCACATTAATTTGTTATTAACTCATTCAACAATCATATACGTAGGGCCTACCTGTGAGATCACACGTAGGATGTGAACACAGATTCGCACCACCTCAGACCTTGTTACTCAATAGTGTGGTCTTTGGAATTGCAACATCTGTGTCACCTGGCCACTTGTTAGAAATACAGATTATTCTTTCTGGCCAGGCACCTGTAATCTCAGCATTTTGGGAGGCTGAGGCAGGAGGATTGCTTGAGGCCAGGAGTTTGAGACCAGCCTGAGCAATATATCAAGACCCTCATCGCTACAAAAAAAAAAAAAAAAAAAAAAAGCCAGCTGTAGTCCCAGCTACTCAGGAAACTGAGAAGGGAGGATTGCTTGAAACCAGGAATTTGAGGCTACAGTGAGCTATGTGCTCACTCTACTGCACTCCAGCCTGGGCAACAGAGTGAGACCCTGTCTCTTTAAAAAAGTAATAATAATTAAAAATAAATAAATAAATAAGAAATGCAGGTTATTTTTAATACTTAAAACCCACAAAATGTAGTTTTATTTTTTCATTCGATTGGTTACTAAATAATCTGGAAACATGAGGCCAGATGTGGTGGCTCACACCTGTAATCACGAAATCCCGTCTCTACTAAAAATACAAAGAAAAATTAGCCAGGTGTAATCCCAGCTACTTGGGAGGCTGAGGCAGGAGAATCTCTTGAGCCCGGGAGGTGGAGGTGGCAGTGAGCCGGGATCACATCACTGCATTCCAGCCTAGGTGACAGAGCGAGACTCTGTCTAATAATAATAATAATGATAATAATCTGGCAACATGAAATATGTTTGACTGTCTTGCATCACTACCACTAGTAAGGATCATCCTCACTGATTATCACCATGTTACTATACTTGAACCAAAGCAAACTACTTGTACCTCCCCAAAACATTCTCCAAATCTTGGCTGGCCTTGGCCCTGCTCACCACCTACAATGCTTTTCCTTACCCCTTCTGCATCCAAATCCTACTTTAAGATCAAGCTCAAATTTTCCTCTCCCTTAAAGCCTTCTCTTATCTCCTTCACGAGAAGTACTTTCTCCCTCCACTGAATTCCCAGAGGACTCTCTCTGACACCCCGTTCTGGCTTTTGAAATTCCCCATCACTGAGATGTCAGTGGAATTTTAAAAACCATCAAGTCAGCCAGGTGCGGTGGCTCAAGCCTGTAATCCCAGAACTTTGGGAGGCCGAGGCAGGTGGATCACAAGGTCAGGAGATCGAGAGCATACTGGTCAACATGGCGAAACCCCATCTCTAATAAAACTACAAAAATTAGCCAGGCGTGGTAGCGCACGCCTGTAGTCCCAGCTACTCAGGAAGCTGAGGCAGGAGAATCACTTGAACCCGGGAGGCAGAAGTTGCAGTGAGCTGAGATCATACCACTGCACTCCAGCCTGAGTGACAGAGCCAGACTCCATCTCAGAAAAAAAAAAAAAAAAAAAAAAAATATATATATATATATATATATATCTCAAGTCTAGGATCAGACTTCAAGTTTCACTGAGCTGGAAGTGGCTGCCAATGCTCCCCAGCTCTTTAGCAAAAGACATTTACACACGATATTGTATTGGAGGCATTTGGGGAAAATGAAGGAAGTGGGGAGCATTTACAGGGTGCAGTGACTCTAACATCAAGAGCTATTTGCAGAAGCCGTGGGCAATGACAGATGCCAAAACAAGATGGAGAAATCAACTTTTATATAGACTGATTCACAAGAAAATATGGAGTGCCTCTCCCAAACCAGGAATCAAAGATGTTGGGGTGACACAGGCAGACTCCTACGATCCTCTAGATGGGGACCCTGGACATTTGCCTTGCCTATATAGAGGGCTGGAAACTTTTGAGGCTAGAACCACACATTCACAAAGAACCAAGCTTAGTTGTTTATTTTTTAACTTATTACTAAGCATAAACTGTATTTCTGTAGATCAATCATCCCCAAGCTTGGGATTTTTTTTTTTCTTCCTCTGTTGTCCAGGCTGGAGTGCAGTTGGATGATCATAGCTCACTGAAGCCTCAAACTCCTGCCTCAGCCTCCCTAGTAGCTAGGACTACAGGCACACATCACCACATCAGGCTAATCTTTTAATTTTTTTGTATGGTGGGGGGGTCTCACTACATTGCCCAGGCTGGCCTTGAACTCCTGGCCTCAAGCAATCCTCCTTCCTCAGCCTTCCAAAATGCTAGGATTAGAGGTGTAAGCGACCACACCTGGCCAGCAAGGTTGGGATATTTTTAACAGCCAAAGTATTTCCAGTTCCCTCAAGGGCCTTCATGAAAAAACAATTTAAGTCCAAACAGAATTAATTTTAACTCACTGTAGTTTAATAATGAAGCGCACCGTATAAGAATTTTAGAAGGAAAGTCTGTGCCTAATTAAACTCTGGCAATAAAGACAGAGAAGTCTGAAGGTAGAGAGGCTTTCTCATGGTTACCCAGTGTGAGACTCTGATTCCTGGAGACCACAATTATGCACCAGGCAGAGGGAATTCTACTATGCATTTGAGACTTTGATTATGATGTTGTTTAATGTTCATTATGCACAAATCTCAGAGCTGAATTCCAGGAAAAGATTGATTGGCATTCCCCATCCTCCAGCCCCATCTGCTTTCCTTATGTTTTCCCCACACCGAGCTCATTCCCGTCTCAGGGCCTTTGTATTTCCTGGGATTTCTCTCTGGGATGCCCTTTCTCCAGAGCCTTACGTGACTGGTTCCATCTCCTCATTTTGGTCTTGATTCAAATGTCACCCACTTGAGAGGTCTTCCCTGATTCCTTAGTCCAAGAGTTGGCAAACTACAATCCATGGGGCAAACTCAGCCCATCACCTGTTTTTATACAGCCCATGAGCCAAAAGTGGTTTTTACATTTATTATTTTGGACTTTTTTTTAGAGACAAGGTCTCGCTCTGTCACCCAGGCTGGAGTCCAGTGGCTCCATCACGGCTCACTGCAGTCTCAAACTCCTAGGTTCAAGGGATCCTCCCCCCCTCAGCCTCCAGGGTAGCTGGGACTACAGGCATGTACCAGGACACCGGCTATTTTTTAAAAAATTTTTTAAGAAATGGGGTCTTGCTATGTTGCCCAGGCTGGTCTTGAACTTTTGGCTTCAAGTAATCCTCCTGCCTGGGCCTCCCAAAGTGCTGGGATTACAAGCATGAGCCACTGCACCCTGCCTGCTTTTTACATTTTTTAATAGCTGAAAGGAAAATCAAAAGAAGAATCCTATTTGGTGACACATGAAAATTATGCAAATTTCAGCATCCATTAGTAAAGCTTTACTGGGACACAGGCATGCTCATTCATCTATTGTCTACAGCTGTCTTCAAGCTGCAGCGTCAGAGCTGAATAGTTGAGGCAGAGATGGTAGGCTTACAAAGCCTAAAATATTTACCTGGTCCTTTACAGAAAACATTTGCCAAGCGCTCTTCTAGTCTAAAGTACCTGTAATATCCTTTCTGCCTGGGTGCAGTGGTTTATGCCTGTAATCCCAGCACTTTGGGAGGCCAAGCCAGGTGGATCTGTTGAGGTCAGGAGTTTGAGACCAGCCTGGCCAACGTGGAGGAATCACATCTCTACTAAAAATACAAAAATCAGCTGGACATGGTGGCAGGCACCTATACTCTCAGCTATTCAGGAGCTGAGAGAATCACTTGAACTCTGGAGGCAGAGGTTGCAGTGAGCCGAGATTGTGCCACTGCACTCCAGCCTGGGTGACAGAGTAAGACTCCGTCTCAACAAACTATTTTATTTTCTTCATAGCCGCTACCAGTATCTAAATTTCTAAGTTCTCTCTCTCTCTTTATTTACTTACATGTTTAAAAAAATTGTCTCCACCAACACTCCCACAATAAAACAATAGGGCCGTAAGAGCAGAGACTTTGTTTTGTTTCCTTCTCTATCTTCAGCTATTGATACATAATGGGCTTTTAAAAAGTTTATTCTGTTTACATTACTGACATTAAAGGTTTAACAAATTGAAGCTATCTGAGAAATTGTTTGTATTGCTAATCTATATAGCCATTCTTTTCTATCGCTGTTTTGTTTGTTTGTTTGTTTGTTTGCTTGTTTTGCGACAAGGTCTCACTACATCACTCAGGCTGGAATGCAGTGGCACAATCCCAGCTCACTGCAAGTTCTGCCTCCCGGGCTCAAGTGATTCTCCCACCTCAGCCTCCTGAGTAGCTGGGACCACAGGCGCACGCCACCACACCTGGCTTTTGTTTTTTTGTTTGTTTGTTTTGGTAAAGACAGAGTTTTGCCATGTTGGCCAGGCTGGTCTCAAACTCCTAACCTCAAGTGATCTGCCCGTCTCAGCCTCCCAAAGTGCTGGGATTACAGGTGTAAGCCACCGCACTTGGCCCCAATTTTCTTTTCTTTTCTTTCTTTCTTTTTTTTTTTTTTTTTTTTGAGACAGAGTCTCACTCTGTCACCCAGGATGCAGTGCAATTGCATGATCTCAGTTCACTGTAACCTCCACCTCCTGGGTTCAAGTGATTCTCCTGCCTCTGCCTCCCAAATAGCTGGGATTACAGACATGAACCACCACGCCAGGCTAATTTTTTGTATTTTTAGTAGAGAAGGGGGTTCACCATGTTGGCCAGGCTGGTCTCGAACTCCTGACCTCAGTTGATCTGCCTGACTCAGCCTCCCAAAGTGCTGGATTGTAGGCATGAGCCACCATGCCCGGCCCACCTGGCCCCATTTTTAAGTGTAGAGTTGAGCGGGAGTAAGTACATTCACATCCACACTATTGTGCAACCGTCACTACCAGCCATATCCAGAATATTTTGAACCTTGCAAAATCGAAACTGTACCACCATTCTAATTTCTGTCTCTATGAATTTGACTGCTCTAGGACACAAGGAGGCTTTAAGCAACATCCATCAAATAAATAAATCCTGACCTACCTGCTTTGGTAGCCAGGACGCTCAGAGTTAAATTTCTGTGTTTTATTGCCTAGATTTCCTAATAAAATTCTCTTCTGTCTCTCTCTCTTTTTTTTTTTTTCGAGACGGAGTCTCGCTCTGTCACCCAGGCCGGAGTGCAGTGGTGCAATCTCAGCTCACTGCAATCTCTGCCTCCCCGGTTGAAGCGATTCTCCTGCCTCAACCTCCTGAGTAGCTGGGATTACAGGTGCCCGCCACCACGCTCGGTTAATCTTTGTATTTTTAGTAGAGATGTGGTTTCACCATGTCGGTCAGGCTGGTCTCAAACTCCTGACCTCCGGCAATCCTCCTGCCTTGGCCTCCCAAAGTGCTGGGATTACAGGCGTGAGCCACCACGCCCAGCCTCTTCTCTCATTTTAATATAGATTTTTTTATACAGATTTTGAACTTGTACCCCTACTCAAGGTTCACATTGAATCTAAGTTACCATCATTATTTATATTCCACTGAAAAACTAGGACACAACATAGATTATGAAATACAAACACATCATTATTTCAGACTTCCACATGTGCGAATTGCATTGACGAAATGGAGTATGTGTTTTACTCCATAAGCCACATCAAACTGTTTTTCGAAGCAGTGGGAGGTGGTAAAAATCAGAAGAGAACAACATCAAATCCATGTTTTCAGAGATGAAACACCTCTTCTGAAGATATTCTTCCCCCAAAAAGTGACCCCACCTCCAAGTACAGGCTCACCAGTGGCATTGGAGGATGTCTGCAGTATTCCAGTCATCCAGGAATAGAGAGCTCTCTGGGAATGAGCCGAGGTTTTGTCGTAGAGATCTTTGAACACTGCAGATCTAAATGACACAAACACAGGCATCAGCTAATAACAAGCAGGTGGGGGCTGCATTAAAAAGGGAGTCACAACAGCAAATGTGACCCAAAGCTGTCTTGTGTTAAAACCCTTCCCTCTCCTGGATGTGGAGAAATAGAAACGCTTTTACACTGTTGGTTGGAATGTAAATTGATTCAACCATTGTGGAAGACAGCGTGGTGATTCCTCAAGAATCTAGGACTAGAATTACCATTTGACCCAGCAATCCCATTTCTGGGTATGTACCCAAAGGATTATAAATCATGCTACTATAAAGACACATGCACACGTATGTTTATTGTGGCACTATTCACAATAGCAAAGACTTGGAACCAACCCAAATGTCCTCCAATGATGGACTGGATTAAGAAAATGTGACACATATACACCATGGAATACTATGCAGCCCTAAAAAAGGATGAGTTCGTGTCCTTTGCAGGGACATGGATGAAGCTGGAAACCACCATTCTCAGCAAACTATCACAAGGACAGAAAACCAAACACCGCATGTTCTCACTCATAGGTGGGAATTGAACAATGAGATCACTTGGGCACAGCAAGGGGAACATCACACACCGGGGCCTGTTGGGGGGTGGGGGGAGGGGGTGGGGATAGCATTAGGAGATATACCTAATGTAAATGATGAGTTGATGGGTGCAGCAAACCAACATGGCACATGTATACCTATGTATCAAACCTGCACGTTGTGCACATGTACCCTAGAACTTAAAGTATATTTAAAAAAAAAAAACCTTCCCTTTCTTGAATGTAAATTGGTTCAACCATTGTGGAAGACAGTGTAGCGATTCCTCAGAGATCTAGAACTAGAAATACCATTTGACCCAGCAATCCCATTATCGGGTATATACCCAAAAATATATAAATCATTCTGTCACAAAGATAAATGCACACATGATCATTGCAGCACTAATCACAATAGTAAAGACATGTAGTCAACCCAAATGCCCATCAATAATAGACTGGATAAAGAAAATGTGGTACATATATACCATGGAATACTATGCAGCCATAAAAATGAACAAGATTATGTCTTTTGCAGGGACATGAATGGACCTGGAAGCCATTATCCTCAGCAAACTAACGCAGGAACAGAAAATGAAACACCCCATGTTCTCACTTGTAAGTGGAAGCTGAACGATGAGATCACATGGACACAGGGAGGGGAACAACACACACTGGGTCCTATTGTGGGGGTGGGGTGGGGGAGGGAGAGCATTAGGAAAAATATCTAATGCATGCTGGGCTTGATACCTAGGTGGTGGGTTGATAGGTACAGCAAACCACCATGGTACACGTTTACCTATGTAACAAACCTGCACATCCTGCACGTGTACCCCAGAACTTAAAAATAAAAAATACCCCCAAACACACTCCTTAGGTATATGTAACTATTTTTCCCATTTTCCTCTTCCCCTTCACAGCTAAACACCTTCCAAAGAATATTCCATACATATTGTCTCCACTTCCTCACCTCTTGGTCCTTTTTTGGGGAAGTGGGGGCAGCTCTGTTGAGATATAATTCCCACACCTTACAATTCACCCATTTAAAGTACACAATTGGGCCGGGTGCAGTGGCTCACACCTGTAATCCCAGCACTTTGGGAAGCCAAGGCAGGCGGATCACCTGAGGTCAGGAGTTTGAGACCAGCCTGACCAATATGATGAAACTCTGTCTCTACTAAAAATACAAAAAGTAGCCAGGCGTGGTGGCATGCACCTGTAATCCCAGCTACTTGGGAGGCTGAGACAGGAGAATCACTTGAACCTGGGAGGTGGAGGTTGCAGTGAGCCGAGATGGGGCCATTGCACTCCAGCCTGGGCAACAAGAGTGAAACTCTGTCTCAAAAAAAAAAAAATTACATAAATAAAGTGCACAATTCAGTGGTTTTCAGCATATAAGACAAAGAGCCAAAGATGTTTCTGATGGCATCATTTGAGTCTCTGGATCCAGCTGCGTCTGAAGTCAGCCCTACACCTAAAACTATTCAATTACATGTTCCAATAATTCCCTTTTTGCTTCAAGCCAGTTTGAATGGGTTTTTCTGCCACTTGGGCTTACTGCTTACTCAGGTGAGCAGTAACCAATAAACTCTCTCTCCCAATGATGTTCTCTTCCACAATCTGCATGAACGGAGGAGGGAAGAGATGCTGAATTTAAAAGGAATAGTATAATAGCCTGCAGAGCAAAAGGGTTTCATTTATATACATCTTAGTGAAAAAAACTGGCAACCTAGAGAAACGATGAGGTCAGCATACTGTCTGTTTTCCTTACTGTCATTTGGCTACAAAAGATAAAAGGAATCTCCCACATTGTTATCATCATATTGGTCTTTTCCTTCTTCTAAATCATTTTTAGATTTAGAAAGAGTGCTTTATGGCCATAAAGCACTACGATTAGTAAAAGGAGGGAGTTGGCGGTGGTTGCAATGCCTATGGCCCTTCAAGTCCTAGACACAATCCTCGAATTTGGTTTACATCAAAGCGCAATTTCATGCAGGGCTAGGTGTAACCAATCTAAGCTGGCATGGCATCTCAAAAGGAGAAGTCCTCCTTTTTCAGTGCTCTGTCACTCCTTCTGTTGTCCCTCAAGAACAAAGTCTCAGTTTAGTGCCAGTGAATCTTTAAAACACACTCAGATTGTTTTTAAATCAATGGAACAAGACCCAGGCTCAGAGCCTTTGTGCTGTGGACTGAATGTTTGCGTTTCCCCAAATTTCATGTGTTGAAATCCTAATTCCCAACATGAAGGTATTAAGAGGTGGAGTTTTGAGGAGGTGATTAGGTCATGAGGCTGGATACCTCATGAATGGGATTAGTGCCCTTATAAAAGAGATCCCAGAGGGCTTGCCCACCCCTTCCACCACAAGGGGACACAGCGAGAAGGTGCCACCTATAAACCAGAAAGCGAGCCCTCACCAGACACCAAGTCTGTCAGCACCTTGATCTTGGACTTCCCAGCCTCCAGAACCATGAGAAATAAATGCTTCTTGTTTACTAGCCACACAGTCTATGGTATTTTTGTTACAGCAGCCCAATCTGACTAACACACTTAAGCAAGCAACATATCTAGCTAGGATTTAGTAACACTTTTTTTCCCACTGTATTTATTTATGTGGGTTTTTTTGTTTTTGTTTTTTGTTTGTTTGTTTTTGTTTTTGAGATGGAGTCTCACTCTGTCGCCCAGGTTGGAGTGCAGTGGCATGATCCCAGCTCACTGCAACCTCCACCTCCCAGGTTCAAGCAATTCTCCTGCCTCAAGCCTCCCAAGTAGCTGAGATTACAGGCGCCCACCACCATGCCCAACTAATTTTTGTATTTTTAGTAGAGACGTGGTTTCATTATGTTGGCCAGGCTGGTCTCGAACTGCTGACATCATGATCCACCCACCTCTGCTTCCCAAAGTGCTGGGATCACAGGTGTGAGCTACCACACCCAGCCTAACTCTACAGATGTTAAGCTTTTGCTCCAAAACGTGCATATCAACCTGTCCCCACTTGTCTTCTCCCTGCTGCCAGGTGAGATCTCTTTGCATTCTCACGGCAGCCCCTGAAGGATACTGTGATGAGTTAAGAAGGTGGGAGTGGCTGGGTGCAGTGGCTCATGCCCGTAATCCAAGCACTTTGGGAGGCCAAGGCAGGTGGATCACTTGATGTCAGGAGTTCGAAACCAGCCTGGCCAACATGGTGAAACTCCATCTGTACAAAAATACAAAAATTAGTCGGGTGTGGTAGGCGCCCCTGTAGTCCCAGCTACTTGGAATTGAGGCAGGAGAATCACTTGAACCTGGGAGGCAGAGGTTGCAGTGAGCCGAGACTGCACCACTGCACTCCAACCTGGGCGACAGAGTGAAACTCCATCTCAAAAAAAAAAAAAAAAAAGTTCGGAGGAACCACTCACAGGTTCTTAAAGGCATCCTCGCGCAGGTCCCGAGGGAGCCGCTCTGTGATGTCTGGCTGGAGAAAGCTCCCTGAGGACCCCCTCAGCACCTTGCCCAGGATCTCCACACACTCCAGGGAGTTCAGCATCTGGAAACACCTCTCCAGTGTGATGAGAAACAGGCTGCGGTTCACGCCAGGGCTCTGCAAGGCTCGTTCTCGAATCTCTCCTAAGTCGATGATGATGTCTTTCAGGTCCTAAAGCAATGACAGAAGCCAGGGTCAGTTTGAGAGCTGCCTCTCAATTTGGAAGCCCTGGGAGGGACCACACATTGCAACAGTGGGGAAAGTCAGGATCACTGTTTAACACCATGCTGCTATGTTGAAACTTCTAGAACTTTCCATTCCCTGCAGAACAAAGTCAAGGCCTTTACCTGCTCCACTCACTGTGGAGCCTCCCCACTCTCCAGATACACCTGACCAGCATACATCAGGCCCTTGGTCTACCTGGAATTCTGCATCTTTCCTTTTTCTGGTGAAATCTAGCTCATCCTTTAAGTCTGGGCTCCATTGCCATCACCTTCGTGAAGTCTCTGATCCCTCCAACTTCCTACTTCAGATCAGATTTCCCTCCCTTATGTGGCCCCAGGGCATCTTGAACCAAACTCTATAATGCATTAAAGGGACTCATGCGTCTTTCCTCCAAGCCCGTGGTTCTCATCTCTGGGTGCACATCAGAATCACCTGGGGAGCTTTTTTAAAGTTTTATTTTATTTTTGAGACAGGGTCTCGCTCTGTCACCCAGTCCGCAGTGCAGTGGTGTGATTATAGCTCACTGCAGCCTCAACCTCCTGGGATTGAGCGATCCTCCCACCTCAGCCTCCCAAGTAGCTGGGACTACAGGCACACACCACCATGCTCAGCTGTTTTTTGTAGAGATGGAGTTTTGCCATGTTGTCCAGGCTGGTCTCAAACTACTGGGCTCAAGCAATCTGCCCACAACCTCCCAAAGTGCTAGGGTTACAGGTATGAGCCACCATGCCCAGCCCATCTGGGGAGATTTTGAAAAGGACTGATTGGCCTGGAACAGTGGCTCACATCTATAACCCCAGCATGTTGGGAGGCTGAGGCAGGTTGATCGCTTGAGCCTAGGAGTTTGAGACCAGCCTAGGCAACACAGGGAGACCCCGTCCCTAAAAAATAAATTTTTTAAAATTAGCTGGGTGTGCTAATGCGCACCTGTAGTCCTAGCTGCTTGAGAGGCTGAGGTGGGAGGATCACTTGGGCTCAGGATATCAAGGCTGCAGTGAGCTATAATTATACCACTGCACTCCAGCCTGGATGACAGAGCAAGCCCCTGTCTCTAAGAAAAAAAAAAAAAGCCTCCATTTTACTGAGCATTGACTCTACTGTGCCAAGCTTGGAGCAAACGCATCATCTGATTAATTCTCATGACAATCCTACCGGTTAAGCCCCATGGGTACTAGGGTCAGGCATTCCCAGGTTCCAGTCCCAGGGCCTCCATTATCTGTGTGTCCTGAGCAAATGACTTACCTTTTTTAAGTCCCAGTTTTTAAGGTCTCAGAGGCCTTGCTTTGTGATATTCTTGGATCACTAAACTCATTTTGTGGAAATTAACTGTTCCTGTTTTTTGTCTCCCCTCCAGACCGTGAGCTCCTTGAGTGCAGGAGGATCTCTGTGTCCACTGGTGCATAGTAATTTTTACTAGTGGATGTTTATTGACCCAAACAACCAGGAGATTCTCAGATCCTTAATTAGGACCCGTCATTTCTTAGTACTGACAAAAATATGAATTAGGCCAGGCATGGTGGCTCACACCTGTAATCCCAGCACTTTGGGATGCCGAGGCAGGCAAATCACTTGAGGCCAGGAGTTTGAGACCAGCCTGGCAAAATCTCGTCTCTACTAAAAATACAAAAATTAGCCAGGCATGGTGGTGCACACTTGTAATCCCAGCTACTTGGGAGGCTGAGGCACAAGAATCACTTAAACCCAGGAGGCAGAAGTTACAGTGAGCTGAGATTGTGCCACTGCACTCCAGCCTGAGTGACAGAGTGAGACTCTAAAACAAAAATAAAATAAAAAATTGTAAGGCTCTTCATTTTAACTTTGGAGAAAGTAAGTGAGAAAACTTAGGTCCTAAAGCCCCCAGGGGGTTGGAGGAGGCAGAAGGAGAGAGGAAGAGACAATGAAGTGCCAAGGCCTAAGTCAGGCTCCATTTATTCAATTCAACAAACACCACGTGGTGCTGGACTTCCTCTATCCCCGGGATGCCAAGGGCTCCTCACCAAGCCGTCCTTCTTGTCTTCTAAGAGGCATTTCATGGCAGTGCGGAACTGCTGGGCGTCTGTCTTCCTCAGGTCCTCCAGCAGCTTCTGGGGCTGGTGCAGACGCTGCTCCAGGTGGTTTTCCACGGCTGCCTGTATTTGGGGTGTTGGGAGAGTCGGTGAGAACAGAAAGAGCAGGAGCACATGGTCAGCACCATGGCCAGCGGCCCAGCCCGGCCCCCTCATTCCCTGCAGAGACCACAACTAGTGGCCAGCAGTCTGGTTTGGCCACCTCCAAATTTCCTCATTAGCCGCCAACATTTAAAAATGAGGGGCCGGGCGCGGTGGCTCATGCCTGTAATCCCAGCACTTTGGGAGGCCGAGGCGGGTGGATCACGAGGTGAAGAGATCAAGACCATCCTGGCCAACATGGTGAAACCCCGTCTCTACTAAAAATACAAAAATTAGCTGGGTGTGGTGGCGCACGCCTGTAGTCCCAGCTACTTGGGAGGCTGAGGCAGGAGAATCGCTTAAACCCGGGAGGCGGAGGTTGCAGTGAGCCGAGATCACGCCACTGCACTCCAGCCTGGTGACAGAGCGAGACTCCACCTAAATAATAATAATAATAATAATAATAATAATAATAATAATAATAAGGGGATTCCTCACAAGATCAAGATTTCCAACTTCTCTTGAAAAAGTAAAGGTTTGGCAACACCGGGCGCACATCCCCTTTTAGGCAATAATTGGCAAGCCAAGGGACAGCTGCTTGTTGAAGTAACTCTCAGGCCCAGCCAGCCCGATTCCCCCATTCCATGGCCTGCCTGGTCCCTGTAGGTGATTGAGTTTCCCATCAGCAGCAGCTGGCCTTTGTCCAGGAAGTTTAGAACCCCAGATGGCACTGTGCCCAAACCCAAGCTACCAGCGCAGGAGCAAAATACAGGCGAAATGAACATACTCTGTGGCGCCCCCTACAGGGCAAGGAGCAGAAGCCATCAGCCTCTCCTGAAAGAGATTTCCTCTGCTGTCTGGGGAATTGTTCTCTAAATCTCCGTTAAACAGACATGCCCAGTGTGATGTCATGGGCAAAAGGTGAACTCTAGACCCAGACAAGCCACATGCAAATCCCCACCTTGACACTTACTAGCTGTGTGGCTTGGACGAGTTACTTAACTAGGGTTGCTGGGTAAAATACAGGATGCTCAGTTAAATTTGAATTTCGGGAAAAACTACACATTTTTTTTTTTTTAGTATAAGTATGTCTCAAATGTTGCATAGGACATACTTAACTTAAAAAATCACTCATTGTTTGCCAGGCAAGGTGGCCCACACCTGTAATCCCAGCACTTTGGGAGGCCAAGACAGGCGGATCATGAGGTCAGGAGTTTGAGACCAGCCTGGCCAACATAGTGAAACCCCATCTCTACTAAAAATACACAAATTAGCCAGGCATGATGGCATGCACCTGTAGTCCCAGCTACTCAGGAGGCTGAGGCAGGAGAATTGCTTGAACCTGGGAGGAGGAGGTTGTGGTGAGCTGAGGTGGCACCACTGCACTCCAGCCTGGGCAACAGAGCAAGACTCTGTCTCAAAAAAAAAAAAAATCACTCATTATTTATCTGAAATTCAAACGAAATTGGACATCTGTTTTTTGTTTTTGTTTTTGTTTTAGAGACGGGGTCTTGCTCTGTTGCCCAGGCTGAAATGCAGTGGTATGATCATAGCTCACCGTAACCTCAAACTCCTGGGCTCAAGCAATCCTCCTGCCTCAGCCTTCCAAGTAGCTGGGACTACAGGCCACACCACCACACTCAGCTAATTTTTTGTTTGTTTGTTTGTTTGTTTTTGTAGAGACAAGGTCTCGCTATGTTGGCAAGGCTTGTCTCCAACTCCTGGTATCAAGCAATCCTCCCACCTATGCCTCTCAAAGTGCTGGGATTACAGGCATGAGCCACCACGCAGAGTCACATCTGTATTTTTATTTGCTAAATCAGCAACATTTCTTCTGGGCCTCAGTTTTCTTATCTGCAAAATGGAGGCAATAAAAGGACTTACCACATAGAGTTATTACGAGGATTCAGTGTGTAAAGTGTTTTCAATAGTTGCTAGCACACAGTAAGTGCTCAATAGTGCCAGCTATTATTCTCTATCTTGACCAAGGTGAATAATGGCTTAATTAAAGCCTCACCCCTAAAATGAAAGGTCCTTGTGGGTAGTATCATGACTGCCTTGTTCCCTACTGAGTCCTCAGTGTCTAGAGCTATGCCTGGCAGAAAGCAGATGTTAACTCAGTAGATATTAAATGAATAAATAAATATGGTATATACACAGGAAGAAACGTATCAGATTAAAGTGGATACATCTCATGAGTATCCATTACTGCTAGAGAGAAAAGTGGCAAGCATTGCTTCTCTTTCAGTTTCCCTGACTGATGAAGAAGAAAAGAAAAGCAGATGCCATGTGGGGCCAACAGCCACCTCCAGCTAGTGGCTGTCCTGGGACCTGGCAGACAACAAGCTCTCTGAGTATATTTGTGATATCAATGTTGGTTGATGTTTCCATTTTCATTCAAACATAAGTAAAAATGGAAACAATGAAGACATATGTCAGAACTTTATTCATTAATTAATGACATAAATGGTCTTTTGCTAAACTGAATAACTTTCTCAATACTGAAAGAATTTTTCTCCAATTTTCTGTGTTATCCACAGTGTGATGATAAAGACACAACATGCCACACTAGGCTAACAGTCAGGCAGGTGCTGTGCAGTTCACCGCAGTCACCACCACAGGCACGAGCCCTATTGCCCCTTAAGGCAAATATCCTTTGCCACCTATCAACACGCTTGTGCTATTGTTTTCATTACAGTAGTACATTTCTTGGACCCATGGTAGAAAGACTGATCACTATATCCAAATATCCACTCTCTCACTGCTCTTTATCAATTGAACCCTTCAACTTTTAGTTGGGTACATGGCTCCTTTGCAGTAAGATGTGACTATGGTGTGTGAGCCAATCTAATGTGTGCAGAGGGAATTGTGTAACTTGCGTCATATCCTCAGAAGAGAAGATGCTACCCTTGTCTTCTTCTTCCCACCCATCCCCTGGATTGGAGAAAGGAAGAGGTGTTTCCACCACATGGGCAATAACTCCCCAGGAGATGACAAAGCAAAAAGATAAAAGGAACCTGGGTCCTTGGATAACCTCATGGAATAGAGCTGCCTTTTCTCTGTGGCTTTCCCACTTAGCTCTGGACTATTGTACGAGAAAGAAATAAACTAAATTGTTTGAGCTGCTGTCATCTGGGGGTCTTTTTGTTATAGCAGCTCAGCCTATATCCTAATATACCATGTCTCCATCAAAGGTGGGAAAATGAAAGAAAGACAAAATAGCTTATATCATGTTTCAAGAAAAACTGGACAGAACCCTTTTCCTTGCAGAAGCAAAGACTATCTCTACATCCAGCCCACTTCTCCAACTTACCTGGCCCCTGAGTTTGCAATCCCTGAGCACTGAGATGGGAACATATAGATGGGTCTCAGGTACACACCTGCAGGCTGGGGATGGTGAAGGCAACATTCCGGGAATTCAGATAGGCCAGGACTCTGTGGGACAGGTCATCCGTCCACACGTGGGAGCTTCAGTTGAAGACAGACAGGAAAAGATCACAATGACAGATTCTCCTACAAGCACTACTGTACTAGCTAAGTGCCCAGGGGACAGGTAGGGATGGACCAGGGGTGTTAGGACTTTGTACTTGGAAGTGGGAGGTTTCTCTTTTCTTTTCTTTCCTTTTTTCTTTTCTCTTTTTTTGAAACAGGGTCTTGCTCTGTTGCGCGATCACGGCTCACTGCAGCCTCAATCTCCCCAGCCCAAGTGATCTTCCAACCTCAGCCACCCAAGCAGCTGGGATCACAGGTGCATGCCACAACACCCAGCTAATTTTTTGTAGAGATGGGGTCTCACTATGTTGCCCAGGCTGGTCTCAAACTCCTGGGCTCAAGCAATCCTCCCACCTCTGCCTCCCAAAGTACTGGGATTACAGGAGTGAGCTGCTGCACCCAGCCTGAAGTAAAAAATTTCTTAACCAGGCACAGTGATAGGATAGTTTCCAATTCTAGGAATCTGCCTGGATCCCATTCTCTCAAAGCCAATTCCCAAATTTCTAAGCTGTATGCAATATTCTAATTCCCGTAACAATCTGCTTAGATTGACTACAATCCAAACTGATTGTGTTAGAAAGATGTACATTTAAAAGCAGACGCTAGGTACACCATGAGAGGCTGGAATAGCATAGTTAGGAGTGTGGGCTCCAAACTGGATTTGAATCCTAGTTCCATCACTTAGTTGTGTGGCTTGAGACAATTTGATAAATTTTCTTGTGCCTCAGTTTCCCTTTATATGAAATATGGTTAACAACTGTGAGATTAAAATTTGTTCACACATGAAAATTGCGTAAGACTGTGCCCAACACACAGTAAATGCCCATGAATAGCCTTTTCTCATTTTTTTTTTTTTTTTTGGAGACAGAGTCTCACTCTGTTACCCAGGCTGGAGTGCAGTGGTGCAATCTCAGCTCACTGCAACCTCCGCCTCCCAGGTTCAAGCGATTCTCCTGCCTCAGCCTTCCAAGTAGCTGGAATTACAGGCGTGCACCACCACATCCAGCTCATTTTTCTATTTTTAGTAGATACTGAGTTTTGCCATGTTGGCCGGGCTGGGCTGGAACTCCTGGCCTTAAGCGATCCTCCTACCTTGGCCTCCCAAAGTGCTGGGATTACAGGATAAGCCACCATGCCCAGCCTATGAAAAGCCTTTTGTAATCTTACGTTTGCTTCTTTGTTTGTTTGTTTGTTTGTTTTGCGATGGAGTCTCACTCTGTTGCCCAGGCTGGAGTGCAGTGGCTCAATCTTGGCTTATCACAACCTCAGCCTCCCGCGTTCAAGTGATCCTCCTGCCTCAGCCTCCTGAGTAGCTGGGACTACAGGTATGCACCACCATGCCTAGCTAATTCTTTTGTACTTTTAGTAGGGACAGGGTTTCACTATGTTGGCCAGGCTGGTCCCGAACTCCTGACTTCATGATCCGCCCACCTTGGCCTCTCAAAGTCCTGGAATTATAGGCATGAGCCACCGCGCCCGGCCTGTAATCTTATAAAGAGATGGATGGATGGATGGATGGATGGATGGATAAATTAATAAACAAATAAAATACTTAGACTGAAAGAATATATCCAAAAGTACCCATTGGTGTTATCTTAGGGAAAGGAGTGGTTATGGGAGTCTTTCACTTTAACATAACTGGGTATCCCTGATATGAGGCCCCAAGACCCCTATTTCTTATCGATCATAGTACTCATCATATTAGAATTGTTTATTAATATTGGCGTTTCCACACTACCTAGTTCCCTGCCCCATGTCCCTGGTATCTGTCTGTATGCAGCTTATAATGCAACAGTAAAGGGAATGGGTCCTGGAGCCAGGCCACTGGTTCACATCCCAGTTGTGTGTCCTTGATTTACCCTTCCTGGACCTCAGTTTCACCATTGTGTGCAATGGGATAACAATGGGAACTACATTGTGTGGCACTTGTGAGGATTAGATTGTTTCTATACCAAGCGCTTAGTAGAATACCCACTACATAGAAAGCACTCAATAAATTTCAGCTCTTAGGCCGGTTGCGGTGGCTCACACCTGTAATCCCAGCACTTTGGGAGGCTGAGGCCGGCAGATCACCTGAGGTCAGGAGTTTGAGACCAGCCTGGCCAACATGGTGAAAACCCATCTCTACTAAAAATACAAAAATTAGCCGGGCATGGTGACAGGTACCTGTTACCCCAGCTACTCAGGAGGCTGAGGCAGGAAAATTGCTTGAACCCCGGAGGCAGAGGTTGCAGTAGTGAGCCAAGATAGCACCACTGCACTCCATCCTGGGCAACAAGAGCGAAACTCCATTCAAAAAAAGAAAAAAAATTGGCCCTTATGCTAGAGTGAGGAGGAATGATGCCCGTGGAGCAAGGGTGTTTGTTGACTTTTAACACATTGTGCATTGATTGACATTTTTTGTAATGAGCACATATTACTTTTTACAATTAAGAGACTTCCATTAAGAATTTTTATTAAAAATCTATACCATCCCTTCCCCTCTCCTCTAGGGCATTTTACCTTTGAAACTGTATGAGATCCAGCAGTGCTACAATGGGAGTAAAATGAAAAGACATCTTTAAAAGGAATCATTCCAGAGAGATCACAGCTACATTCTGTTTGAAATTCTTAGAAGAAGCAAGTGGAGATCAAGGGGGCACATTACCATTCAGATAGCTTCCATCTATTATTTCTTCCTAAAAGGCAAAGAGATAACATCAAGTATAACAACCAAAAGTTGGCAATTCCAGTAGAGGGGACTCTGATTAACAGAAAATAGAATACTCACCGCCATGTTTTGCAACAATGGATGCAAATCTGTAAGAAAGCCATTGAATGTATAACTAGAATTGAATTGTGTGACCTTCAAAACTACAAATATGGGTTAGAGGAAAAGCCCCAGAAAGCCACTCATGAAGGAAATTTTTAGTGAATTTTAATTATAACTGTCCACTCTGAGAAAACCGTGGCTTGAAAAATCCTCTTAGAATAATCCTGAAAAATCATACATGCACACACACACAGCCCAAAAACAACTTACAGCATCATGTACCTAATGTATCTATCCCACCTCATTCCCTAAACTGTGTGGAAACCACAAAGGGTGATTCTTCCCTCAGGACTTACCCTGCCTGGAATTTGGCACTGTATAACTCGACACTCCATGGCTCAGAAAAAGGAATAGGAAAAGGGAGTATGTCGTAGGTTCCTGAGACATTCTCCTGTAGTTAATTTAAGCATAGAAGTGATTCATGTTTTTTTAATATATATATATATACACACACACACATATATATACATGTATATAAACATATATATATATATGGACATTCAGAAGACAAAAGGAAAAACCAAGTACACCCAGAAACCCTTGAAGTCTTTTTTAAAAATAATTTTAAAACTCACCTACTTTCCTCCATCTAAACCCCCATTCTTGTCTAAGACACTATCATCTCTCTCCTTGGTGACTACAATGGCCTGTTTATCTTACCACTACCCCCAACTCCTCTCAATCCAGCAAAAAGGTATAGTCAAAAGTAGACTCTGGGCCAAGCATGGTGGCTCACACCTGTAATCCCAGCACTTTGCATGGCCAAGGTGGGTGGATCTCTTGAGGTCAGGAGTTCGAGACCAGCCTGGCCAACATAGTGAAACCCTGTCTCTACTAAAAATAAAAAATTAACTGGGTATGGTGGTGCATGTCTGTAGTCCCAGCTACTTGGGAGGCTAAGACAGGAGAAGTGCCTGAATCTGTGAGGTAGAGGTTGCAGTGAGCCAAGATTGTGCCACTGCACTCCAGCCTGGGCAACAGAGCGAGACTCTGGAAAAAAAAAAGTATAGACTCTATTTTATCTGCAAGAAATTTATATCCAGAATACAAAAACTACTCTTATAATTCAATAAGAAGATAGACAAGCCAAGGGGAAAAAATGTTAAAAAGATATGAAGTTGGCCAGGCGCAGTGGCTCACGCCTGTAATCCCAGCACTTTGGGAGGCTGAGGTGGGCGGATCATGAGGTCAGGAGATCCAGACCATCCTGGCTAACACGGTGAAACCCCGTCTCTAATAAAAATACAAAAAAATTAGACGGGCGTGGTGGCGGGCGCCTGTAGTCCCAGCTACTCAGGAGGCTGAGGAAGAAGAATGGCGTGAACCCTGGATGCGGAGCTTGCAGTGAGCCGAGATCACGCCACTGCACTCCAGCCTGGGCGACAGAGCAAGACTCCGTCTCAAAAAAAAAAAAAAAAAAAAGATATGAAGCTAAACTTCATAAAAACAGATGTAAAAATGGCCAATAAGCACACAAATGATTATCACATTAGCTAACAAGAACTAGCAAATTAAACTCACAACGAGACCACTACAAAGTCACTAGAATGGGCAAAAATTTCAAAGACTGACTATCAAATGTTGGTGATGATATGGAACAACAGGAACTCTGATACAGCTGCTTGGAAAAACTGTTTGACAGTGTCTTACAGAGTTAAATATACAATACCCTATGATCAAGAAATGCCACCCCTAGGTATTTAAGCAAGAGAAATGAAAACATGTCTACACAAAGATTTATATAGCTTCATTCATAGTAGCCAGATATTGGAAACAATCACATATCCAATAACAGGTGAAAGGTTAAACATGGATCTCCATTCAGTGGGATACCATTCAGTAATAACAATAAAAAGAAATTCATCATAATTTTATTCTAGCTATGATGGAGTAATTGGCAATGGATAAACCGTCCTGCCTTAAACAATTAAAAAGCTGGCTGAAATATGTGCATCCAAAGGTTTTTCAGACATTGGGCAGCAGGTAGCACAAGACTGAGATCCCTGAGCAAGGAAGGCAAACAAGCTGAGCTCTATAATTGCTCCTGCTCACTGCCTGGAGTCTCCATCCAACAGCACAAGGAGGGAGAATCCAAACAGAGCCTACAGGTCTCACTGAGCAGAAGAGACGGAGTGGAACTTCAGGGAAATCAAGGCAGCTAGAATCCATAAGAAGAATACTTGGAGAGGAGGAAGTTGCACAGAGAGAAAGTTCTGGAGATCTGAAGAAGGGTCTTTTGAGACTTTGGCTGAATATTTATCTACCTTTGCATGTAAGAAACCTCCTGAGGCTGGAGAATGAACCACCAGTAGGCAGAACAATCCTTGGACCTCACAGGGGAATGAGAATAGCTCCTGCAAGCTGCAATGGAAAAACCTCCAAACACATTGGGCATCAGGGTCAATCATCAAAGAACAATTGCCTCCATGATAGGCCAAATTAGCCCTAGGCTAAAGTTTATTCCAGATCTGCCCTAACAAATCTCAAAAGCAAGTCTTGGAAGGATCTAATTGATTCCAAGTAACTGAATTGCATTCCAGAACAAAACCCAACAATATTTAAAGCAGTATCATAAAACCCAGAAACTTCAGAAAACCAGAAGATGGAGAAAGAAAAAAAAGAAAAAAAAAATCCAGCAATGTAAAATCCGAAGTGTCCAGATCTAATCAAAAATTATCAGGCAGGCCAAGCACAGTGGCTCATGCCTATAATCCCAGCCCTTTGGGAGGCCAAGGAAGGTGAATTGTCTGAGCTCAGGAGTTTGTGACCAGCCTGGGCAACATGGTGAAACTCTGTCTTTACCAAAAATGCAAAACTTTGCCAGGGATGTGGCAGGTGCCCAACTACTCAGGAGGCTGAGGTGGGAGGGTCACTGAAGCCTGGAAAGTTGAGGCTGCAATGAGCCATGATTATGCCACTGCACTCCAGCCAGGGTGACAGAGCGAGAACCTGTCTCAAAGAAATTTTTTAATAAATAAATAAAAATTACCAGGCATACTAGGAAGCAGGAAAATATGGCTGATTATCAGGAGAAAAATCCAATCAATAGAACAGATCCAGAAATGACACAGAAGATCCAATTAATGGACAAGGATGTTTATTATAAATACACTCTGGAAGTTCAAGAAAGTAGGGAAAACTGCGAGCATGTTAAAGGGAGAGACATGGTAGGTGCGAAAAAAACCCCAAGAGGAACTTCTAGAGATAAAAATACAATATCTGAAATGGAAAATACACGGGATAGAGTTAACAGCATATTAGACACTGCAGAAGAAAAATTAGTGAACTTGAAGTCATAGCAAAATAAATTATCCAAAGTAAAATGCAGGGGGAAAAAGACTGAAAAAATTAAGAGGGCTCTGGAGCAATATGAAACTATTTGAAATATGTGTAACTGGAGTCCCAGGAAAGGAGGGGGTGGCACAAAAATATCTGAATAAATCATTAGCAGGGCACAGTGGCTCACGCCTGTAATCCCACATTTTGGAAGGTTGAGGTGGGCAAATCACTTGAGGCCAAGAGTTCAAAACCAGCCTGGCCAACATGGTGAAGCCCCATCTCTATAAAAAAAAAAAAAAAAAAAAAAAAAAAAAATAGCCAGGTGTGGTGGCTGTAATCCCAGCTACTCAGGAGGCTGGGCACAAAAATCACTTGAACCTGGGAGGCGGAAGTTGTAGTGAGCCAAGATTGCACCACTGCACTCCAGCCTAGGTGACAGAATGAGACTGAAAAAAAAAAGAGAGAGAGAGAAAGAAAAAGAAAGAAGGAAAGAAAGAGAGAAAGAAAAAGAAAGAAAGAAAGAAAGAAAGAAAGAAAGAAAGAAAGAAAGACAGAAAGAAAACATGACCTCATGACCAAATTTGTGTAAAGTTTGATAGAACTACAGATCCACAGATCCAAGAAGCTCAACCAACCCCAAGCAGAGGAATCATGAATAAAGCCACGCCAAGGCATATAATAATCAAATTGCTAAAAAAAAAAAAAAAAAAAAAAAAAAGATTTTTAAAAAAAATCCAGCAAAAAGGAGTTGCATCTAGACTATATTGAAAAACTCTTAAAACTAAAAAATAAATAAGCAATCCAATCAGAAAACGAGCAGAAGATATGTGCAGATATATCATCAAAGTATATATACAGATAGCAAATAAACACATGGGAAGATACTCAGCACTGTTAGCCATTAGGAAAATGACCACTGAAACCACAGTATAATTATAGGCCTATCAGATGGCTAAAATAAAAAAAAAAAAACCATAATGAAGCCAGGCGCAGTGAATCATGCCTGTAATCCCAGCACTTTGGAAGGCCGAGGTGGGTGAATCACCTGAGATCAGGAGTTTGAGACCAGCCTGGCCAACATGGTGAAACCCCATCTCTACTAAAAATACAAATATTAGCCGGGCATGGTGGCTCATGCCTGTAGTCCCAGCTACTCAGGAGGCTGAGGCAGGAGAATTGCTTGAACCGAGGAGGCGGAGGTTGCAGTGACTGGGAGGCAGAGGTTGCAGTGAGCCAAGATTGCACCACTGCACTCCAGCCTGGGCAACAGAGTGAGACTTCAACTCAAAAATAAATAAATAAATGTAACCATAATGCCATTAACTAGAAAGAATGAGGAGAAACTGGATCACTCACACATTGCTGATGAGAATATAAGGTGGTACAGCTATTCTGGAAAATAGTTTTGTTGTTTCTTATAAAATTAAATGTGTACTTAACGTACAGCCCAACAATTACACTCTTGGGCATTTATCCCAGAAAAATGAAAATTTATGTTCACATAAAAACCTGTACACAGGCTGGGCATGGTGGCTCACGCCTATAATCCCAGCACTTTGGGAGGCTGAGGCGGGTGGATCACGAGGTCAGGAGATCAAGACCATCCTGGCTAACATGGTGAAACCCCATCTCTACTAAAAATACAAAAAATTAGCTAGGCGTGGTGGTGGGCGCCTGTAGTCCCAGCTACTTGGGAGGCTGAGGCAGGAGAATGGCATGAACCCAGGAGACAGAGCTTGCAGTGATGCAGTGAGCCAAGATCACGCCACTGCATTCCAGCCTGGGTGACAGTGTGAGACTCCAACTCAAAAAACAAACAAACAAACAAACAAAACCTGTACACAAATGTTCATAGCATCTTTATTCATAGTAGCTGAAAAATTGAACCAATCTAAATGTCATTCCGTAGGTGAATGGTTAAACTCACTGTGTGTGGTATGTCCACGCCATTGAATACTACTCAGCAATGAAAAGGAATGAACTATTGATACAGGCAACAACTTTGATGCACCTAAAGGGAATTATGCAGAGGGAAGAAAGCCAATCACTGAAAGTTATATACTAATGATTCCAATTATAAAGCATTCTTGAAATAAAATTATAGAAATGCAGACTAGATTGGTATTTGCCATGGGGAGAGGGAGATAAGGCTGTCAAGGGATGCATGAAAGAGGCTTGTGATCACCAGGAGAGTTCTGGGTCCTGATTAGGGTAGCTGATACATTAGTCTACACATGTCACAAAATTGAAGAAAACGATATAAAATATACACACAAAGGAGTGCATGTAAAACTAGTGAAATCTGAATAAGCCCTGAATTTGTACCATGATTTCCTGAATTTTATATGGTACTATTGTTACATAACATGTAACCAATGGGGGAAACTGGGTGAAGAGTACACAGGATATTTCTTTTGCAACTTCCTATGAATCTGTAGTTATTTCAAATTCTTTTTTATTTTCTTGAGAGACAGAGTCTTTCTCTGTCACCCAGCCTGCAGTGCAGTGGCATGATCATGGCTCACTGCAGCCTTGAACTCCTGTGTTCAAGTGATCCTCTGGTCTCAGCCTCCTGAGAAGCTGAGACTACAGGCATGCACTACCATGCCCAGCTAATTCTTTTAGTTCTTGTAGAAATGGGTTCTTGCTATGTTTCCCAGGCTGATCTCAAACTCCTGGCCTCAAGCAATCCTCCCATCTCGGCCTCCCAAAGTGCTAGGAATACAGGCATGGGCCACCATCCCTGGCCACACAATTGTTTTTTAATTTAGTTATAGTAGTCTGTACCACTGTAGGATGACAATAGTTAACAATAATATATAGTTTCAAATAGCTAGAAGGAAGATACTGAACAGAAAGAAATGAGAAATGTTTGAGATGGTAGACATGCTAATTACCCTGACTGATCACCATACATTATACACATCAAAACATCTTTATGTACCCCATAAATATGTACAATTATTATATGTCAATTTTTTTTTTTTTTTTTGAGATGGAGTCTCACTCTGTCACCCAGGCTGGAGTGTAGTGGCGCAATCTCGGCTCACTGCAACCTCCGCCTCCCAGGTGCAAGCGATTCTCCTGCCTCAGCCTCCTGAGTAGCTGGGATAACAGGCATGCGCCACCACACCCAGCTAATTTTTGTATTTTTAGTAGAGATGGGGTTTCGCCATGTTGGTCAGGCTGGTCTGGAACTCCTGACCTCTGGTGATCAGCCCACTTCAGCCTCCCAAAGTGCTGGGATTGCTGGCGTGAGCCACCGTGCCCGGCGTATATGTCAATTTTTTAAATAAATAAAATAATAAATTTTTAAGCACCCAAAGGGAAAAAACCCATATTATATGCATAGGAAAAGGAATACACTACTGATATAGGCAACAACACAGATGAACCTCAGAAACATTATGCTTATGCTGAGCAAAAGAAGCCAGTCAAAAAAGACCACATAACATATGATTCCATTTCTGTGAAACTCTAAGTTATCTAGAATATCTAGATTCTAGGTTATCTAGGTTACCTAGAATAATCTTCAGTGACAGGAAACAAATTAGGATTGGTCTGGGGCATTATTAGGGTACAATGGGAAAAGTTTATTGCAACAGGGCACAAGGGAACTTCTTGGAGTGATGGAAAAATTTTTTTTGTAGATATAGGGTCTCACTATAGTGCCCAAGCTGGTCTCAAACTCCTGGTTTCAAGCAATCCTCCCTTCGAGCTTCCCAAAGTACTGGGATTACAGGTGGATGCCATTGCACCCAGCCCCCATTTTTTGTATCTTGATTGTGGTGGTTGTCACACAGATACATACATTTATCAGATCTCACTGAACTGTACACTTAGTGTGCATTGTATTGCCTGTAAATTTATACCTCACAAAAGTCAGTATCAAACAGAAATGGAAAAGCATGGACTGTGGAGCCAGTCACCTGTTCTGAATCACGTCTCCGCCACTTACTAGCTGTGCAATGTTGGACATATTTCTTTCTTTTTTTTTTTCTTTTTTCTTTTTTCTTTTTTTTTTTTTTGATATGGAGTCTTACTCTCTTGCCCAGGCTGGAGTGCAGTGGTGCAATGTAGGCTCACTGCAACCTCTGCTTCCCAGGTTCAAGCGATTCTTCTGCCTCAGCCTCCTGAGTAGCTAGGATTACAGGTACCCACCACCACACCAGGCTAAGTTTTGTATTTTTAGTAGAGACAGGCTCCCACCATGTTGGCCAGGCTGATCTCGAACTCCTGACCTCAAGTGATCCACCCACTTTGGCCTCCCAAAGTGCTGAGATTACAGGTGTGAGCCACTGAGCCCGGCCTTGGACGAGTTTCTTAATCTCTCTGCACTCCAATTTTCTCGTCTGTAAAATGAGATTAATGATGGTACCAGCATCACTGTGTCGTATGAGGGTAAAATGAGTTGTTAATAGTGAATCACTTCAAACAGGGCTTGACACAAAGTCAGCTCTGTATACAAGTTTATTAAATAAGCAAAGAAACCAGATTGCTGTTTTCAAACAGATGCTGTTTTGAAAAACACCATCTCAATAAACTCATGTCACCCTCCGCCTCTCCCCATTACCCTCAAGATAAAGCCCAAAGCTTTTCCAGTGGCTGTATCACCCTCCTCTTTGCCCCTCATTCCCCAAGGTTCCTGCCCGGGCCATCTGTCTGTCCCTCCAAGGTGCTATCCTCCCCAGATTAAGACCCTCTCACAGGCTGTTCCTCGGCCCAGAGGATTCTTCCCCTTCCTCTTTGCCCGGCTAAGATCAATTCATTGTAAATTTCAAGTCTTCAATGAAGCCTTCCCTGAATTCTCTGACCAGGCCAAAGCAATTAGCCAGAAGAAAAGGCCAATACTTCTCTTTTATAGCACCAAGCACAGCTATAATACATATTTATGTTTGTGTAATTATTTCATGCTTTCATTCTTCAAATATTTGTTGAGTAGTGCTGTGAGCCAGGCATTATTCTATGCTCTGAGAATACAGCAGTTTACAAAACTAACTCCCTGCTGGTGTGTTGGAATGAACCAGGCAGAAAATAGATAATCAAATAACTATATTATGTCAGGGAGTGATGAGTGCCATGGAGAAAAATACAACAGGGTAGGAAAAAGGAGCCAAAGAAGGAGCAGGTACTATTATAGACAGTTTGGTCAGGGAAGACCTGAGGAGGTGACATTTAAGCAGAGACCTCAGGAAGTGAAGGAATGAACCACGGGAATATCTGGAGAAAGAAAGTTCCAGAAAGAAAAGAAAATGACAGTGCAAAGGCTTTGATATTAGGAGCATAATTTGCATGTTCTTCAGTAAATTGCACGAAGAGGATATAACAGTAGGACATGGGGTTGGAGAGGTATCAGGGCCAGAGTGAGTAGGGTCTTTCAGGCCATTGTGAGCGCTCTGACTTTTACTTGGAGGGAGGTGGGAGCCACTGAAGGGATATTAGCCAGGATGGATGCTCTGACTTGTTTTTGTTTTTGTTTTGTTTTGTTTGAGATGGTGTCTCACTCTGTCGCCCAGGCTAGAGTGCAGTGGCACAATCTCAGCTCACTGCAACCTCTGCCTCCCCGGCTCAAGTGATTCTCCTGCCTCAGCCTCTCAAGTAGCTGGGATTATAGGTGCCCACCACCACACCCAGCTAATTTTTATATTTTTGGTAGAGACGAGATTTCACCCTGTTGGCCAGGCTGGTCTCGAACTCCTAAGCTCAAGTGATCCACCCACCTCAGCCTCCCAAAGCTCTGGGATGACAGGTGTGAGCCACTGTGCCTGGCCCTGACTTTTATTTTAACTGGATCAAGCACATTGATTGCTGTGTTGAGAATACCCTGGAGTGGAACAATGGCTGTAGCAGGCAGACCAATCTAGGAAAGAGATGACAATAACTTGGTCATTGATAGCAGTGAAGGTGGTGAGAAGTGGTTGGATTTTGGAGGTATTTGGAAGGCGGAACCAAAAGATCGAATGTAGGGAATAAAAGAAATAGACAGGTCAAAGACAACGCCAAGGATTTGGCCTGAGCATGTAGAGAGGGAGATGGGAAAACCATAGGAGTTCCAAGTTTAGGGAAGGATCCCTGGAGCTCAGTTTTGGACATACTAAGCTTGAGAAGCCTTTTAGAGTGCAGATAGCATAGCAAGTAGGCAGTTTGATGTTTGAGCCTGCAGGTTAGGGGAGAGGTGCTGTCAGAAGCAGCTATCTAAACAGAGATAGTCAGTGGTTTTTTGTGTTTGCTTTTTTGTTTGTTCTTCTGTTTTGGGGGTTTTTTTGGGGTGGGGGACAGAGTCTCACTCTGTCACGCACGCTGGAGTGCAGTGGCACGATCTCAGCTCACTGCAACCTCTGCCTCCCAGGTTCAAGTGATTCTTGTGTCTCAACCTCCCGAGTAGCTGGGATTACAGGCTTGTGCCACCGCACCGGCTAATTTTTGTATTTTTAGTAGAGACGGGGTTTCACCATGTTGGCCAGGCTGGTCTCAAACTCATGACCTCAAGGGATCCACCTGACACAGGCTCCCAAAGTGCTGGGATTACAGGCATGTAATCCCACTGCACCCGGCCCCAGATAGTCAGCATGTATTTAAACCCTGAATGATATCACCAAGAAAGTAAATTTACGGAGAAATTAGGTGAGTTTTAAGGACTGAGACCCATGGCACCCCCATTGCCAAGACGTTGAGTAGACTAGGTGCAGCCAGAGAAATCAAGACTGTGGAAAACTCCCCAAAACAAACAACCTAGTTTCTTTAGCCAATATATTACAGAGAGAGAGAGAAAGAGAACCTATTAACTCAAAAACAAAAGATTGATCACTTGTAGAATCTAGACTTTATTTGGATCCTGATTCAAACACGTCATGTCTGGGCACGGTGGCTCACACCTGTAATCCCAGCACTTTGGGAGGCCGAGGCGGGCAGATCACTTGAGGTCAGGAGTTTGAGACCAGCCTGACCAACATGGTGAAAACCCATCTCTACTAAAGATACAAAAACTTAGCTGGGCATGGTGGCGCATGCTAATAATCCCAGCTACTCGGGAGGCTGAGGCAGGAGAATCTCTTGAACCCGGGAGGCAGAGGTTGCAGTGACCCGAGATCATCCCATTGCACTCCAACCTGGATGACAAGAGTGAAACTCTGTCTCCAAAAAAAAAAAAAAAAAGAAAGAAACAAAGCAAACAAACAAAAAATACCATAAAATAAAATAAAAAATTAGGCCAGGCACAGTGGCTCACACCTAATCCCAGTGTTTTGGGAGGCCAAGGCGGAGGATTGTTTGAGGCCAGGAGTTTGAGACCAGCCTGGGCAACACAGCATGACTCCATCTCTATAAAAACATTTAAAATTTAGCCTGGCGTGGTGATGCACACCTGTAGTCCTAGCCACTCAGGAGGCTGAGATGGGAGGATCTCTTGAGCTCCAGAATTCAAGGCTGCAGTGAGCTATGATCATGCCACAGCACTCCAGCCTGAGTGACAGAACAAGATCCTGTCTCAAAAAAACCCAAAAAATTGTGAGACAATTGAGGAAATTTGAACCCCTGATTAGATATTTGAAGATTTTAAAGAATTATTGTTAATAGTTTTAAGTTTGATAATGAAACTGTGGTTATATTTTTAAAGGAGTCCTTATTGTTTCAAGGAGGGGTTAGTAAAGTACCACCCACGGACCAAATGGAAATGGCCACCTGATTTTGCGTGGCTCATGAGCTTAAAATGATTTTTTAGGTTGTTTAAATAGTTTTTTAAAACCAAAAGAATAATATTTATTGACATATGAAAATTTCCTGTGTGAAATTTAAATTTAAGTGTCTATAAATAAAGTTTTATTGGCACATGTCCATGCCCATTCATTGGCCTATTGTCCATGGCAGCTTCCTGCTACCATAGCAGAGTTGAGTACTTGGGACAGGGACCACACGGCCTCCAAAGCTCAAAATATGTATTCCATGTTCCCTTACTGAAAAAGCTTGCCAGCCCTTCTTTTATTTTATGTATTTATTTAATTGTTTTTTTTTTTTTAAGACAGAGTCTCTCTCTGTTACCCACGCTGGGGTTACCATGCCTCAGCCTCCCAAGTAGCTGGGACTACAGGCGCCCGCCACTACGCCCGGCTAATTTTTTGTATTTTTAGTAGAGACAGGGTTTCGCCGTGTTAGCCAGGATGGTCTCGATCTCCTGATCTTGTGATCTGCCCGCCTCGGCCTCCCAAAGTGCTGGGATTACAGGCGTGAGCCACCGCGCCCAGCCGCCATCCCAGCATTCTTTAATACAGATTTCCCTCGTATTGTCTAACTTGTTATGCAAATGGATTATTTTTCCCCCAAGGGGACCTCCACAACCAGCTTTGAAAACAATTATGCTTACTTTACTGCCCAGGACAAAAACAGTAAAACTTTTGAAGTTCCCAGACACCAAAAGCCCTGCATTCTAACAGGTTTTGAGCAAACCTGATCCCAAAGCACTTTGTAGGTGTGTTGGCCCACCATCACCATCCTGTAACTGGAATGCTCAACTCCAATTAGAAGTCTTCCTGGTTTGGGTCATTTGGGGCTTTGGGGAACCTTTGACCCTTTTTTCTCCCTTCCCTTTGGGCAGCTGCCCTGGGACATTGGCCCCATTCACAATTCTCCAGTTTCCCAGACAATGTGGCTTCTTGTGCTCTTTGCTCGGGCCCCTCTATTAACCCTACAGAGAGGTTTCAGGTTACTGAAACAGACGCCTTGCTTTCTGCTGTGCATAATGTCCTTTTTCCAGCGAGAAACTGCAGCCCATCAGGATCTGGTTTTCATTAAAGGCACTTTGGGTCACTTTTTTAGCAGATTGGTCAAAAGGACTGAAAGGACTGGGCAGGGCGATGATGATTTGGAGGTCGATAGCTTTCTCTATGGGCCATACCCCTTCCCCACTGAAAGATTCCCCCACTGCAGACTGGAGGAAATCAGTCAGGCAAGGATCCCTGTGGTGAAAACTACTCGAAAACAGCAACAATAACCACAAACCTGAAATGAAGACAATTTCCTGAGAAACTATGAATGTTTGGATGTGCAAGGTGATCAACTTTCCCAGTTGCCCGGGACCAAAAGGTTTCCCAGGACTCAAAACTTTCCATTTTGAAACCAGAAAGTCACAGGCAAACCCGGAGGAGTTGGTCAACCCATGGATCAGAGTCACTTCATCTTCTGTGAAATTTGCAAAGATGCTAGGAGGTTCCCCTCCTGCTGGGACACCCCAGCCCAGACACAAACCATTAATTCACAATTACATGGAGTTTCACTGTCTGCAAGGCTGCTCCATTTAAGCTCTGGGTCATGAACACATAACTCTAGGCATACTGACACTAGCTGGGAGATTTTCCACCAAAAAAAAAAAAAAAAAATGCCATTTCATGACTATTAATCCAAAATAGGTAAATGTGTCTGGCTTATAGAATACCAGCCTGATTACAAATGCTTGGTGTTGGAATGGCCCAGCTCACAGTGGTTGTAGAAGTCCAGTAGGCCCAGGCTTTGTGGCTCACTCCTGTAACCCCAGCACTTTGGGAGGCCAAGGTGGGAGGATCACTTGAGTCCAGAAGTTCAAAACCAGCCTGGGCAACATAGGGAGACTCCATTTCTACAAATAATTTAAAAATTAGCTGGGTGCATGCTTGTAGCCCTAGCTACTCAGGAGGTTGAGGCAGGAGAATTGCCTGAGCCTGGGAGGTCGAGGCCACAGTGAGCCGCGATCACATGTCACTACATTCCAGCCTGGGTGACAGAGCAAAACCCTGGCTGGAAAAAAAAAAAATTCAAGCAGTCAAGGGGATGGGAGCTTGGTGGACTAGAGATGCCCAGACTTGAGTTCCTGTCCCAGCCCTGCCACTAATAGTGAGATTTTAGGCACAGCTATTCCCCTTCTTCTCTCCTAAGTCTCCGGAGAACAAATGGCTTTGGATTCAATGAGGAAAAGAAGGAAAGAAAGGAAGAAACTGGTCTCACTGAGCATCCTCTATGAGCCGGGCATCACACCAAACCCTCCTCCCTGCCATTTACTCTTTCCACCAGCCTTGAAGGGTTACCGTACTCAGTTTCACAGATGAGTTCAGTGCACATGAACGATCACACAGCAAGCGAATGGCAGGGAGGGGGTTATGATGCAGGGCTGTGGGGCTCCCTAGTAACCTTAATCCCAGCAGTCATTTAATGAGACAGAACTAAGTACACGCCTCTCTAACATACATTGTCTCGCTTAATTCTTGTAGAATCTTTGAGGCAAGCATTACCATTATCTCTACTTCACAGATGAGCAAATGGGTTCTGAGAGGTCAAGTGACCTGCCCAAGGTCACACAGCTATGCATGCACAGCCAGGTGGCAAACCCAGAGCTAAATGATTCCAACGCTCACTGGCTTTGCTCTCCAGTGTCAGCTCAGCAGCCCTGAACCTAAAACTCCAGGTGGCAGGTGCCACCCCAGGGATAAGACCCCAGCTTTAACCTGAACCAAACCTTAACCAGCTGTGTGCTATTGGGCAAATTCCTTAACCTCTATAGGCTTGCATTTCCTCCTCTGCATAGTAGGCATGGCACTCATACCTCCCTGGCAAAAAACTATCAACTTTATTTGTTTATTTATTTATTTATTTATTTATTTATTTATTTATTCATTCATGAGACAGAGTCTCCCTGTGTCGCCCAGAATGGAGGGCAGTGGCCTGATCTCGGCTCACTGCAACCTCCACCTGCCGGATTGATGCGATTCTCCTGCCTCAGCCTCCGGAGTAGCTGAGATTACAGGCGCCCGCCACCACACCTGGCTAATATTTGTATTTTTAGTAGAGATGGAATTTCACCACTTTGGCCAGGCTGGTCTCGAACTCCTGGCCTCAAGTGATTCTCCTGCCTCAGCCTCCCAAAGTGCTGGGATTACAGGTGTGAGCCCCGGCCTTTACCTGCATTTTTCCATTTCTTCCACACAACTGTTATGAGGTAGGCATTACTTTATACATAAAATACATAAAGAACTAAGCCCAGCACTGGCACATATAAGAATGCAATGAATCGTAGCTATTATTACTAATGCTATTGTTTTTACTGCTGCTATATTATTATAACAAATAATCATTGTGATAGTTATTGCAACAGTTGTCATCGCTGTTATTATATTACTAAGTAGTTTTGGATCCCTTTTCTCGAAGTTTCATCGTCCCCCCCCTCCAAGTGCCCTCCAATCCCAGGAGCCCTTAAAGCCGCTGCACCCACACTTTGCCCACCCTCTTTCTCTCGGTCTGTCCCCCACGCCATCCATCACCTGCACCCCTTCCCTAGGGAGGCCCAGCGGTGGGCGCCCACCCGCTCCCCCAGCGCTTTGCCCCGTGAGTCCTCCGCCCAGGCCCCCGCGCGCGCCTCACCTGCGGAGCCCGGCTTGGCCGCACTGAGTCCCACGGGCGGGCGGGTGGCGCAGGGCGGGGCCGCGGGGCTCATGCGGGGAGCGGGCAGGCAGGAGAGCGGCGGGGCGGCGCCAGCCGGCAGCTCTGCGACCTCCTCCCTGCAGCGGCCCAGGTGGGAACTCAGCCAGGGCAGCGGCGGGGGTCACAGTCCCCGCCTGGGACTTCCTATCTGTCGAAGCTTGCAAGACGCACAAATGCCTGCTCCCCAGCCACTCTTCGGGGCGGCAGCTAGGAAGCGAGGATGGGGAGCACTAGAGAGCTATCCACCAATCGCTACATGGGACCTTTATTTAGATCTGAATTCAAACCGTTAAAAGAAGTTATAGGACGGGCACGGTGGCTCACGCCTGTAATCCCAGCACTTTTGGGAAGCCAAGGCGGGCGGATCACTTGAGGCCAGGAGTTCGAGACTAGCCTCGCCAACAGGGCGAAACCCCGGCTCTACTAAAAATACAAAGATTAGCCAGGCGCGGTGGCGGGCGCCTGTAATCCCAACTACTTGGGAGGCTGAGGCAGGAGAATCGCTTGAACCCGGGAGGGGGAGGTTGCAGTGAGCCGAGATCGTGCCATTGCACTCCAGCCTGGGCGACAGAGCAAGACTCCGTCTCAAAAAAAAAAAAAAAAAAAAAAAAATTATAAGAAAATTGGAGCAATGTGGTCGCTGGATATTTAATGGCTGGGTTTCTTTCATTTCTTTTTTCTTTTTTTTTGAGACAGTCTCGCTCTGTCGCCCAGGCTGGAGTGCAATGGCGCGATCTCGGCTCACTGGAACCTCCGCCCCCAGGTTCAAGCGATTCTCCCGCTTCAGCCTCCCAAGTAAAGAGGATTACAAGCGCCCATCACTACGCCCCGCTTATTTTTTTGTATTTTTAGCAGAGGCCGGGTTTCTCCATGTTGGCTAGGCTGGTCTCAAACTCCTGACCTCAGGTGATCCGCCGGCCTCGGCCTCCCAAAGTGCTGGGATTACAGGCGTGAGCCATCGCACCCTGCCGGGTTTCTTAATGAATAATTGTAATGTGGCTATCTTTTCAGAGTGGTTATCTTTTACAGTTATATATTTACAAAACTGAAATGAGACATCTGGGATTTGCTTGGCAATAGTGGAACCAAGGAGTAGTGGGAGTAGGGATGAAACAAGGTGGGCCATGTGTTGATAATTGCTGAGGCTGGTTGGGGAGGATTCATTATTACCTTTCTTTTTTATGTACTTGGAATTTTCCATAATAAAAATAATAGTATGACCTATAATAGATGTATACATACACAGAGTGGTAGAAAAAAATTCATCCTAAATGTCCACCAATAATGAAATGCTTAAATAAATGGATACATAAACGCTGTGGATTACACAGTCATTAAAATTGTTCTTAACAAAGACCACATAATTAGCACAAGGAAATAATTTTATATCCAAAACAAAAAAGCCAATGGTAAGAAATAGATGTATTTGAACTTTTATTGAACCTAGAAGCTAGGGGCTGGGTGTGGAGCCTCACACCTGTAATCCCAGCACTTTGGGAGGCCAAGGCAGGCTGATCACTTGAGGTCAAGAGTTTGAGACCAGCCTGGCCAACATGGTGAAACCTCGTCTCTACTAAAATTACAAAAATTAGCCAGGCATGGTCGTGGGCACCTGTAATCCCTGTTACTTGGGAGGCTGAGGCAGGAGAATTGCATGAGCTGGGGAGGTGGCAGTTGCAGTGATCTGAGATGGCACCACTGCCCTCCCACCTGGACAACAGAGCAAGACTCCATCTCAAAAACAAAGCAAAACAAAACAAAAAACTAGAAGGCAAGGCTGGGTGGGGTGGCTCAGACCTCTAATTCCAACACTTTGGGAGGCTGAGGTGGGTGGATCACTTGAGGTCAAGAGTTTGAGACCAGCCTGGCCAACAGGGCAAAACCCCATCTCTACTAAAAATACAAAAATGAGCTTGCATGGTGGCGCACGTCCTGTAATCCCAGCTACTCAGGAGGCTAAGGTAGGAGAATCCCTTGAACCCGAGAGGCAGAGGCTGCAGTGAGCTGAGATCATGCCACTGCACTCCAGCCTGGGCAAGAGAATGAGACTCTGCCTCAAAAAAAAAAATTAAAAAAAATCTGGTAGGCAATGCATTAAAATATTAGCTTTGCATGATAGGATTATGCATAACTGTTTTGCATCTTTCCTAATGAAAATAGTTGTGGACTCAAGAAGTTTCCTTGCAATCCTTCACATTTAACGAAACACATCTAATACCCGTAATATTTCAAAGTAATCATTGAAATGCCCAACGCTAACATTAGTTTGTCAGTGGCACAATTAAAACATTATCTTCAGAAATGACCAATTGCAGCATTCTGCTGCCCATCTGATAGTAATTTATATAATGCTAATGTCCAGCATCCTCAAAAACATCCTTTTATCCCCAGGGTCTTTGTTTAATCCTTTAAATAAAAAGCTTAACCTCAGCCGGGCACAGTGGCTCATGCTTGCAATCCCAGCACTTTGGGAGGCTGAGACGGGCAGATCACAAGGTTAGGAGATCGAGACCATCTGGCTAATACAGTGAAACCCCGTCTCTACTAAAAATACAAAAAATTAGCCAGGCGTGGTGACGGGCGCCTGTAGTCCCAGCTACTCAGAAGGCTGAGGCAGGAGAATGGTATGAACCCGGGAGGCAGAGCTTGCAGTGAGCCAAGATCATGCCACCACTCCAGCCTGGGTGACACAGTGAGACTCTTTCTCAAAAAAAAAAAAAAAAAAAAAAAAGCTTAACCTCAAGCTTTAAATGACAGGAAATGGCTTCCATCCTTTGTCAATTTTTGATTTAGAATATAGGTGTCTAGGAGTCTCACATGACTCATCTCAGAACAATAAAAGGACCTTTTCATTTTTACATATTTTAATGTTTAAACATTTATAAATGTGTGTATATATACATGCACAGAAAAAAAAAAGTCTGGAAGGCATAAACCAAACTGTCAGTAGTGGTTCTCTCAAGTTTATGGGGTAAGTAAAGTTAATTTTCATTTTATACTTTTTCTGCGATGAACGTTGATATGGTTTGGCTTTGTGTCCCCACCCAAATCTTGTGTGGAATTGTAATCCCAGTGTTGGGGGAGGGGTCTGGTGGGAGGTGATTGGATCATGGGGCTGACTTCCCCCTCAATACTGCTTTCGTGATAGTGAGTGAGTGCTCAGTTGTTTAAAAGTGTGTGGTACCTTCTCCTTGGTTCTCTCTTAGTTCTCCTTCCACCATGTAAGACATGCAGGCTTCCCCTTCACTTTCCACCATGATTGTAAGTTTCCTGAGGCCTCCCTAGAAGCAGAAGCCTATACAGCCTGCAGAACCATGAGCCAATTAAACCTCTTTTCTTTATAAATTACCCAGTCTTAAGTGTGTTTTTATAGCAGTGTGAGAAAGGACTAATACAAACGTGTTACTTATAATGGAAAAACCAGTAGGGCTTTACGATCAGTCATGGCCACCCTATAAATAATAAAAACAAGATGGAGGCTGGGCGAGGTGGCTCACACCTATAATCCCAGCACTTTGGGAGGCTGAGGCGGGTGGATGACCTGAGGTCAAGAGTCTGAGACCAGCCTGACCAACATGGCAAAACCCCATCTCTACTAAAAATAGAAAAATTAGCAGGGCATAGTGGCACATGCCTATAATCCCAGCTACTTGAGAGGTTGAGGCAGGAGAATCACTTGAACCTGGGAGGTGGAGGTTGCAGTGAGCCAAGATTGCACCACTGCACTCCAGCCTGGGCGACAGAGGAAGGCTCCAACTCAAAAAAAAAAAAAAAAAAAAAAGAATTGCCAATGTATTCACTTGAACTCTAGCATTTGGAAAAGTGTTGAGAGTTCACAGTCGTTTAAAACCAGCGTTCTGTGTTGAATCCTAAACAGGATATAAGAAAATAGCATTTGGGCACTCTATCTGTTCTTATTTTCCAGAACTTAAGAAGTACAGGTATATAAGACATCCCAATTTACATGGGCATTTACTTGAGAGAAAAAATACTTACTTTTCATTTTACATGTATTGAAAGTAATTTTAAAGTGACTTTCTAACAAAAGCATATTATTTAATTCATGTGAATACAGCATACTGACCCAAATCCAGAGGGAATTCTTAAGTTCGGTTATGTAATAATATTCTCCCTGTTCTCCAAAAGTATACAATTTCACAGTGAAAAAGAAGTATTTTGTTATCACTGAATACTGAGTCCAATTCAGTGATACTGATATAGATAGCAAGCTACAAAGCACAATTTACTAGTAAATGAAGCCAAATGCCATACAAGTTGTATTATAAAAACAAATGATGCACTAGTCATTAGGGAAATGCAAATCAAAACCACAAGCTACCACCTTACACCGATTAGGATGGCTACTACTAAAAAAACAAAACAGGCTGGACATGGTGGCTCACACCTGTAATCCCAGCACTTTGGGAGGCCAAGGCAGGCAGATCACCTGAGGTCAGGAGTTCGAGACCAGCCTGGCCAACATGGCGAAACCCCAAAACCCCATCTCCACCAAAAATATAAAAATTAGCCAAGTGTAATGGTAGGTGCCTGTAATCCCAGCTACTCGGGAGGCTGAGGCAGGAGAATCACTTGAACCCAAGAGATGGAGTTTGCAGTGAGCCGAGATCATGCCCTGCGCTCCAGCCTGGGCAACAGAGCAAGACTCCATCCCAAAACAAAACAAGATAATGTTGGTGAAGATGTGGAGACATTGGAACGGTTGTGAACTGTTGGCAAAAATGTTAAATGGTGCAGAAAACAGCATTGTGGTTCCTCAAATAATTAAAAATAGAATTACCACATGATCCAGTAATTTCACTTCTGGTTATATACCCAAAGGAATTAAAAGCAGGGTCACAAGATACTTGTATACTCATGTTCACAGCAGGGTTATTCAGACAGCTAAAAGGTAGTAGCAATCCAAGAGTTCACCAACAGACTAATGGATAAGCAAACTATGGTCTATCCATACAATAGATTATTCAGCCTTAAAAAGGAAGGAAATTCTGGCCGGTGCGGTGGCTCACGCCTATAATCCCAGCACTTTGGGAAGCCGAGGCAGGTAGATCACCTGAGGTCAGGAGTTTTGAGACCAGCCTGGCCAACATGGTGTAACCGTCTCTACTAAAAATACAAAAATTAGCCAAGCATGGTGGCAGGCGCCTGTAATCTCAGCTACTCAGGAGGCTGAGGCAGGAGAATGGCTTGAACCCAGCAGCCAGAGGCTGCAGTGAGCCGAGATCACACCACTGAACTCCAGCCTGGGGGACAGAAAGAGACTCCGTCTCAAAAAAAAAAAAAAAAAAAAAAAAGAGAGGAAGGAAACTCTGACACCCTCTACATCGGTGAACCCTGAGGGCACTGTGCTAAGTGAAATAAGCCAGTCATGGGCCGGGCGCGGTGGCTCACGCCTGTAATCCTGGCACTTTAGGAGGCCGGATCACAAGGCCAGGAGTTCGAGACCAATCTGGCCAACATGGCGAAACCCCATCTCTACTAAAAATACAAAATTAGCCAGGAGTGGTGGTGCACGCCTGTAATCCTAGCTACTCAGGAGGCTAAGGCAGGATTGATTGAACCCAGGAGGCAAAGGTTGAAGTGAGCTGAGATTGCATCACTGCACTCCAGCCTGGGCAACAGAGTGAGACTCTGTCTCAGGAAAAAAAAAAAAAGAAGAATAAGCCGGTCACAAAAAGGCAAATACTGTGTAATTCCAATTATATGGGAGGTGACTGGATCATGGGGCGGATCATGACTACCTAGAGTAGTCAAAGGGACAGAAAGTAGAATGATAGTTGCTAGAGGGTGGGGTGGAGACAATGGAGAGTTGTGTTTATGAACATAGTTTCAGTTTTGCAAGATAAAGGGAGTGCTAGGCCAGGGACAGTGGCTAACACCTGCAGTCCCAACACTTTGGGAGGCCAAGGTAGAAGGATCACTTGAGGCCAGGAGTTTAAGACCAGCCTAGGCAACATAGTCCTGATTTGTCTCAAGTTACTTATGAGCCCAGTTTTGTGCTCAGTGCACTCCTAGACAGTACAACTCAGTCCAGGCTGCCCTGATTCCATGCACTATCTTCTAGCCGGCGGAAGCACTGGATATAAGGTAACTGGGGGTGCTTAAGCATCTGCACTAACATGGTAGGTCACTTTAGTCACTGGAAGCCCATGATACTATACTGACATTGCTGGAGAAAAAGGATCATGTAACACCTCCATCAGTAACCAAGTAGTGGGAAGCAATTAATGAAAACATCTTGCTTCATTAATACTGTAAATAACATACGCAGTATAGCCTATTAATACTATACTCAGAACCAAGTGAAAACAAAGCTTTGCTCAGGAAGACTTGAAACATCTACACTTTATTTTCCAACTCAACTTTTTTCTGTTAAAAGCCAACCATGTAAAAACTGATGACAGGTCACACTGGATGGCAGAAAATACAGTACTGCTTTTAACTACTCTGTACAAGGGATAAATGACTAAGGGCACTGTACCTCCTTTCCTCCCCTTCTCTGAGATCAGTGGTCTGAGCACTTTAGGAGCTTAAAATGCAGGTGCAGGGAGCTAGGAATCAGAGGTGTGGCTTGCATTTCAACCTTTAAGGTCAATTGGTTAGCTTGCTTTTACCACAAATAAAGCTCTTCTTAATTTCTCTAGTACAGTCTTAACTTGATATGAAGCACTTACACGAGGAATGGTGCAGACAAGGCAGCTTTATTGTACTTTGGGGGAGAAAAACATGATTCCATTTACGGGGAAAAAAGCCATTGACACTCAGTAAGCAACACTGCCATCTAGTGGAATGGTGACACACCACCAAGAATTTCAAGACCCGATAGGAAATGTGAGTGGATTTGGTTTCAATTTTCACCACAAAACAGCACTTTTAATAAGCTGGTTTTCAGAGAACTTCAGATTTTTTTGAGAAACTACTTTTTATCTTTAAAATGCATAAATGTATGTGTTTTCTCTGTTTTGGGGGGGTGGTTAAGAATGAGTTGTATTTTTCTTATTAGAGCATAAAGTTCTCTACTTGAAAGTTAGAAAACACTTTGGGGCAACCTGCCTCCTTGAACATCCATCACTTCTGCTTGACAGTCTAACAGCAACCCCTGATTTTAACAGACAGTTTATAAAGAAGCAAAACTCAACTGTACAAGAACGACATTAAGTTTTCTCATTTCCTCTTTCTATTTTTACAATCTATGGTGCTAAGTATTTGTACTTCACTTACTTGAATTCCTGGAAAAAAATCATTAGAACACACCAATAACAATTTTGCATAAATCACATAACCCAACTCTTATTATGACTGCACAGTAACAGTGGAAGATATTGGTGTGAGGATGTGGGAATGCAGTTCTTAATGAATAATAAAGTAATTCTTCAGGTTTTAATTCGCCTTTATACCCAGGTGTTGGAGTGAATGTGTTGATCTGATGACTTCTATGAGCATATAAATGAGAATACTTAATGAAACACCTGGATGAAAAAAGAAATAAAGTAGTGAGGATAACATATTGTTAATAACCACAATCTCATATTGACATTTCTGTTATTACTGAGATTTCAGATTCTGGGTTAAATGCTCTGCTCTTTGGAATATCCACGATGGTTATTGATCTTGCTAATGGGTTCCTCTATGGCAGCATTTCTGGGTTTATGGTTGGAGGCACTCACGGATTCCAGAATGCATGAGTCTGACACGGTCTTCATCAAACCATATTCTTGGCAAATAATAAACTCCTTTAAGGATTTCAGGGAAGAGCCAAGCTCTGGGAGAGAGGTATATAAGTGTAGAGTAAGAAGTTGAATTAAAACATTTTTAGTTGCATTTTGTCAGTAGACAAAACTGAATGTTTCAATTCTGAGAACCTGAGATTGTCCAGAAAAAAACAAAGTTCAGTGTATGGGACATGAGTGATCACAAAGTCAGAACCAGGTTATTTTGCATTTTTCACAGCAGCATTAACTGGGGGGGTGGGGGGAGGGGTCCCTGAAGTTCTGTATCTGAATGAGGCTGGGTTTTTGTTTCTGTTTTTTTTTTTTACTGACTCAGTGTTCACTGCAATTTGCAATAATCTCCCCTTCCCCCAAGTCTGAAGCCTTCCTTCCCCCCTATTCAAATTGTCTGCGTCATTCTCATAATGCTACTATTTGGGTACTCCTGAAGCCAAACCAATAAAAAATGCTAGGGGAGCTTTATATGAATTCAAACATGATGCCAAAGTCATCTCCAAAAAAGTTTATTAGCATGATTAAAAACATTTTCTTGAATAATAACAGAAAGAATTTCTAAACATGAAAGAATATCAGTGGCTATACCTTAAAACCAGTATTTGGAATTGAATGGACAGCTTTATTGCCAGTCTTCAAAAAACAATCCATTGATTGGTTCCATGAAGTCGTGACTATTGCTTTGTCTGGGAATGAGTCCCTACTGCAATTAAGTATAAAAAATATCTTCCATCATAATTGGAGTGTGACCTGCATTGGAGAGTGGCTCTGAGTAAAGAGTTGATAAAAATCCACAAAGAGTTGGGTTTTTGTCTTTTAAAAACATTCCTTTACACACTACAAAGAAATAATTAGTATTTTGGCTTTTTAAATTCCTACATGATATTTAGAATGGCGGTCCCCAAGGGTCCTCCCTTCACGTAATTGTGAACACAGACCCTCTTCCAAGGGCACATCCCGGAGGGTGCGGACTCTGAAGACTTCGACCTCCACGTGTTTATACTGGTTTGAGAACAAAGACAGCGTCATCCAGAACGTAGTAGTCATTATACATGTCGCCTTCACACAGGTATGGTAGTCTGGTGAAAGCTTCGATAACAAAACCAGCTTTTCTGAAAACTTCAGGCAGACTATTCACTTGTTCTTCCCAGTTCTGTCCTTTGATTTCCAAAATTTCTGATGGTTTCTCCCACTTGCCACCTACTAATACAAATAAGAACATTCAGTTAAATTCTTGAACAAACAAGTGATTTAAAGAGGGAAGCAGGGAGGAGCCATATCTACCAAGGACTTGGTACGTTCCAAGCCTGAGGGCTTCATGAGTTACCTCTTTTGTACTTCCCAGGTACTCTTTGAGACAGGTGGGCAGATAAAGAACAGACTCAGAAGGGGTGAAGAACTTGCCCACGCTTGCAAGGTTAATGAGTGTCAGTATGGAAATGTAAGCCCAGGTTTGTCTGGATCCAAGGCCCCACACTGTTATCTTCTCTGACAGTTTTGGGTAGTATCTGCCAATAGACTGACTGCAGGGTGTAATGGTTAATGGGTTTGGAAAACTGGTCATTAAATGCTGGAATACTGAAACAGAGAGCAACATGTAATATCTGAAGGACAGTTTTGGACAAATGCAAGAAAATACCACTGGCATAGTAAACTTATGCAACTTACTACCTAGAGAGATTTATTAGGCTGAAAATAAAAACAGGCTCATGAAGGATTTTAATTTAGAAAAGCAGATCATTGGGGAGTTTTTCTAGGGAAGTTGACTCATTCTTTGCCTTTTCAGAACAATTTCATAAACATTAAGCTCCAGGACCAGAGAGAGATGGAACAGTAGGATGGATACACCGTCCAGCATTTCTTGGACTAGAGATGAAGCCTCTATCAGTCATTTCCAAACCTATGAGCAGGAGATGCCTGGGGGACAAGGGGACTAGGGAAGGTCCTCAAATTCACATACAAACCTGGCACTGACTACAGACACACACACAGAGATGACAGTATATTTAACTTTGGGGGTACTTTTTAGGTGCTATGGTGATACAAAAACTACATACATCTGTTGAAGTGTTAAAACCAGATTGAGGCCGGGCGTGGTGGCACATGCCTGTAATCCCAGCACTTTGGGAGGCCGAGGTGGGCGGATCACGAGGTCAGGAGATCAAGACCATCCTGACTAACACAGTGAAACCCCGTCTCTACTAAAAAAAATACAAAAAAATTAGCTGGGCATGGCAACATGCACCTGTAGTCCCAGCTACTTGGGAGGCTGAGGCAGGAGAATGGTGTGAACCCGGGAGGCGGAGCTTGCAGCGAGCCAAGATCGTGCCACTGCACTCCAGCCTGGGCGACAGAGCGAGACTCTGTCTCAAAAAAAAAAAAAAAAAAAAAAACAAAACAGACTGAGAATAACTTTCTGTTAATGAGAAAATATATCATGAGCAGATGCCAAGGGCACAGACATCATATCATGGTGGGGAGATTTTTCATAATTTTCAGTGGTGCAGATGACGCTCTTCCCATGTCTGGGGAATTGCCTGCCCAGAGTCTGGGAGAGACACAAGGCCTGGGAGCCGCTTTCCTGGCCTGCCGTGCAGCTGAGGCACTGGCACGCAGCCTAAGCCAGGCACACTTGCCCACGCCCTGGAATGGAGAGCCAGTGACCCAGAGTAGTGGGGATGTGAGCTTCTCCTTCTCTGGGGGTGGAGCAATGGCAGTGAGACCAAGGGGCTGGGGCAGTGGTTGAGCGATGCTGACAACAGGGCTGATGGCACCTAGTGTTTGGCAGTGGCAGTAGCATCCTCTTCAGACCTGTTTATGGTGTGATTTGAGGCATTCTTCCTGGCTGTGGACCCCACACAAGATTCACTAGCCCTCCCAGTGACTCTAGGATCTACCTTCAAATGTTTGCATAAATTTCCTTTTAAGTCAGCCTGAGTCTGTTTCTGCTGCTTTACAAAGAAGACCCTTACTGAATCACCACTAAGTGCTGGGGGAGAGGACACAGAGGACAGAGGGCCCACATATTTGTTTCTCAACACATTAAAAGGGGGTCTTTGGGCCAGGCATGGTGGCTCACACCTGTAATCCTAACACTTTGGGAGGCCAAGGCAGGGGGATCGCTTGAGGGCAGGACTAGCCTAGACAACACAGAATCTACAAAAAAAAAAAAAAATTAGCCAGGGGTGGTGGTGCATGCCTGTAGTCCCAGCTACTCAGGAAGCTGAGGCTGCAATGACCTGCAATCTTGCCACTGCATTCCAGCCTGGGTGATAGAGACCCTGTCAAAAAAGGGGGGAAGGCAGGTGTCTTTGGATTCAAAACTGGAGTACAAAAAGTTAATAACAGACAATTTATTTATTCGCTGCATTAGAATGTGTTGTTTACTAACTTTTCTCATCTCTACACAAAGCCACTTCTCCTTCTGCTGTTCTTTGTTCCCAGCAGTTACTGGCCCAGAGTGGCACCCAGAGCAGGTACCCTAGACAGTGACTGAACTGTTCTGAAAAATCCAAGTACGAATTATTTGTCAAACAATACTCCTTCCTGGAAATATGTGCTAGGTGTAAATCAAAATCTCACCCAGAAACATCTAACACCTATGACAACTGTAAAATCCATGGAAAAAAAAAAGATATGCACATTTCTAAATGTGCTCCAGGCCAAAATCTCAATGTTAAATGGTGAAGCCATCCTTGCACAATTTCAAAAAGTTCCTGATTATGGTTCCTTCATAAGAGGTTCCTCTCTTCAGCTCTTCTTCCCTTCTGAAAAAAGAAAGCCAACTTTCCTTTCAAATACACACCCCAACCCGCCCCGGCATACACAGAAATGGGGACTGCGAGCAGAAGCAACATCGCTCGCCATCTGCAAACCAATCTCATTCTATTTTGTGTCGGTAAGGTTCTTTTTCTTCTCCTCCTTCATTTTATTTAAATCAACTGCTATTTTTCACCTAATGCATTTATATTTTAAGCTCCTTCAGATTAATTTTTAAATGTATAACATTATGAAAACTGCCTAAGAGGATAAGTTTCCTTTTTCCCCTGAGAAATAGACAATAAAAAAATAGCTGAGAAAAAGTTTCATATTAACCTTGAAAAGTCTCTTTGCTATTATGCTAATTGGAGACAATCTGACCAAAGGGTTGAAAATATTCTTAAAATCGTAGGTATAAGTTATCAATAATTTAATTATCATACAAACTTGATCTGCACATAGAAAGCAATAAATGATTATTTGCTGAATATTTTCAAAGAACAATTTCTATAAAAGTACTTTTCATTTAAGAAAAAAAAAACTGCCATGACTCCAATAGCCATCCCATAGTATATCTATTTTTAAAATTCTGTCTACTTCTGTTTTTTTATCTATGAAAGAGAAAGGATTTCCAATACATCTAGTAATCTCAGATTTGCCCACACAATTTGGATTATAGGGCAGGGAAGGGGGGAAAGTTCTTAATTTTTTCTCATCTGTGAAGAAATATATCAAAATGTTAATGGGAGTTATTTCAGGCAAAAGGACTATGGGTGACTTTTTGCTTCTACTTTTAATAACCTGTTTTTTGCTAATAAGTATATATTACTTTCATAGACTATTTTAATTAGCATTATTTTAAAGAAGAATTCCTGTCTTTTAGAGATATATTCTGAAAGATGCAGATAAAATGGCTGGGATTTGCTCTAAAATAATATGGGAGTGAGGGAGTAGGTGGGAGGAGAAAAGAAACAAGATTGGGTCGAAGCCATGTGATGGCAGGGGGTTGACTGTACTACTTCGCTACTTTGATATGTTAGAAATTTGAAATCTAATATAATAAAGCTTTGGGCTGGGCGTGGTGGTTCATGCCTGTAATCCCAGCACTTTGGGGGCCAAGGTGAGAGGATCACTTGAGCTCAGGAGTTCAAGACCAGCATGAACAACATAATGAGACCCCCATTTCTACACAAGAAAAAAAAATAGCTGGGCGTGATGGCACCTGCACTGCACCTGCAGTCCCACCCACCTGGGAGGCTGAGGCAGGAGGATCACTTGAGCCCAGGACTTTCAGGCTATAGGGAGCTGTGATTGTGCCACTGCACTCCAGCCTGGGCAACAGAGCAAGACATTTACTTACTTCTTACTTACTAGATAGAGAGACAGCTTTGTTTAAATGTCAAGAATTAGTTCTCTTCCTACTTTCAATATGGCTTTTTTGTTTGTTTGAGACGGAGTCTCGCTCTGTCACCCAGGCTGGAGTGCAGTGGCAAGATCTCGGCTCACTGCAAGCTCCGCCTCCCGGGTTCACGCCATTCTCCTGCCTCAGCCTCCCGAGTAGCTGGGACTACAGGCATCTGCCACCACACCCGGCTAATTTTTTGTATTTTTAGTAGAGACAGCGTTTCACCGTGTTAGCCAGGATGGTCTCGATCTCCTGACCTCGTGATCCGCCCGCCTCGGCCTCCCATAATGCTGGGATTACAGGCATGAGCCACCATGCCCAGCCTCAATATGGTTTTTTAAAATAATAAGAATAATCTTTCTATTCCCTCCATGGAGGAAATAAATCTTCAACCTTTTCATTGGATACTGTGTTTAAAAAACAATTCCTAGAATATGAGGATTCTTAAAAGAAATCATTCACAGAAGCAGGCTGTGGTGTGACATATCCAAACTTCTCTTTTTTGTTAATAGGTTGCCTAACTGGTTGGGGGAGGGAACCACAGTTTCATCACAAGTTCCTGCTCACAGAGGAAATCATTACAATTGGTTTTCTCCCACACATAGCCTAATTGGGAAGAAGGTGGAAATAAGTAGAGATATGAAATTCCAAAGTTACAAATACCTGTTTTTATCCTATACTACTAGTTTTTAAAGAAAAGTGTTGAAAGTCAGCTATCCCCGCCACCCCAACCTCTATTTTTTTTTTTTTTTTTTTTGAGACAAGAGTCTCACTCTGTCACCCAGGCTAGAGTGCAGTGGCACAATCTCAGCTCACTGCAACCTCCACCTCCTACGTTCAAGCGATTCTCCTGCTTCAGCCTCCCAAGTAGCTGGGATTACAGGCGTCCACCACCACACCTGGCTAATTTTTTGTATTTTTAGTAAAGATGGGGTTTTACCATGTTGGCCAGGCTAGTCTCGAACGCCTGACCTCAGGTGATCTGCCCGCCTCGGCATCCCAAAGTGCTGGGATTACAGGCGTGAGCCACCATGCCCAGCCTCTATTCCTTTTATAGAGACAGGATCTCACAATGCTGCCCAGGCTGGAGTGCACGTCCAGACTCTATTCCTTTAATAGAGACAGGGACTCACAATGCTGCCCAGGCTGGAGTGCAGTGGTGCCATCACAGCTCACTGCAGCCTGGAATTCCTGGGCTCAATCAGCCTCCGGTCTCAGCCTCCTGAGTAGCTGTGACTAATGGCCACACCACCACGCCTGGCTCTTTGGCTTCCCTTTTAAAAACACTACCCAATTTGGAAGGCTGAGGCGAGTGGATTGCTTGAGCCCAGGAGTTTAAGACCAGGCTGGCCAACATCGCAAAACCCTGTCTCTACTAAAAATAAAAAAATTAGCCAGGCGTGGTGGTGCACACCTATAGTCTCAGCTACTCCAGAGGCTGCAGTGAGAGGATTGCTTGAGCCCAGAAGACAAAGGCTACAGTAAGTTAGCCAAGATCACACCACTGCATTCCAGTTTGGGCGACACAGTGGGACCCTATCTCAAAAATAAAAATGTGTAAATAATGGAATCGTCCACTTTTTAAAAATAATTTTACAAATAAAAATAAAAACATTATCTGAAAGATGACTTGAGACTGAGACAGTGCTTAACTTTGCTAAGTTTTGGCAGACCCAATTCCATTTTAAATTTCCACTCAGTATATACTATAAAATGTTTCACTGTACTTGTAAGGTGCTTGAGTCTGGGCAGGAGACATGAGGTTGTATTTCTCAGACTTGAGAGGGAATCCAATCCCCTTGGCTGGAGATGGAGCTGAGCTGGGCCTCCCACAGACACGAAGCTCAGAGAAGCTTGCAGGCCTCCTCCAGGTGACTGCACCCTCTTGTCTGGTTTGCATTTATCAGGTCACCACAGAGCTCCCAGCTCATCTCATGTTGCACAAATACTAAAATATAACATGATGAGAAGAGAGCAAGGCGCAGTGGCTCACACCTGTAATCCCAGCACTTTGGAAGGCCGAGGCAAGCGGGTCGCTTGAGTTTAGGGGTGCAAGATCAGCCTAGGTAACAAGGTGAAACCCTGTCTCTACAAAAAATACAAAAATTAGCTGGGCACAGTGCTGCAGGCCTACAGTCCCAGCTACTTTTGAGAAGCTAAGGCAGGATGATGGCTTGAACCTGGGAGGTCACAGTTGCAGTGTGCCGTGATTGCACCATTGCACTCCAGCCTGGGAGACAGAGACTCTGTCCAAAAACAATAACAAAAATGAAAACAAAAACAAAAAAACATGGTGAGAAGAGACTTGCATCACAAACGCCATGATTCTAACTTTAATTCCTCTGCTGTTATGAATGGGGATCCATAAGAGAAACGCTAAGAGAAAAAAGCCCCTGTCTGAAAATTAAGCATCAGACCACTTGGATGACTTTTCAGTTTCATTTACAGTAGCAAAGGACAAACTCACACAAATAGGACCATTTGGGAATATATGACCAGGCGGAACTCAGACCAAAAACTTGACAAATTCCAATTTGTCTCAACCAATACTATTTTACCTATGGCCTCCCCTGCCGCAAAAGAAGGGTTTAGGGCGGGTCTTTCCATTTGTGCACTCGAGTGGCTTTCCAGCTTCACATGCCTGGGATATAAAGGCCAAGGTGGGGGACTCAATCCTCATAACTTGGAAGAGCACCACATGGTGGACAGTACACTGGAGTGGGTGACTAATCCCAGCTCTGTGAACACCTTGTGGCTAGACGTCCACAACCATCTCTCCAACAGCCATCTGACACTGTGGGAACAGTAGCAGTGGCGGCTGCAGCAGCAATCGCTCCCTTGTATTTAATACTTACTATAGCTTAGGCAGGTAAACACTTCCTAGGCATCATCTTGAACGTCACACTAACTGCATGAGGTCAACAATACTATCCCCATTTTCTAATGAGGAAACTGAGATACTGAGATTATAATGCTGGGAACAGGCAGAGCTAGGATTTGAACTCAAGTCTGTGCTCTTTATCACAATATTGTTAATTAAATAAGATAAATGCTACAAGGGCCTACAAAGCAGCACACACGCCAGGGAGAAACCAAATCTGCTTAGCTATGGCCTGGCGAGCTCATATGGTCCCTGCTCAGTAATCAAAGACATGGTAGGCTAAGCCAGGGCTGCATTTCCACAGGTGTACATGTTGCCTTTTATCATGTTTCCCAAAGGGACACCAGGCTCACAAAGAAACAATTGTGAATGGCCATGAATTCCTGGCGATCTCAACTCCCACAAAGCACAAACATCGCTGCTGCTCATAGGCTCCATCAGCGGCAGCAACGTTCGTCTGGGGACACAGGTTACCACACTGAACACAGCACTCTGGGGAGGCCAGGGTGCGGACAAGAAAGCAGGCAGGAGATTAAGTGATTGGATCGAAGGAAAGCTTGTAAGGAGCAAGAGTCACAGATGGACCCCAAACTTCTGAGTCCAATACGGTGCCACCTCTATGCAGGCCTCCTGCACAGGGACTCTGTTCCCCTGAAGCCTCTCTAGGGCTGGCCTCCAGTGAACAGACATCATGTGACCCAGCAGGTCAAGGTCAGAAAACAGGAGGAGTTGGGGCAAGTGAGGACCACTGGTGTTTATTTTTAGTCTTATTTATATTGGGATTAAGGTAAGAAAAATAACAGAATGGCTGGGTTTCCTACCTCAAAAATATAATAAAAGCACAAAGTGAGGTGGCAGGCCCATTAACCCACTCATCTGCTTCCTCCCACAGGTGCTGTGGGCGCCTGTACTCTCTCTGTCACACAACCGTGGTACCTAGAAGTGGACTACACTCATGAGGCCGTCACCATAAAGTGTACCTTCTCCGCAACCGGATGCCCTTCTGAGCAACCAACATGCCTGTGGTTTCGCTACGGTGCTCACCAGCCTGAGAACCTGTGCTTGGACGGGTGCAAAAGTGAGGCAGACAAGTTCACAGTGAGGGAGGCCCTCAAAGAAAACCAAGTTTCCCTCACTGTAAACAGAGTGACTTCAAATGACAGTGCAATTTACATCTGTGGAATAGCATTCCCCAGTGTGCCGGAAGCGAGAGCTAAACAGACAGGAGGAGGGACCACACTGGTGGTAAGAGGTCAGTCAGCGAGGCTTTATTTCAGTGCATCATTGCATCTTGTTCAGGCCTGTAAAATCATTACCTCACTCACATGTAGAAATCAGGAGATAAATTTGCTAAGTTAATACCCTAGCCAGTGATGGGTGTGATCTGAACACAAGTCACCATGAGGTTTGGACTAAAGAACTACTCCAACTGGCTGGGCGTGGTGGCTCACACCTGTAATCCCAGCACTTTGAGGCTGAGGTGGACGAATCACTTGAGGTCAGGAGTTCAAGACTAGCCTGGCCAACATGGTGAAACCCCATCTCTACTCAAAATACAAAAATTAGCCGCGCATGGTGGCATGCACCTGTAGTCCCAGCTGCTTGGGAGGTTGAGGCAGGAGAATCGCTTGTAACCCAGGAGGCGAAGGTTGCAGTGAACCGAGATCGCACTACTGCACTCCAGTCTGGGCAACAAAGCAAGACTCCATCTCAGAAAAACAAAAGAACTACTCCAATCCATCTCGAACATCCACTAACACAAAGTCAGTGATTTGCTGGGTGCTCTATTCTCCCTACATGGTGATGTTTAACCAACCATGTTCACCTCTTTTGTATATTACAGTGATTTAGTGTAAAGTACCATGTCCAAAGGGAACCTTGTGGTGAGTAACTATCAGCTTTCTCAGGAACTAGTCTGGTAATGCACCACCTAGAACAAAGCACTAGAGAAGTGTAAAAGATCAATAAATTGGACCCACAGAAACTATGCAACATGGAGAATAAGCACAGATTTGGAGAGAAGCTACTCAGGGATCCCTGACCCTTCCCATTCTGCCTGGACATCAGTGAACGGAAAGTGATGACTCTCACTTCCTGAGATTTGATAAAACCCATGACAATTCCTCAGCCGAGCGAGGACATCAAACATAGCTAAATCCTATCAGTAATTTCACCAAGTCATTCCCTTGAGTAAACTGAGATTAAGACATTCCCGAGAAAAAAAAAGGGGGAATTTCAGAGAAAAAGCTTTACATGATTCTGAAGGAAAAAAGAGAACAGCAGCAACTCCTCGCCTTGTTGGGGTCTCTTCCCTTAGGAAGGACCCTGGTATGATGAGCAGAGATTGTTAAAACATGAACTCAAAATCAACCAGCCCTTCGATTTCAAAATAGGACTCTGAGGAAGGGAGACCATCCAGTATTATAACCTGTGCTTTTAAACTACGAGGGTTCTAATGGGCTTTTGATATTCAAATGTCATTTAACCTTAGTTTATTCTCATCTGTCAGCTAAATTATAAATAAGTTAAGGCACTTAAAGCATTTTTAATAGTGCCTGGCATATAGCAAATAACAAATGTTAGCTACTGATATGAAAACACACACAGCTTTAGAGATTTGTATGTCTCACTGCATTAGCCTTCTAAAAACATGTTAGTCAAAGGGAAAAATGGCTTGTAAAAAGATGAAGGTCTCAAAGCTGCAAGGCTTATATAAAGTGAAGTGAAAGTGAAAGGCAGAATTGAAAGTGTTAAGGCAGACATGGCAACTTCCTGTCTCTTCTACAGAACTCCTATTTTCACACTGAAGCTTTTTTATTTTAGTTGTATAGATGTGGTTAATTTGTTAGTTTCACAAATAAAAATGTATGCTGCATAAACTGCATTCACAGGATAAGCATCTATGGGATTTTTCTTTCTTTTTTTTTAAGACAAGAGTCTTGCTCTGTCGCCCGGGCTGGAGTGCCGTGGCGTGATCTCAGCTCACTGCAACCAACCTCCACCTTCCGGGTTCAAGCGATTCTCCTGCCTCAACCTCCTGAGTAGCTGGGATTACAGGCATGTGCGACCACGCCCAGCTAATTTTGGTATTTTTAGTAGAGATGGGGTTTCGCCATGTTGGCCAGGCTGGTGTCAAACTCCTGATCTCAAGTGATCTGCCCACCTCGGCCTCTCAAAGTGCTGGGATTACAGGCATGAGCCATCACACTCAGTCTCATCTATGGGATATTTAGTTGGAAAGTACAGGCTATTCAGACAGTAAGTACAAATCTAATTGTATTTTGTACTCCAAATAGTCAGGTAATTGAAGACATGGCATGTTACTTAATCCCTACCCAGAGCACAAGACAATTTCTGCAAGGAGAGAGAAATTCCGAATGTGAAAATGGATTCAATAACTCTATTTCCAGAATTTTATCATAAAGAAAGAAGAGCACATTTGGCAAAAGTGCCTGTCTTTCAAGCACGCAGTGAGCACTGCGCTCCTCAATGTATGGCCTTCCCAGGTTCTTTCACAGATGGGACTCTTCAGCTATGTGTACTAGTTCCAAGGCTATAAATATCACCCTTAACAAATACATATGAAAATATCTTAACCACATAGGCAGACTCTTGATGATACTGGTAAACCGTTTCTACCAAAAGAGATTTTAGATGCCCTTGAACAAACTGTCTGGAAATGTTTATCTAACTTCAAATAATCCTTTATCTAAAAAGTGATGCTTAGCAATATGACAAATGGTTGGTTGAATTTTTTTAATGTTTAAAAACGAGTAACATTTTTGGTTTAACACATTTAAAGAACTGATGAACTGGCTTTAACTATTACATACTTGAGTACCTTTTGAGGTCTAGTTTTTATACGAATAGGCAAGCAGAGTAAGTTCACGTTTCACCTCTAAAACGCAGTGTGAAGGATACTTTACACATGTATTTGAAAGAATAGGCTTTAATAGTCAATGTGCTTCTTTCTGTTTTTGTCATTAAGAAATTAAGCTGCTCAGCAAGGAACTGCGGAGCTTCCTGACAGCTCTTGTATCACTGCTCTCTGTCTATGTGACCGGTGTGTGCGTGGCCTTCATACTCCTCTCCAAAGTAAGTCAAATCCTCTTGCATGGAATGTCCCTATATCCTTGAATATTATCAAAAGAAAAATAATTTCTATCTCTCCACAAGTTATGGGCCTCAGCAAGAGCTCCCTAATTAACATTTTCCTGTGCATCTGCAGGGAACACCACCTGCAGAAGAGGTCTTTGGAAGAAGGCATCATACATTCTCATCACTGAAATTATTAGCCAGGGGACATAGTTTGCTGTTTTCTCTTTAAAGCCCAGTAGCATGGGATTAAGAAGAGAGCCATCCACTATGCTATCTTTCTGCTGTAGGGGTGAGGTGTGGGCAGGTGGAGGGCGAGATATTACTGTTATCTACGAAAGCCTTAAGAACAGTCTTTAAGAACAAAAATGGGTTGATGAAGAAACTAAAAGCCGCCTTAAAATCTTCAAAAAGGGCTAAAGTTATTAAAAAAGAATACCTTTTGGCTATGTGTATAAGAAGGGAGATGTATACCATTGTGTTAGGATTACTATAAATCCTACAATCAACGTCAGTTTGTTCAATTAGTTTTTAATGGAGTAAAAGCATCTCAAAAATGATGTAAAAATTAAGTCTCATTGTATATCACTTAAATATTAAGTTAGTTTAATCTTATTAGGGCATGAGATATCTGCCACCATTGTTATGAGTACATAAAATGTTTCATAGACTTTCCTTCTCTTCTTGGCAGTCAAAATCCAACCCTCTAAGAAACAAAGAAATAAAAGAAGACTCACAAAAGGTACAGACCAACACTTGAAAAATATTTTTTAAATTGTGGCTGGTTGTAACGATTTCAAAACTGAAATATTTTTTAGCTTTTAAATATTTAAATGTTAAGTTTAAACAGAATATCAAGGTAACTTTCAACTGCAGACACTATTTCCTATTGTTGAGAAACTCAATGACAAAATAATCTCAAGGGGTAAACTGTGACTTAAATTGGACAGTTCTCAACCATAAATTATATTTAAAGTTCTCAAATACAAAAGAGTTAACTGTAGGCACATATGTGTTGGGGGAGGGGGTAGTTTTTGGGACCGGTGGCAATAGAGCAAGAAAAGTTCTGATGATGCGTCGTTATCATCGCTTATATTCCCAAAAGAGAATTTTTTTTTCTCATTTGTCTTTATAGAAGAAGAGTGCTCGGCGTATTTTTCAGGAAATTGCTCAAGAACTATACCATAAGAGACATGTGGAAACAAATCAGCAATCTGTAAGTGTAAAATGTCAAAAAAAAATGTAAATACAGATATAAAGCACGTTTGAAAAAACTAAGCTGCCAAGGAGCTGTCAAGAACCATGTTTTCCTTCAGAAGAGTCTGAAAGAGAACTTTCACAAGAATGTATTTTTATATAGAACCTGTTTTAATAAATACATAACAAAAGACATCTGATACAATATTAAATAGCCCCAGGCTGGCATCTTAGTGACATGGAAACTTTCAGAAACACATTAGACACGAGCAATGTTTTCAATACAGACAATGATGCTTTAAAAGGATAGATTAAAAGCTACTCTGTACAGTATCCTGCATGCAGTGGTAGGCGTTCAGTAGATACTGCAAATGTTTGTGGGTCAAATTATGAAAAAAAATTACTTGTTACTTATAAGGCAAAAATAAATTCACATTAGAAAAGATGCAGCTAATGATATTAAAAAACAAGTATTTCTCCAGTGTCTGGAGTTGAACTGAAAAGAATACATGTATATCTATAATACATCCTGAAAGTATTCCTTTAAAGTCTTATATAAACAGGTTCTTCAAACAAAATATTATCTTAATGCCAATAGAACAGATACTTTGTTTCCATGATGCATGATGAGATAGCTCAAATAAGCTAAAATGTATACAAAATAAGGTTAATTTATTTTTATTTATTTTTTAAAATTTATGGAATGCTTCACAAATTTGCATGTCATCTTTGTGTAGGGGCCATGCTAATCTTCTCTGTATCATTCCAATTTTAGTGTAAGTGCTGCCAAAGCGAGCACAAAATAAGCTGAACTGATAAACTAGTAAAGATATTTTCCTCTTAAACAGCAGCCAAGAGGGCAAATGCATCAGGAGACTGAAATAAGGCGATTTTTTTAAGTCCAACTTTTACTTTAATTGTTTTCTTTTTAAAAAAATATGGAACGCTTCACGAACTTGTGTGTCATCCTTGCCCAGGGGCCATGCTAATCTTCTCTATATTGTTCCAATTTTAGTGTATGTGCTGCCAAAGCAAGCGCTAAAAATCTAACTTTCACAAAGGATTTTTGCCAAGGAAAGAATATTGTCTAAGTAGTCGTTTCATCCTACAGTGTATATATGAATACATAAAGATAGGTGGTCTAATTACTAAGATGCCATGCTGAGTAATTACAAATCATTTTTCTTTCTGAGGCTGGGACATGTTTTCAACAACAAGGCCGAGGTATGTGGCCTGAAAGCAGTCTTAGAAGTGAGAATTGTAAAGCTCCCAGCCACGATTTTGACAGTAGCATCCAAACAAAAAAAAAAAGTATTTTTCAGTTCCCACATCCTACTCTAAATACGGATGGGGAAAACGGTAATCTGGCCTTTAAGATTACCATATGGACACTTAGGACCCAGAATCCAAGATGGCCCAGTGGTTTGCATGTTCCTTGGCAGTTGGCTTCATTGGTTACATAACCTTAAACATGGCTTTCTATTTATTTATTATTGCAGGAGAAAGATAACAACACTTATGAAAACAGAAGAGTACTTTCCAACTATGAAAGGCCATAGAAACGTTTTAATTTTCAATGAAGTCACTGAAAATCCAACTCCAGGAGCTATGGCAGTGTTAATGAACATATATCATCAGGTCTTAAAAAAAAATAAAGGTAAACTGAAAAGACAACTGGCTACAAAGAAGGATGTCAGAATGTAAGGAAACTATAACTAATAGTCATTACCAAAATACTAAAACCCAACAAAATGCAACTGAAAAATACCTTCCAAATTTGCCAAGAAAAAAAATTCTATTTTAAACTTGTATCCTGAGTCTGTTTCATTCAACATGAGATGTGTGATGACTGCCATCCTGAAGATCTGAAGCCAAACCATGTGCCTCAGTCTTGAGTGGAAGAATCACCTTTATGGTTTGTGGAAATCATGGCACAATTAAAATAAGTTGGGAGGGACAACGTGACAAAATTTGAGTTAGAGACATTCATTTTGAAAAGCACCTTAGTAAAGTTATTTCCTCTGATGTTGTAATGGGGCAGTGGGGTAACGCACATTTGCCTGCCAGGGTATGCAAAGTAACTTACATCATGCTATCAGCAAAATGAGAATAATATAGTGGCTAGAGTAAGACCATAAAAGCCAAAATACAGAAAATCCAAAGCTGAAGGTTAAACAGAGGTAACTTCAGAACAAATAAGCCACAACGGACTCTAGATGTCAGTGTTGTGCCAAATAACAGCACCAGGGAAGATGTGGGCAACACATCTACTTTACAAGCACGTTTGTAATACTGATTTTTTTTCTTTTCTTTTTTTTTTTTTTTTGAGACAGAGTCTCGTTCTGTTGCCCAGGGTGGAGTGCAGTGGTGCAATCTCGGCTCACTACAACCTCCACCTCCCGGGTTCATGCCATTCTTCTGCCTCAGTTTCCCAAGTAGCTGGGATTACAGGTGCGCACCACCACGCCCGGCTAATTTTTTTTTTTTTTTTTTTTTGTATTTTTAGTAGAGACGGGGTTTCACCATGTTGGCCAGGCTGGTCTCAAACTCAAGACCTCAGATGATCTGCCTGAAATGGCCTCCCAAAGTGCTGGGATTACAGGCGTGAGCCACCGCGCACAGTCTATAATACTGATTTTTAACCAATTTAGGAGGGAAATGTCAGATAGGAGGCATGGTACAAGGATATTTATGGAATTCATTACCACTTCACTAAGAAAACATGATATAAATTGTCCTTTGAAAGCTACTTTGGTATAAAAAAATCTAAAGTGCCCATAAGTATGCATTCATTATTAGACACAAATTACAACCTTACAACCTACTATGTTTATTTCATTAAAGTGTCTCTTTTAGGCCGGGTGTGGTGGCTCACGCCTGTAATCCCAACACTTTGGGAGGCTGAGGCAGGTGAATCATGAGATCAGGAGTTCGAGACCAGCCTGAACAACATGATGAAACCCGTCTCTACTAAAAATACAAAAAAATTTAGCGGGGTTTGGTGGCACACACCTGTAATCCCAGCTATTTGGGAGGCTGAGGCAGGAGATCACTTGAACCCAGGATGCGGAGGTTGCAGTGAGCTGAGATCACGCCACTGCACCCCAGCCTAGGTGACAGAGCAAGACTGTCTCAAAAATAAATAAATAAATAAATAAATAAATAAAATAAAGTGTTTCTTTTAAACTGGTATTGCCTAAGGTGTATTCTTTATAAAACTTAGAATTGTTAAATATTTTAAGATTCCTTTGAAAGTGTTTTTGCATTGATGGTTTAAATCAGTGATATCAAACTTTCCTGATCCTATGTGCCCAGAAAAATGGGCAGGGGAAAGGAGGCAGCATGGAACCTCATTTTTTTGTGTGTATCTGTGTGTACACGTGAGTGCACATGTGTATATGTGTGGGGCCACATGTGTTTTGTATACGGTATATGCATGAAAATGTACCTTTGTACCTTATACACAAAAACAAATTAAACAATGGCATAAGCAGCAATATAAATAAAAAATGCTAATACTTTCCTGCCATATTCCAAAATAAACTGTCTTGTGTACTCTGCAGTGTGTACTTCCCCACTCTGAGACCACTAGCTCAGGTAAAGTAATGAGCTTCTAAGCCAGACTGCAAAAAAGGGCAAGCACTAATACCATCGAAATGAACAGAAGTGTTGAATTCGATCATTTGCTTTTCATTTCTGGGAGTCATTACATTTTGGTACTGAATTCCAGGACTGAAAATACACTGTTCATTGTCTAACCAGGAGACAAAATCCCTCAGATAAACTAGTATTTGACTCACAATATGCCTTTCCCATGTAAGCAAGGACCGTGTTTCAAAGATTGATTTTGAAGCTGAAATACGGAATATACTTTCGCAAAGAGTTCCATTCCTCTAGGTCTTATATAAGAATATCTGGTGTATACACAGTATTCATTCATTTATTCATCTATCTCACCAAAAGTATATATTTTCAAACTTCAAAATAAGTTTTATTTGGGAAGAGTTTCTTATTTTGTTAAAGCTACAAGCAAGTTTCTTTCCCAATTACACTTCTAGAGATCTTAGCAGTTTCAGAGATTTCAGTGTTCAAAAGTATATTTCAAAATTAACAACAAAACCAAACCCACACCAAAAGGAAATAGCTTTGAGATTAGTTTGGGATGTACAGTCATTGATTTCAGGCGCCAACACTATTTACTGAGTGCTACACTATACAATCAAAGGCCTCTTTTGCAAACTATCCTCGGGTCATACTGAACTTGCTCCACCCCCACACAAACCTTACTCACACCTTCATGCTTTTGCACATGCTGTTCCCCTCAGCCTGGTAAAATGCTTCAGACTACAAACACAGCTCACCTCAACATGAAACCTTCCCTAACTCACCCACAGGCTAACAGATCTATTCGTCTCTAATTCTTCAGTACTTAGTTTGACATATTTCTTACCACAATTTCCTGCCATTATCTGTTTCTATCTATATTGTGTACTATTCTGTGTTTTAAGAGCAAAAGCGTGATTCTCATTTATCTTTATATTTCCACTTGGTACACAGTAGGCCCTCAAATGCCTTCTATAAATGCAATTGAACAATGTTTCTATAGAAAAATGTTCCTTCAGCATTTAAATTGAGATATGTAGCATACTTCAGTCCCTCACCATGAAGCTTCACCCCTTTCCATAAAGACCATTCAACAAACCCCAACAGTACTAATTGTCCTGCTATCTGAGCATCCAGAAAAGAATTAAACTGCAACTTTTTCTTTCTTCTTGAGATGGAGTTTTGCTCTTGACGCTCAGGCTGGAGTACAATGGCGTGATCTCGGCTCACTGCAACCTCTGCCTCCAGGGTTCAAGTGATTCTCCTGCCTCAGCCTCCTGAGTAGCTGGGATTATAGGCATCTGCCACCATGCCTGGCTAATTTTTGTATTTTTAGTAGAGATGGGGTTTCACTCTGTTGGCCAGGCTGGTCTCAAACTCCTGACCTCAGGTGATCTGCCCACCTTGGCCTCCCAAAATGCTAGGATTACAGGCATAAGCCACCGCACCCAGCCTAAGCTGTAACTTTCTGTTTAGATTTGGGTTTCCTATGACAATTAAAAAAGAATTAATACTGAAACAACTTGTTTTACTTCGAGCTGCAAAAACAAATTACCATAGACTGAGTGGCTTATTGAGAGGTGACAATGTGCTAGCAGCCCTCGCTCGCTCTCAGCGCCTCCTCGGCCTCGGTGTCCGCTCTGACCGCACTCAAGGAGCACTTCAGCCCGCCGCTGTGCTGTGGGGACCCCTCTCTGTGGCTGGCCGAGGCCGGACTGGCTCTCTGCTCGCGGGGAAGTGTGGAGGGAGAGGCACGGGCAGGAGCCGGGCTGCGCGCAGCGCACGCGGGCCAGCACAGGTTCCGGGTGTGTACGGGCTCAGCAGGCCCAGCACTCGGTGCCACTGGCTGGTGCCTGCTGGGCTTAATCAGGGGACAAGCTCCCTCTGGGCTGCTGGAGTGCCCAGGCTAGGTGCCACAAAGTCCCGCAGCCAGTGCCATTGAGAGGTGAAGCTGGCTGGGCTTCTGAGTCGGGTGGGGACCTGGAGAACTTTTCTGTCTAGCTAAAGGTTTGTAAATGCACCAATCAGCACTCTGTGTCTACTTAAAGGTTTGTAAACGCACCAATCAGTGCTCTGTGTCTAGCTAATGGTTTATAAATACACCAATCAGCGCTCTGTGTCTAGCTAGCCGGGTAGCAGACTTGGAGAACTTGTGTCTAGCTAAAGGATTCTAAACGCACCAATCAGCACTCTGTGTCTAGCTAAAGGTTTGTAAACACACAAATCAGCGCTCTGTCAAAACGGACGAATCAGTGCTCTGTAAAATGGACCAATCAGCTCTCTGTAAAATGGACCAATCAGCAGGATGTTGGTGGGGCCAGATAAGGGAATAAAAGCAGGCCAACAGAGCCAGCAGCAGCAACCCGCTCGGGTCCCCTTCCATACTGTGGAAGCTTTGTTTTTTCACTCTTCGCAATAAATCTTGCTGCTGCTCACTCTTTGGGTCCGTGCCACCTTTAAGAGCTGTAATACTCACTGCAAAGGTCTGCAGCTTCACTCCTGAAGTCAGCGAGACCAAGAACCCACCAATTCCAGACACATTTTGGCGACCCAGATGGGACTATCACCTATCGCCAAGTGGTGAGACTATCGCCTATCGCCAAGCGGTAAGTACCATCGGACCCTTTTCACTTGCTATTCTGTCCTATTTTTCCTTAGAGTTCGGGGGCTAAATACTGGGCACCTGTCAGCCAGTTAAAAGTGATTAGCGCAGCCACCGGGCTAAAGACATGGGTGTCAGGCTTTCTGGGAAAGGGCTAACAACCCCCGACTCTTCAGAGTTGGGAGCGGTGGTTGGCCTGGAACCAGCTTCCGCCTTTCCAGTACTTCTGGGCTGAACCGAGGGTCGACAGAGAGGAAAGCCATTCAGCTCCGGGGTCCCAACAAGAAGTTGGTTGACCCTGCGGCCATGAGCAGAACTCTCAATGTCGCCCAAGCGAGACTAGCCCATCTATTCTATCTACCCTGACCCTTGCCTCCTGGGTCCTAACGCCTGTCAGACAAACTTCCTCTCACCTCTTGGAGTCTCTGAGGCTAGTCCCACTTCTCAAAATCACTCCCTGTCTCTGGTGCTTTTCCAGTTTCTCCTATGAGGATGATTTCTAGTATAAACTCCAGGAGTCTACTCCCTTCTTTAGGCACCTGGGCTCACCAATCAGAAAGACATAATTTTTGCCCAAAGCCCCGTCATAGGGGGAACTCTGGAATTTTAGGATCCCTCCTTAGAAAAGCAGGCCTAACAAATGCTATTCCTGAAGCTAGGATATGGGGAGCCTCAGAAATTGTATCCTTCCTATTCATATAAGTGAGGACAAAAGGTGTCACTCTTCCAACCCTGGAGATCCCTTCCCTCCCTCAGGGTATGGCCCTCCACTTCATTTTTGAGGCACAACATCTTTATAGGACACAGGTAAGGTCCCAATACTAACAGGAGAATGCTTAGGACTCTAACAGGTTTTTGAGAATGCATCAGTAAAGGCCACTAAATCCAATTTTTCTCAGTCTTTGTGGTCTACGAGGACAGGCAAGGGTGCAGGTTTTCGAGAATGCGTCAGTAAGGGCCACTAAATCCGGCCTTCCTCAGTCCTCCTTGTGGTCTGGGAGGAAAACTACCGTTTCTGCTGCTGCTTCGGTGAGCGCAACTATTCCAATTAGCAGGGTCCGGGGACTGCTGCAGGTTCTTGGGCAGGGGGAGAAACAAAACAAACCAAAAACACAGGCGGTTTTGTCTTTCAGATGGGAAACAGGCATCAACAGGCTCACCCTTGAAATGCATCCTAAGCCACTGGGACCAATTTGACCCACAAACCCTGAAAAAGAAGCGGCTCATTTTTTTCTGCACTATGGCCTAGCCCCAATATTCTCTCTCTGATGGGGAAAAATGGCCACCTGAGGGAAGTAGAAATTACAATACTATCCTGCAGCTTGACCTTTTCTGTAAGAAGGAAGGCAAATGGAGTGAAATACCTTATGTCCAAGCTTTCTTTTCATTGAAGGAGAATACACGAGAATACACAACTATACAGAGCTTGCAATTTACATCCCACAGGAGGACCGCTCAGCTTACCCCCCATATCCTAGCCTCCCTATAGCTCCCCCTCCTATTAATGATAATCCTCCTCTAATCTCCCCTGCCCAGAAGGAAATAAGCAAAGAAATCTCCAAAGGACCACAAACCTCCCCAGGCTATCGGTTATGTTCCCTTCAAGCTGTAGGGGGAGGGGAATTTGGCCCAACCTGAGTACATGTCCCCTTCTCCCTCTCTGATTTAAAGCAGATCAAGGCAGACCTGGGGAAGTTTTCAGATGATCATGATAGGTACACAGATGTCCTACAGGGTCTAGGGCAAACCTTCAACCTCGCTTGGAGAGATGTCATGCTACTGTTAGATCAAACCCTGGCCTTTAATGAAAAGAATACGGCTTTAGCTGCAGCCCGAGAGTTTGGAGATACCTGGTATCCTAGTCAAGTAAATGACAGCCGAAGAAAGGGATAAATTCCCTACTGGTCAGCCAGCCGTCCCCAGTACAGATCCCCACTGGGACCTTGATGCAGATCATGGGGACTGGAGTCGTAAACATCTGTTGACCTGTGTTCTAGAAGGACTAAGGAGAATTAGGAAAAAGCCCATGAATTATTCAATGCTGTCCACCGTAACTCAGGGAAAGGAAGAAAATCCTTCTGCCTTCCTTGAGCAGCTACAGGAGGCCTTAAGAAAATATACTCCCGTCGCCCAAATCACTCAAGGGTCAATTGATCCTAAAAGGTAAGTTTATTACCCAATCGGCTGCAGATATCAGGAGAAAGCTCCAAAAGCAAGCCCTGGGCCCTGAACAAAATCTGGAGGCATTATTAACCTGGCAACCTCGGTGTTCTATAATAGGGACAGGCCCAAAAGGAAAAGTGAGATCAGAGAAAGGCCACAGCCTTAGTCATAGCCTTCAGACAAACAAACCTTGGTGGTTCAGAGAGGACAGAAAATGGGGCAGGTCAATCACCCGGTAGGGCTTGTTATCAATGTGGTTTACAAGGACACTTTAAGAAAGATTGTCCAATGAGAAATAAGCCGCCCCCTCATCCATGTCCACTATGCTGGGGCAATCACTGGAAGGTGCACTGCCCCAGAAGACAAAGGTTCTCTGGGTCAGAAGCCCCCAACCGGATGATCCAACAACAGGATTGAGGGTGCCCGGGGCAAGCGCCAGCTCATGTCATCATACTCACTGAGCCCCAGGTATGCTTAACTATTGAGTGCCAGGATTGACTTCCTCATGGACACTGGTGTGGCCTTCTCAGTGTTAATCTCCTGTCCAGATGACTGTCCTCAAGGTCCGTTACCATCCGAGGAATCCTGGGACAGCCTGTAACCAGGTATTTCTCCCACCTCCTCAGTTGTAATTGGAAACTTTGCTCTTTTCACTTGCCTTTCTTGTTAAGCCTGAAAGTCCCACATCCTTATTAGGGAGGGGTATATTAGCCAAAGCTGGAGCTATTATCTACATGAATATGGGGAACAAGTTACCCATCTGTTGTCCCCTACTTGAAGAGGGAATCAACCCTGAAGTCTGGGCATTGGAAGGACAATTTGGAAGGGCAAAAAAATGCCCGCCCAGTCCAAATCAGGCTAAAAGACCCCACCACTTTTCCTTATCAAAGGCACTATCCCTTAAGGCCTAAAGCTCATAAAGGATTACAGGATACTGTTAAACATTTAAAAGCTCAAGGCTTAGTATGGAAATGCAGCAGTCCCTGAAACACCTCAATTCTAGGAATACAGAAACTGAACGGTCAGTGGAGACTAGTGCAAGATCTTAGACTCATCAATGAGGCAGTAATTCCTCTATATCCAGTTGTACCCAACCCCTATACCCTGCTCTCTTAAATACCAGAGGAGGCAGAATGGTGCACTGTTCTGGACCTCAAGGATGCCTTCTTCTGTATTACCCTGCACACTGACTCCCAGTTTCTCTTTGCCTTTGAGGATCCCACAGACCACACATCCCAATTTACGTGGACAGTCTTGCCCCAAGGGTTTAGGGATAGCCCTCACCTGTTTGGTCAGACACTGGCCCAAGATCTAGGACACTTCTCAAGTCCAGACACTCTGATCCTTCAGTATTTGGATGATTTACTTTTGGCTACCAGTTCAGAAGCCTCGTGCCAGCAGGCTGCTCTAGATCTCTTGAACGTTCTAGCTAATCAAAGGTACAAGGTGTCTAGGTCAAAGGCCCAGCTTTGCCTACAGCAGGTCAAATATCCAGACCTAATCTTAGCCAGAGGGACCAGGGCCCTCAGCAAGGAATGAGGGCCCTCAGCAAGGAACAAATACAGCCTATACTGGCTTATCCTTGCCCTAAGACATTAAAACAGTTGCGGGGGTTCCTTGGAATCACGGGCTTTTGCTGACTATGGATCCCCAGATACAGCGAGATAGCCAGGCCCCTCTATACTCTAATCGAGGAGACCCAGAGAGCAAATACTCATCTAGTAGAAGGGGAACCAGAGGCAGAAATAGCCTTCAAAACCTTAAAGCAGGCCCTAGTATAAGCTCTGACTTTAAGCCTTCCCACAGAACAAAACTTCTCTTTATACATCACAGAGAGAGCAGGGATAGCTCTTGGAGTCCTTACTCAGACTTGTGGGATGACCCCACAACCAGTGGCATACCTAAGTAAGGAAATTGATGTAGTAGCAAAAGGCTGGCCTGTTTACGGGTAGTTGCGGCGGTGGCCATCTTAGTGTCAGAGGCTATCAAAATAATACAAGGAAAGGATCTCACTGTCTGGACTACTCATGATGTAAGTGGCATACTAGGTGCCAAAGGAAGTTTATGGCTATCAGACAACCACCTGCTTAGATACCAGGCACTACTCCTTGAGGGACCAGTGCTTCAAATACGTATGTGCGTGGCCCTCAACCCTGCCACTTTTCTCCCAGAGGATGAGGAACCAATCGAGCATGACTACCAATAAATTATAGTCCAGACTTATGTGGCCCGAGATGATCTCTTAGAAGGCCCCCTAGCTAATCCTGACCTTAACCTATATACCGATGGAAGTTCATTTGTGGAGAATGGGATACAAAGGGCAGATTATGCCATAGTTCATGATGTAACCGTACTTGAAAGTAAGCCTCTTCCCCCAGGGACCAGTGCCCAGTTAGCATAACTAGTGGCACTTACCTGAGCCTTAGAACTGGAAAAGGGAAAAAGAATAAATGTGTATACAGATAGCAAGTATGCTTATGTAATCCTACATGCCAATGCTGCAATATGGAAAGAAAGGGAGTTCCTAACCTCTGGGGGGAACCCCCATTAAATACCACAAGGCAATTACGGAGTTTTTGCATGCAGTGCAAAAACCCAAGGAGGCGGCAGTCTTACACTGCCAAAGCCATCAAAAGGGGAAGGAGAGGGGAGAACAGCAGGATAAGTGGCTGGCAGAGGCAGGGAAAAACCAGCAGAAAGGGAAGAGAGGAAGAGACAGAGGGAGTCAGAGAGAAAGAAAGAAAGAGACAAAGTCAAAGAGACAGAGACAAAGAGGGAGTCAGTGAGAGAGAGAGACAAAGAAAAAGTCAAAGAGAAAGAGAGATGGAAGTAGTAAAGAAAAAACAGTGTACCCTATTCCTTTAAAAGCCAGGGTAAAGTTAAAACCTATAATTGATAATTGAAGGTCTTCTCTGTAACCCTGTAACACTCCAATACCACCTTGTTGTCAGTGTAAACAAGGGCGTAGCGCGAAAGCACTGAGGCCACTGACAACCCATAGCCTTCCTATCAAAAATCCTTAACCCAGCAGGTTTCCTAACAGGGGATCTAAATCTTAATCACCATACAAAGGTCCAATCAGACATAGGAGGAACTCCCTTCAGGACAGGACGATAGATGGTTCCTCCCGGGCGATTAAGGAAAAACGACACAATGAGTATTCAGTAAATGATAAGGAAACTCTTGTAGAAACAGAGTTAGGAAAATTGCCTAATAATTGGTCTGCTCAAACTTGCAAGCTGTTTGCACTCAGCTGAGCCTTAAAGTACTTACAGAATCAGGAAGGAGCCATCTATACCAATTCTAAGTTAATATACACTAAACGAGGTCTTATTAATAGCAAAGAATAATTGAAATCCCAAACTTAAAAGGTTTTCAACAAAAGTAAAGTTTGCTAAAAGTTAACAGTGTAAACATATATTATCCTAACTTCTAATCTTGTGGAAATCAGACCCTATCAATACTCTTCAAAGCTCAAGTCCGTCAGCACAGAGCCATACAACTAATACCCCTATTTATAGGGTTAGGAATGGCTACTGCTACAGGAACCGGAATAGCCAGTTTATCTACTTCATTATCCTACTATTACACACTATCAAAGGATTTCTCAGATAGTTTGCAAGAAATAACAAAATCTATCCATACTCTACAATCCCAAATAGACTCTCTGGCAATAGTGACTCTCCAAAACCCCTGAGGCGTAGACCTCCTCACTGCTGAGAAGGGAGGACTCTGCACCTTCTTAGGAGAAGAGTGTTGTTTTTACACTAACCAGGCAGGGATAGTACGAGATGCCGCCCAGCGTTTACAGGAAAAGGCTTCTGAAATCAGACACCACCTTTCAAACTCTTGTACCAACCTCTGGAGTTGGGCAACATGGCTTCTCCCCTTTCTAGGTCCTGTGGCAGCCATCTTGCTGTTACTCACCTTTGGGCCCTGTAATTTTAACCTTCTTGTCAAATTTGTTTCCTCTAGAATGGAGGCCATCAAGCTATAGATGGTCTTACAAATGGAACCCCAAATGAGCTCAACTAACAACTTCTACCGAGGACCCCTGGACCAACCCGCTGGCCCTTCCACTGGCCTAAAGAGTTCCCCTCTGGAGGACACTACAACTGCAGGGCCCCTTCTTCGCCCCTATCCAGCAGGAAGTAGCTAGAGTGGTCATCAGCCAAATTCCCAACAGCAGTTGGGGGTATCCTGTTTAGACGGGGGATTGAGAGGTGACAACGTGCTAGCAGCCCTCGCTCGCTCTCGGCGCCCCCTCGGCCACGGCGTCGGCTCTGGCTGTGCTCGAGGAGCCCTTCAGCCCACGGCTGCACTGTAGGGGCCTCCTCTCTGGGGCTGGCCGAGGCCAGAGCCGGCTCCCTCTGCTCACAGGGAGGTGTGAAGGGAGAGGTGCAGGCGGGAGCCAGCGTGGGTTCCGGGTGGGCGCAGGCTCGGCAGGCCCCGCACTTGGCGCCACCAGCCAGCGCCTGCTGGGCTTGATCGGGGGACAAGCTCCCACTGGGCTGTCGGAGTGCCCAGGCTAGGTGCCGCAAAGTCCCGCAGCCAGTGCCATTGAGAGGTGAAGCCAGCTGGGCTTCTGGGTCGGGTGGGGACCTGGAGAACTTTTCTGTCTAGCTAAAGGTTTGTAAATGTACCAATCAGCACTCTGTGTCTACCTAAAAGTTTGTAAACACACCAATCAGCACTCTGTGTCTAGCTAATGGTTTGTAAACGCACCAGTCAGCGTTCTGTGTCTAGCTAATCAGGTAGGGGACTTGGAGAACTTTTGTGTCTTGCTAAGGGATTGTAAACGCACCAATCAGCACTCTGTGTCTAACTAAAGGTGTAAACGCACCAATCAGCGCTCTGTCAAAACGGACCAATCAGCTCTCTGTAAAATGGACCAATCAGCTCTCTGTAAAATGGACCAATCAGCAGGCTGTGGGTGGGGCCAGATAAGGGAATAAAAGCAGGCCACCCAAGCCAGCAGCACCAACCTGCTGGGTCCCCATCCATGCTGAGGAAGCTTTGTTCTTTCGTTCTTTGCAATAAATCTTACTGCTGCTCACGCTTTGGGTCCGTGCCACCTTTAAGAGCTGTAACACTCACCGCAAAGGTCTGCAGCTTCACTCCTGAGGCCAGCAAGACCAGGAACCCACCAGAAGGAACTAACACCTCCAGACAGGCCGCCTTTATGAACTGTAACACTCACCGCAAAGGTTTGTAGCTTCATTCCTGAAGTCAGAGAGACCAAGAACCCACCAATTCCAGACACAGAACAATAGAAATTTATGAGTTCTGGTGAGGACCCTCTTTCTAGGTACAGGCTGCTGACCTCTTGTTGTATCCTTGCATGGCAGAAGGTAGAGAGAAGCAAGGTCTCTCGGAACTCTTAAAAGGGCATTCATCCCATTCAGGAAGGCTCTGCTCTCATGATCTCATCTAATCCTAATCACCTCCTAAAGACCCCTTCCTAATACCATCACGATGGGGGGTGGGGGCCTCAAAATATATATCTGGGAGGAACACAAACAAACACGCAGTCTATAACACAACTTTAAGAGGGAAATGTAATCACAGCACTTTGGGAGACTGAGGGGGCATCACTTGAGGTCAGGAGTTCAAGATCAGCCTGGCCAACATAGCGAAACCCTGTCTCTACTAAAAATACAAAAATGAGCCGGGTGTGGTGGCACACATCTATAACCCCAGCTACTCAGCAGGCTGAGTCAGGAAAATCACTTGAACCCAGGAGGCGGAGGTTGCAGTGAGTAAGCCAAGATCGTGCCACCACATTCCATCCTCGGTGACAGAGTGAGACTCCATCTCCAAAAAAAAAAAAAGAAACATCTCAAGCCAAACAACAGCAACTTCAAGTAAAAAAAAAAAAAATTAGCATCATATTTAAAGTAGTAATATTTTCATTAAAGTTAGAAACAAGGCCAGGTGCAGTGGCTCACACCTATAATCCCAACACGCTGGGAGGCGAAGGCAGGCCAATCACTTGATTCCAAGAGTTCAAGACCAGCCTGGACAACGCCGCCAGACGCCCTCTCTACCAAAAAAATACAAAAGTTAGATGGGTGTGGTGGTATGCACCTGTAGTCCCAGCTACTCAGGAGGCTGAGGTGGGAGAATAGCTTGAGCCCAGGAGGTCAAGGCTGCAGTGAGCTGTGACAGCACCACTGCACTCCCGTCTGGGCAACAGAGCAAGTCCCTTTCAGAAAAGAAAGAAAAAGAAAGAAAGAAAAAAAAGTGGGGGAGGACAGGGGAGGGTGTTTTGTTTTTAAACATTACTAAGCAAATTGCTATCTAGAGACCTCCTCTAGTAAAGTTATACATCTAGTGGTGTGCTGGTAAATGTGTAACTACCAGCTTGGAGAAGAAAATGGCTATTTGCAGTGTTTGCCAATTTCTATAGTGTAAATACTCCCATCATGGTCAATTTCAATAATGGCCATGTTTAACAACCAGTTCACTTAAATTCCTACCAAAACAACAATCAGCTCTCATGAACCAGTCCACGCCAGCTCCAGCATCTACAGCTTACATGTAGACAACCATGTGGAGACATATGTGCTGGTAAGAACTACTTTCCTAGATACATTTAAGTGGAAAAAGGCAACAGAAGTTATTTATAATTGGGAACTGCCTGTATAATTTTTTTAATGTACATACAGACTTACATTTACATAGACTATCTTTTAAAGAATATTCAAGAAACCTGAACAAGACTGTGGAACTGGACTGGATGAGAAACTTTTTTTGTTTTGTTTGTTTTTTGAGATGGAGTCTGGCTCTGTCACCCAGGCTGGAGTGCAGTGGTGCAATCTCGGCTCACGGCAAGCTCCGCCTCCTGGGTTCACGCCGTTCTCCCACCTCAGCCTCCCCAGTAGCTGGAACTACAGGCGCCCACCACCACACCCGGCTAATTTTGTTTTTATATTTTTAGCAGAGATGGTGTTTCACTGTGTTAACTCAGGATGGTCTCGATCTCCTGACCTCATGATCTGCCTGCCTTGGCCTCCCAAAGTGCTGGGATTACAAGCATGAGCCACCACGCACAGCCCAGAAACTTTTTATTGTAAACCCTCTAGTAAGTTGCTTGAAGTATTTTTTTTTAATTACTGAATTACTTTTTAATAAAAATTACAATTTTGAAAAATTAAACATCATTAAATTTTTATTTTTACAATATAATTATCCTTCTCTTGACTTCATATCTTTCCTTCTTTGGGGGGTGCTTAAAATAATTCTCACTAGATTCAATAACCCCTAGCCAAAACTGGGTCAGTAAACCAAATAAACTGAAATTAGAATGGTATTTTTTTCATTTTTTTTCCAAATAGCAAAACTGCTGTGGTTCAACTTCAAGCCATTTACCAAAACAATTACCTAAGTAATCATTTCACCTACAACTACTTTTAGTTAAAAAAAAACAAATTAAGCCAAGTATGCAAAGCACACTCAGATATCCTCCAACAGTCCAGCATTCATGAATCTACACAGCAAAACCATTTTGCATCTCCCAGTCCTCATGGTTTCACATGGAAATCATCAGGATCTAATTAGTGACTCAGAGAAAGAAAGCAATAATAGAGTGCCGTGGCGCGCCTGCAAAATTTATAGGTCACTAAAAGTCACCCATAGCAACAAGGCTTCTTGTCTCAGGTCTGCAGTGTGTCACATGCCAGACTCCTCAGACTCAACAGGCAGCTCTGCACATCCACAATCAAGGAGCTTGTTTTCCACACTTCATGGAGACTTCCCTCTTGTCTAGTTTGACTTCCTCTCCATTTTTAGCATCAGAAACACAAGGAAATAAAATTCGTGGTTAGATTGATGTTTCTTCCCCCTGCTCTTTCATCTCCTGCTATGCCAGGAAGTAGCATTAAAGTTCTATCATGCGGTTGCCCAACAGGACACAGGAACCCAGGACCTTCCAACCTGATGACTAGTGAGTGCAATACAGAGAGCTGGAGCTGAGGCTTAATTACACAGGAAGGAGTAGCACTGAAGTAAGATCAGGTTGCTGAATCACGAAGGAGGACATTTTGCAACATATAGATGATATATATACACTCACATTTAAAAGCATTTTTTCTTTACCATGACAAACCACTCGACAACAGGAACATAAAAATGGAGATCTAAGATGGGAAAGGGGAGATCTGTTCTCTCTGCTCTTTTCCACACCCTTCTATATCGAAAGAATTCCCCATTTTCCCCATTATCAACACAAATCTGAAACCATTTGGTAAATATTAAGACAAGCATTAAATCTGAAGGCACTAAGATCTGGGGAGAAAAAACACATACAAGAAATTAAATTAATTTGTGACACCACAAATCCACACAGAATCCAATGGTTATATGAAACGGGCATTATTCCTTAAGACATAGATTTTCATATTTGATAATAATGACATTTGCAAAATCCTAATAGATTTCTTCAAAATGTCTGTGAGCTCTTAAGAGTTTCTGAAGTCAAGGTCAATCGAGGCAGTGAAATAGAAAATCTGAAGATTTTTCAGCCAGGGATGGTGGCTCGCACCTGTAATCTCAGCATTTTGGGAGGCAGAGACAGGAGGATCACCTGAGATCAGGAGTTAGAGACCAGCCTGGTCAACATGGCGAAACCCCATCTCTACTGAAAATACAAAAATTAGCCAGGCATAGTGGCATGTGCCTGAAGTCCCAGTTACTTGGGACTCAGAAGGCTGAGGCCGGAGAATGCCTGAACCCACGAGGTAGAGGTTGCAGTGAGCCAAGATCGCACCACTGCACTCCAGCCTGGGCGACAGAGCAAGGCTCTGTCTCAAAAAAATAAATGAAACACTGAAGATTTTTAAATAGTAACTTGTATTATTCATAAAATAAATAATTTTATATTAATGTACATTAACTTATGAAAATGCAGGAGACTTAAAATCATAACTTTCAAGATGACCTAAAATGCAAACCACACAAACTAAAACTATAACTTAATGTGGCATTAAGTCAGAATGGCCAGAAGTCACAGTAACTATGAAGTGATATGAAATCAACCCGTTTCTTCTAACATATTCTTCATTCAATATTGCTGAAGAGCAAGACCATGCAATCAAAAAATCAAATGTTACAGAAAGAAATGATACATGCTGCAACAACACACATGGTCTTCAAAAGAGAAAAAAACAGATAAAAGCATTTATCATTTTTAGAGTCTGGCACAAGAGATGCAAAACGGAAAACAAAACAGCCATGACATTCAGCAAGTATATACGACCAGATTTAAAGGCACTGTTTATTGCTCGATTCAGTTGTAAAGCTAATAAATAAATGGTTCAAGCTCCATTTAAAACCAGAGATACAGTTGCATTTTTAGCTTTCAATCTCAAGCAGTCAGACCCAGCTAAATATTAATTATTACCACTGCAAGGGGAATGCTAGACCTCTATAAAGTCCACCTTAAGGTGAACATTAACCAAGATGGTGTTTTACATGGATTAACTGGATTACTTTAAACTGCAGGCTATTATAAGACATACTAGACAATATTTAATTGTACACAGCACAAAATCACAAATACCAATAAACAGCTATCCTCAGTAAGAGCTAGCCTGACTGACCACACTTACCGTTTTCCACATAGGGATGAAAGGGGAGGACAAGGGCAAGGATGACCCTGCCTCTAGTTGGCTCCAAGACACTTCTGATATCTTTTAACAAAGTCAGGGGCTGATCACAGCGGTCCAGCAAGTTCAGGCAGCTGATGACATCATACTGGAACCCCGTATTCTGCCATTCATTTATACCAAGGACTCTAGAAAAATCAGAAATAACTGTATTAACATAAAGTCCCTCTAAAGACATCTTTAAAAATAACTGAGATGACAATAAAGGCTTTAACTTTGTCTTCTAAATTAAGTTCAAAATCTTCTGTTATAATTTATGTTTGCAATAATGACATGGCCAAGGAAGAGAAAAATAGCAACCATTTTTTTTTTTTTTAAATTTTTTCTTTTTTGAGACACAGCCTCACTCTGTTGCCCAGGCTGGAGTACAGTAGAGCAATCTCGGCTCACTGCAACCTCTGCCTCCCAGGTTCAAGTGATTCTCCTGCCTCCGCCTCCCCAGTAACTGAGATTACAGGCAGTTGCCACCATGCCCGGCTAATTTTTGTGTTTTTAGTAGAGACGGGGTTTTACCACATTGGCTAAGCTGATCTTGAACTCCTCACCTCAAGCGATCCGACTGCCTCGGCCTCCCAAAGTGCTGGGATTACAGGTGTGAGCTACCACGACTGGCCCATATTTCTTTAAATTTAGCATTTCACCTATTTCCAAATCTCAACACATACGAAGTTTCCTTTACAAGAACTAATCATGTTTAATAAGTATGAAGATGTAACCTGACAAAGTTATGAAACTAAAACATCAAATTCTTTTGAATATCAGTTAATGAACAAGAGTCCAGCTTTTTACCATTCATTGGAACTTAATCAAAAAATGCATCATATAATTAATGTTTTCTATTCCTAGGATCCCTTCTATTCTTAAAAATGGCTGGGAGTGGTATAAAATAATTTCCATTGATAACTTATGACCTTTGAGCACATTTCCGTTCCCAGGAAAGACATATTTCATACTTGAGAATCTTCATATCTGAATAACTATACAGAAAAGGACCGGGCACGGTGGCTCACGCCTGTAATCCTAGCACTTTGGGAGGCCAAGGCAGGCGGATCATGAGGTCAGGAGATTGAGACCATCCAGGCCAACATGGTGAAACACTGTCTCTACTAAAAATACAAAAATTAGCTGGGTGTGGTGGCGCGTGCCTGTAATCCCAGCTACCCGGGAGGCTGAGGTAGGAGAATCGCTTGAATCAGGGAGGCGGAGGCTGCAGTGAGCCGAGATCACATCACTGCACTCCAGCCTGAGGACAGAGCCAGACTCCATCTCAAAACAAAACAAAACAAAACAAAAACTATACAGAAAAGATAAAGCCCAGGACATCCTATTAACATTAAGAGCATGGTTTAAAAAAAAACCACTCTCGATCCTCAATCTCTCACTTTCATACACACGTACACAGAACACAGAGAACATTTTCAGTCCTCTACAATGTTGTTATCTCTAGAAAGGGGGAGTTTTTATATCAAGAGTCTTTGTTAGCCACACAATTAGGCAATTTTACAAATTACTTACTCCTGCTTGGTTATACCAATCAGAATGTGGTAGGTGAGATATGTTATGATAGAGACAGGTAAAAAAGGAAACATAAAAAAAGGATCTTTGGTAAACAAGTCTTTAGTAATGTTGAGCAGATACAGTAAGATAGCTCAGAAAATTCTAAAAGTATAATGAGGGTTGTTTTGAAAACCTCATTAGCATAATGATATTTAGAGCATTTCTGAATAGCAGAATTTTAAAAACACAAAGCACTTAGCTGCATTTTCTTTTCAATCTATATTTTTGTCAAACTAAAGCCTCTTCCAAATAGCAGCCTAACAAACTTCCAGGGACTAGTCAGATTCCTTACTGGTGCAGGTGTTTCATTGCACTAAATACTGTTTGAAATAAGTAGAGCATTCAGGCTTTAAAATCACTTTGTTGTACTAAGTCAACTGTAATAGCAATTTTGGAAATTCAATTTAGCTCATTCCAAGAGTTTCCAAACATTACTAAGAAGACTACTTTCAGAACAAAAATGTCATCAATTCCCATTCTAAAAAATGGAAATGAATAAAGAAAGGACTATTTGTATATATTAACGCCTTAGCTAAGCAGCCAATTTAAAGACACAAATTGTAAAACACAAATTATATATTTGATTTTTAAAAACAAAACAACAAAAAAAATCTGATGTCTATCTGCAATGAAGCAGAAGCCAAACATCATCAGCATGTTCTAATCTAGAATAATCTCACTAAACCTACCTCAGAATGAGTTTCAGATAGGTAGCCTCTGTGTTGGTAATTTTGGAAGAGAAATATATGCTCATAACACAAAAAGGTGACTAACACTAAGACAGTTAAATCTATACCTATAGAAGCTCAAGTGCATTCTTACTTCTGTTTTGTGATTTTTATTTGTAAACTCACTCAGTTCCACTGATGAAGACAAATTGCTTAGCCCCACTAAAACTGCGTATTAGCCCAGGAATCCTAACAAGTTGTCAGAATTTTCCTTTTTCTAAAACAGTATTTCTAAACCTAGAATGAGGGTATCTATTCAAGTGATTATTATTTTCAAGAAAATGAGTTAATACTTCCAGAAGGATGTAAAATATATTTCTCCTTAGAGAATGATAAAGCAGTCAGGTGCAGTAGCTAACATCTGTAATTCCAGCACTTTGGGAGGATCGCTTGAGCCTAGGAGTTTGAGACCAGCTGGGGCAACACAACAAGACCCCATCTCTATAAAAAATTAAAAATAGCCAAGGATGGTGGCACACACCTGTAGTCCTAGCTAAGCTACTTGGGCAGCTGAGGCAGGAGGATGGCTTGAACACAAGAGTTTGAGGTTACAGTGAGCTATGATTGTGTCACTGCACTCCAGCCTGGACGACAAAGCAAGATCCTGTCTCAAAAAAAAAAAAAAAAAAAAAAAAAAAAAAAAAAAAAAAAAAAAAAAAAGGCCAGGCATGGTGGCTCACACCTATAATCCTAGCACTTTGGGAGGCCAAAGCGGGCAGATTGCCTGAGCTCAGGAGTTCAAGACCAGCTGGGCAACACAGTGAAACCCCATCTCTACTAAAATACAAAAACTTAGCTGGGCGTGGCAGCATGCGCCTGTAGTCCCAGCTACTCGGGAGGCTGAGGCGGAGGCTGCACAGTAAGCCGAGATGGCACCACTGCACTCCAGCCTGGGCAACAGGGAGAGATTCCGTCTCCCAAAAAAAAAGATGCCTTGCCATCTCGGGTTGGGAGAGCTCTAAACTTAGGAAATAAGCAATCTGTATTTTGATAATTCCTAAATAAAAAATGAAACACTAACAATATAAAGAAAACTGTCTTGCTGTAAAAATCAAAACCACATCCTTTAGTTTTACAATTGGGTTTTCTGGCATAAACAATGACAACTTGCGAATACAAAGGAAAAACCTGGCCATTTTCTGTTTATTGACCTATTTTTGAAATGCAGAAACTTTGGCTGGGCGCAGTGACTCACACCTATAATCCCAGCACTTTGGGAGGCCAAGGCGGGCGGATTGCCTGAGTTCAGGAGTTCGAGACCAGCCTGGGCAACACAGTGAAACCTTATCTCTGCTAAAATACAAAAAATTTAGCTGGGTGTGGCGGCATGCGCCTGTAATCCCAGCTACTTGGGAGGCTGAGGCAGGCTAATCACTTGAACCTGGGAGGTAGAGGTTGCAGTGAGCTGAGATTGTGCCACTGCACTCCAGCCTGGTGATGGAGCGAGACTTTGTCTCAAAAAAAAAAAAAATTACAGAACCTTTATTTAAAAAGGTGTGTTTTGCTCATGCCTGTAATCTCAGCACTCTGGGAAGCCAAGGCAGGAGGACTGTTTGAGGCCAGGAGTTCAAGACTGGCCTGGTCAACATAATGAAACTCCTGTCTCTACACACACAACACACAAAAACACACACACACACACACACACACACACTCTCTCTCTCAAATTAGCCAGATATGGTAGCAGGCACCTGTAGTCCCAGCTACTGAGGAGGCTGAGGTGAGAGGATCACTTGAGCCCAGAAGTTCAAGGCTACAGTGAGCTATAATCACGCCACATGCTCTAGCCCAGGTGACAGAGAGAGACCCGTCTCTAAAAATATATATATATAAATTAATAAAAAGCCTGTTTTTCATGGCCCAGATATTGAAGAGAAATAGAAAATAGCTCTAATCTCAAAAGGAAGAAAAAAATGTAAAATTCAGCTGAAAGTCTGCCTTGCCATCTTGGATTGGGTGACCTCTAATCTTAGGAAATAAAGATACTACTTCCTCATTAAAACCTCAAACTGCACCAATAGTCACAAAATTTACCACTTTTGTGAAAATGTTTTCACTTCATACTAATATTATGAAAGGAATGCCAATCAGTATGAATTTCCCATGCAGGTCAAACTGCAGATTTTTGGCTTATGTGCTGTATATTAGGGAAAAAATTAAACCAAGTATTTTTTATGTGGTAGATATCTTTACATACCATGTACACTCCAGATATATTACTAATTTCAAACATCTGAAGTTTCCCTGAAAATTCCATTTAGGCACTTAGCATCAAAGCAAAAGAAGGCTGGGGCGGTCAATCATCTGAAGATGGGTTTAACACCTTCCTCTTCGACCCACTTCAAAGCATGGATTTTTTTAAGGGGGGGAGGTGGAATCAGATTAGGAATTCAGCCTGACTTAAGCCACTGTTATAACAAAGGTCAAAGCATTCTAAGTTTTGAAATGCCGAATTAATCTCTAACTGAAGGAAAACATGTCAATTATCACCATGCAGACCCACCAGAACCTTATCTGAGACAGCTTGCTAAAGCTAAGGGGCTTTCAAATCACTCAGTTCAAACTCACACCTTCCTTATGTCTCTTCCTATAACAACCCTAACAGCAATTTAAACACTGACAGTGATAAGGACTTAAACAGTTCAAGCTAGGAAGGTCGATCTCCCTAAGCTGTAACTCAACTTCTAAGGCGTAGCTGTGCCTGATTACACCAGAGACTATACCTATTCCTTTCCTTCCATATAAAAATCCCACAGCGTATCTGTTCACAGAAATCTTCCCTTCTCCAGGCTAAAAATCTCCATGTTTTGCAAATGCTCAAACCAGTCCTGCTCCAAAAGCTACACTGATGCTCTATCTCTAGGATTAATCTGTAAAAGTAGAAACATGTGGATAGGAAAGTGAGTGATTACATAATTTCTTCTCCTTTCTTTCTAAGGCTAACCAGACTTCCAAAAATATCACAGAGAAAGGCTGACTCCAGCTCTACCTCCCTGATTCTGCACTGAGCCAATATATAGAAATCTCCCAATCAATAAATCATACTGAAATAAGAATACCCTTCTTCCAGCCGGGTGCAGTGGCTCACGCCTGTAATCCCAACACTTTGGGAGGCCAAGGCAGGCAGATCACGAGGTCAGCAGTTTGAGACCAGCCTGGCCAACATAGTGAAACCCTGTCTCTACTAAAAATACAAAAAAAAAAAAAAAAAAAAAAAATTAGCCGGGCATAGTGGCATGTGCCTGTAGTCCCAGCTACTCAGGAGGCTGAGGCAGTAGAATTGCCTGAATCCAGGAGGTGGAGGTTTCAGTGAGCTGAGATCACGCCACCGCACTCCAGCTTGGGCAAGTGAAACTTCATCTCCAGAAAAAAAAAAAGGCCCTTCTTCCTAGTCTTTCAAACTCCAGATGACCTTAAAACCAAGATTCACACTGATGACTATAAACTAAAAGCAAAACAAAACAGAAAATAGCAAGTATTGTCAAGGAGTGGAGAAACTGAAACCCTTGTACTACATTGCTGGTGGGAATGTAAAATGGTGCAGCAGCAATGGAAAAGTATTGCAATTCCTCAAAAAATTAAACCCAGACTTAGCCATGTGATCCAGCAACTCCACTTCTGGGTCTATACCCAAAAGAAGTAAAAGTAGGGGCTCAAGTCGGTATCTGTACACCCATGTTCATAGCAGCATTATTCACAACAGCCAAATGGTAGAAACAACCCAAATATCTACTGACAGATAAATGGGTAAACAAAATGTGGTACATGCATACAGCGAATTATCATTCATCCTTAAAGAAAATTTTGGGCCAGGCGCAGTGGCTCACACCTGTAATCCCAGCACTTTGGATTACTTGAGGTCAGGAGTTCGAGACCAGCCTGGCCAAATAGTGAAACCCTATCCCTACTAAAACTACAAAAAAATTAGCCAGGCATGGTGGCATATGCCTGTAATCCCAGCTACTTGGGAGGCTGAGGCAGGAGAATTGCTTGAACCTGAGAGGTAGAGGTTGTAGTGAGCCGAGATCGTGCCACTGCACTCCAGCCTGGGTGACAGAGCAAGACTCCATCTCAAAAAAAAAAAGAAAAGAAAAGAAAAGAAAATTTTGGCCCATGGTACAACATGAGTAAACCTTGAAGACATTATGCTACATGCGATAAGCCAGTCACAAGGAGCTAATGTATATAATTCCTCTTATACGAAATACCCAGAATAGTCAAATTCATAGACAAAGTAGAATGGTGGTTGTCAGGGGTTACGAGGAGGGAAAAATGGGGAGTTATTGTTTATTGGGTACAGAGTTTCCGTTTCGGAAGACAAAAATTTCTGGAGATGAATAGTGGTGATGATTATGCAACAATGTAAATGTACTTAATACCACTGAACTGTACACTTAAAAATAGTTACAACAGTAAATTCTATGCTATGTGTATTTTACCACTACTTAAAAAAATTTTTTTTGAGAATGCCACATTCTGATTAGGGAAGAAGTCCCTTCTTCTGATCTGCCTTTTCCAAGTTGTCTCTCGCTAGTGCTTTTCTTACCTATAGTGCCAACCCCTCCGCTCCAGAAAAATACTGCTACCAGAAGATTATTTCTCTACATTTCCAGTTAATTATGTATGAGATGATTTTTTAAATTTCTAATCATGGAAGATCATTTTTTATTCATATCCTTTAAATAATATACTTTCAAGAAGAAATGCATCTAAAACCAAGAAAATTATACCTGTATTTCTTTTTCTGAAGCTGCCATATCATAGTTTCAGAAAGCTCAGTGGCATAGATTTCTTCAAAATGAGGGCTCATGATTTTTGTGACTTCTCCATCTCCAGCACCTAAATCAAGAAGTCTGTGGGTTTTCCAGTCTGGATTAATTTTAAGCAGTCTCTGAAACTGATCTGGTGAAAACACAAACATTGAGCCTCTTCCTAGCAACCTGAAAGAAAAAAAGGACAAAAATGGAAGTGTCTATGCAAATTAAGCACCCCTCACATACACACACAAAGTGAATATAGTGACTCAGCACCAACAACCATAATCACTTATTACATGGTTAAGATTTTTTTTTTTTTTAGACAAGGTCTCACTCTGTCACTCAGGCTGGAGTGCAGTGGCATGATCTCGGCTCACTGCAACCTTCGCCTCCTGGGTTCAAGCGATTCTCCTGTCCCAGCCTCCTGAGTAGCTGGGATTACAGGCATGCACCACCACACCCGGCTTATTTTTTGTATTTTTAGTGGAGACAGGGTTTCACCATGTCGGCCAGGTTGGTCTCGAACTCCTGACCTCAGGTGATCTACCCGCCTCGGCCTCCCAAAGTGCTGGGATTACAGGCATGGGCCACTGCGCCTGGCCTAATTTTTTTTTTTCTTTTTTTTTTTGAGACAGAGTCTCGCTCTGCCGTCGCCCAGACTGGAGTGCAGTGGCACGATCTCTGCTCACTGCAAGCTCCGCCTCCCAGGTTCATGCCATTCTCCTGCCTCAGCCTCCTGAGTAGCTGGGACTACAGGCGCCCGCCACCACACCTGACTAATTTTTTGGATTTTTAGTAGAGAAGGGGTTTCACCATGTTAGCCAGGATGGTCTCGATCTCCTGCCCTCGTGATCCACCCGCCTCTGCCTCCAAAGTGCTGGGATTACAGGCATGAGCCACCGTGCCCAGCAAAGATATTATCTTTTATGTCATTTCTATGATTAGAAGACAAAGTTAATAAAATAAGAAAATGCCTCCAGATACCATTTGTCTTTGGAGTTGCAAATAATGCCCCAAAAAAGCATGGGAGGAGGGAAATAAAAGGTGGAAAGTGGAAAGGATGACAGGGGAAGGAAGAAGAAATAAGTAAGAGATGAATGTGAAGAACTTAAGTCAAAATAGGAAGGAAAAGTGGAAGGAGTAACAGAAAACATGTTTATCAGTTGAAAAAGATGACAAGCTAACACAGCCAGACCACAGTAGCAGAGAAACCAAATAGGAAAAAAAAGTGATTTCAAATATGGAACTAAACCATGGATCAGGAAAAAAGAGCTTTAGTATAACAGATTTTTAAGAGACACTAGAGAAAAGAGGGAAAAGAGTGGTCCTTGTGATGTCGGTTAATATGCATTAAAGTAGATTCGTACTTATGTCAGTTTATATGGTTACAACTGTCTGGGTCCTATTATTTCTAAAGGTCCTAGAAAACACTCAAAACCATAGTGATGCCTTTGAAAAAAGAGACTGAGGGGAGTTTAACTGGAGATTGAAGAGAACCCTCAGAAAAGCAACTATAGGTCCAGCCAAGTCTCATGGAAGCATCACTCTGGGAAATAAAGCGCAATCCCTATTTAGGACTTGTTTTCTAGCTCTGAAATTCTAGTTTATCTAGGACAGGGATTCTCAACCCTCCTTTAAGCAGCAGAACCCTTTCTTTAAATGAAGTGGAACTCACAGATAACATAAGATCCTAAGAGAGCTGCTGCTGTTCGAATGAGGTTGGGAGCCCAGGAGCTGTGGCCAGCCCACTTCTAGGCCTTTCTCTGCAGCCTGAAGCAGTTCCTGAGGCACTTCCTCCTCAGACCCTAGAAAACAGTTTGGGGACCACTGGTCCAGGAAGTGGCAGGGAAACCTGTTCTGTACTGCTGCTCTCTGGAAACAATCATAAGGTACAGAATGTTTGCTGCTATACAGTGACTGGAAAGATGCATGCAACACGGTGCCCAAGGTAAGACCAGTTTTAGGAAAAAATACAAATAATGGAGTTCATGTAACAAAGTCCCCCTTCCTTTTCCCATTAAGGCCATAGGAGAGTTTAACCAAGTTTACAGTAAATCTTCTGCCCCCATAGAAATGCTAAAAATTTGGAGAAAGACCTCAGAGACCACTAAACGTGATGCTACCGACTACAACTGCTTACCAAAGAAAATCACGTCTCATAAAAGACAAGTTGTTTTAATCCTCAATTGTTCATATATTACAGTAAGAAAATAAGCAAATCTGAACTTGCTGAAGTAGCTGTACAAAATTTAACACAGAAACCAGTCACAGCAGAAAGAGGCTACTGGCAGCATGGCTGAGGGGAGGCGAATTTCAAATACTGATGCTGACTTGCCACAGGACCAAAAGTAAGTCACAAAATAGTTATTTTGCTTAAATTTTCCCAGAGCGTGCTTCCCAAGCCATCTCCTTGGGATGTGAGGAATCTTGACATGATAATTATAAAATTCTAGAACAAGAGGTCACCTGAGCTCAGAGCTCACAAGTTCATCTGACTGGTCTACATTTATAGGCACTAGAGGCTGGGCATGGTGGCTCACATCTGTAATCCCAGCATTTTGGGAGGCCGAGGTGGGAGGATCTCTTGAAACCAGGTGTTTGAGACCAGCTGGGCAACATGGTGAAACCCCGTCTCTATAAAAAATACAAAAATTAGCCAGGCACGGTGGCATGAGCCTCTAGTCCCAGCTACCTGGGAGACTGAGGCAGGAGGACTGCCTGAGCCTGAGGAGGTCAAGGCTGCAGTGAGCCATGATTGTGACACTGCACTCCAGCCTAGGCAACAGAGCGAGACCCTGTCTCCAAAAAAGAAAGAAAGAAGGCACTAGAGAAAGAGGGGAAGCATTGTCCTATTTCGAAAGAACATTAGCAACAGGGGCTCTACAAAAAGATTAACACTGTCAAAAAATAAATCAAAATCCATCAAGCCCAGTGTTTATCAACCAGGATTGATTTTGCCCTCTAGGGGGCAATGGGAGTAGACAGGAGAGTTTCCAGTAATCACAAGGACCTGGGGGTACTACTGCCATTTAGTGGGCAAGGCCAGAAAAGTTAGACTTCCTGCAGTGTGGGGGGCAGTCTCGCACAATGAAAAACAGTATCACCTAAAATACTGAGCCCAATACAAAGTTTCCCATAAACACAAACCATGAAGAGATATGACCCTCTAATTTGGGTTTAACTTTAGTGTTTAATAACCATCCTAGGTTCTCTGATCACAATCTAAGTTCTCTCTAGACTTAAGAGTCTACGGAGAGATGCACCTCTTCCTTATAAAATAAACTCTGGAACATCTACTAAGTCTTTCCTTACTTGGCCTTCTCCTTTCCAAAATAAAGGAAGTTTGATAAGTATCCTAAGGTAATACAAGACAGTACTACAGTAATGATTTCTGTGAGAGATGGCCACCTGTAGTAATTATCTCCCACTGCCATGACCGGAAAGTACTGATGGGCCCTAAAATTTAGTTTTTAGCTGAGAATGGGACACAAGGCAAGAAGGACTGAAAGCAGGGTGGGTATCAGAAGGAAAAAGCAGAAGAGTTTTAAGTAAGGGAAGCCAAAAGGGGTTTATTAACTGCATTGCCTCTTTGATCAAACTGTGAAATTCTAGAGCACGGAATTTTAACCAGGGTCTTATGGGTAGAGGAAAGGGGAAATAAAAGTTTGAAGCCCCCAAAATCATACACAAAATGTTGAATGTAAGCACTTTTTGAAGAGAGGATTCCTACCTTTATCACTTTCAAAGAGCTACAGGACCCCAGAAAGGATAAGAATCTCTGCTACAGTGACTCATCTGAATTCCAAAGGAAGAATAAATGGTATAGAACAGAAATTCAATATAACCAATTTAAGGAACAAAATGTCAGACCAAGTTGTATCAACTCAACCACCCATATAAAAATAACAACTGTTTGCCAAAGCAAACGTATGGCAATTTCACATAAACAATGAAGAAAATCAACTGAGAAATCTTGAGAAATGGCTTGCGGTGCCTGAAGACTTAGGACCAGATGATACACTGGGGATCCAGTCAGTCAGTAGAAACTGCTCCAAACCTCAAGGGAAAAGAAAAGTGGGCCCAACCAGTGGTTTGAGTGGTCCAATGAGGCTTCTTAACCATTGAGCCTGTTGCTTTTCTCTTTGGCATTTTAGATTCTAGGTCCTTAGGAATGCTTGAAAACATGGCCAAGAAAGGATTGAAAAAAAAAAAAACAAAAAAAACTCCTAAAGCTTTTTCTATGGATTTATATGAGGGAACCACTCTGGGGACAGAGAATTCCACAATAAGTTCATAAAATTCTGGTGAACCTAGACATTATTTAAGAACAGATGCAGGACTCTTCACTCAAAATAAGCCATCATCCACTGTTGGGCTGACTAATTATATCTCCCAAAAAAAATTTGCCACTGCGAAGTATGTTTAAGGCAAAGATATTACTTTTCAGCCTAAGGGCGTAAAGCCCTCAGCTTCAGGGCTTGGTTCCAGGAGTCTTGCTACTTTGTGGTCCAGAACCAGCAGCATTCAGCATCACTGGCATCGTCTAAGAGCTTGTTAAAAATGCAGACTCTCCAGGTGCAGTGGCTCCCACCCATAATCCCAGCACTTTGGGAGGCAAAGGTGGATGGATCACTTGAGGTCAGTTAGAGACCAGCCTGGCCAACATAGAAACCTCGTCTCTACTAAAAATACAAAAATTAGACAGGTGTGGTGGTGCACACCTGTAATCCCAGCTACTTGGGAGGCTGAGGCATGAGAATTACTTAAACCCGGGAGGCGGAGGCTGCAGTGAGCCCAGATTGCCACTGCACTCCAGTCTGGGAAACAGAGCAGGACTGTCTTTAAAAAAAAAAAAAAAAAAAAGCAGACTCTCAGACCTAGCCCCTGATGTACTAACTCATAATCTGCATTTTAACAAGACCCCCAGGTGATTCCTATGTACATCAAAGCCAAGAAGCACTACCGTAAGTAACTCCCGCTATGAATAAACATACTAATGAGGCTGTCACGTTATGGTGAATTTAAAGGGCAGAACCACAGAAAGATAGAACGCTGGACCAACTGCCAAGGTTCTGACTAGTAGAAGTATTGTAGCTCAGGTAGTCAACATGCTGAACAAGATAACTTTTCTTTTTGTGTTTTTCCTTTTGTAAACCTAAGGATAAAGAAAAAAATAAATGTCCAAGATTCACTTACCCATTGATAGATGTTCTAGACATAAACAGGCTAAAAACAGATGACACAAAAGAATGATATAATTGGATAAATAGCCAGCCCGATTTCTCAATGCTGTTGTTTAAGAAGATCTGTGTTCCTTGATCAAGGTAACTCTGAACAAAGACAGCCTGGAGTGATTCGCATAATTTCTCTCTGTTGCACACATACCACTAAAAAAAAAAAAAAAAAAAGAACAAAAATTAAAACACACAACCGAAGTGTCACCTAAGAAATCCAAAAACAAAAAACCAGAAGACTAAATCACATCTAAGATTTCCAAATATTACCATCTCATGATACTCTGAGAATAATCATTTCGTATACTCATATAACCTATAAAATATAAAGTACTTCTTCAGACATGACTTCTCATTTAATTCTCTTACAGCCCTCAAGGTAGGTAGAGTGGGTGAGGGAAGGGTGGAGAGGCTTTTGGGTCATTCAGCTTAGTAGGCAGCAGAACCAGACCACAGCTCAGGCACTCGGACTCCCAGCCCAGTGCTTCAGTCACTGTACCCGAGATTTAGAAAGCTCTGCTGGCCTCTCTTTCACTGAGATTCAACATCAGAAGGCAAACAGCTAGCAGCATCCTTGTTTTTAGACAAGAAAACAGTCACATAATCCAATGCCTTAACTCAAAATCACCAAACAAACCCAAATAGCAAAGTAAGCAACAGAATTTAACACTCCAGTGACCAGATTAAGTTGCCTTTCCTCTTGTGGACTATGTAAAAGAGATCTTTAGAAATCTTGAGGTATGCTTTACAAATAGGTCATATGACATTCTTACAGAGGCAACATGTGCTCAAGAAAGATTAAGAAGTTACTTAAGGTCATACTGCAATCAACGAGAAGACCAAATAGTAACATGCTAAGAACCAGATTTCCAGGAATTGGCTCTACCCAGAATCCACATTCTAGAACAAAATTCAAAAAGCTTCACCTGTAGATGAAATTTAATCTTTCATAATAAATGAGTCAGCATACCAGAGAGGTGGGGAAGCAGACTGTACATCAGCTTTAGCGTCAGCCCCACAATCAAGTCCCGGCTCTGCCCTTCCTATGTGAGCTCAGACAAATCACTTAAATCTCTCAGCCTCCATTCATTTGTAGACTAGAGATGTCACTGGGGTCTATATATCCTGGCAGGGTACGATGAGGATTAAACAAGATAATGCAGGCAAGTCCTCAACATAATACAAAGCACGTAGTGAGAATCCTACAATAATAATAGCAGTGAGATTCCTCTAACATAGCCTGAGAAATAAGAATAAGCCCCTTAAGTACAGTGATGAAACTACAAAGTATATCAATTATTATTAACCCATTATCTGCCATGAAACACAAATTTTTCCCAGTCAATTGGCCAAGAGTAATTTGCTTCCCCTTGACAAATACGACCTTTTATCAGCAGTAGACGTCCCATAAGTGCTTGCACAATTGGTAGACCAGCTTTACAGTCATCCTAAGCTTACTAATGTTCAGTGAAATCTTAAGTAACATTCCTGATGCTAACGTTAAAAGGAACTAGTTACAAATCAACACAAACAAACAGGCACGTTAAATTTCAGAGATTAATCATTTTACAAACTCTGTTCCCTAAACTGGGTAAACCAAACCTTTCCAGTTGTGGACTAATTTGTGCTAATTTGCCATTTCATCACAGTTATCAAAACTGCTTGGACTTTATATATAAAACTGTTTTTATTTTTCCTACTCTATATGACAAGCTATGAAGCTTTTTACATTCACTGCCTACATTTTTTCCCTTGGTCTGAAAATGTTCTTGCTTAATGATTTTCTAATTCTTAATACTTATTGTGCCTGAAGTTATGCTCCAGTGCAGGTCATAAACCGTTTTTTATTATACTCATGACCTCCTGGTGCACGTTCTGAACTCTGTAATATGGAGGCCACTCTGACTTTTATTTATTTTTTATTCTCTGAAATGGCTAATCAAGATGAAAGCCATCACCTTGATAATAGGCAATCAGGTACATTTTATTAATGTGGATGAGAAGTCATTCAAGTGAAACAGAGGAGCTAAGAATTCCTTGGCATCCACTTGTAAATGGACTAGAACAACAATAGATTCTGACTTCTAGAACCAAGCAGGAACTGGCACCATTAGCTGCAAATAGTGCTTTCAAGCACCAAGAGGAAAACTCAAGTTTTTAATAGCATTTTTCTCAATTCATCAACATTAACACGTGTGGTTGAACCCTTACTGTCACACAGGTCTTTCTGGAAAGAAACTGCTTATTGAACAGAATGTGCTACAGAACAAAAATAGAGCAAAGCTCTTCTCTTTAAAAAGAAAGGTGAAACGTATGTCCTTTCTGACCATTTGCATGACACAAATGTCGATTTCACAGCAGCAATGTCAGAAACTGCAAACAAGTCAAATGTCCATCAAATGGTGGATAAGCAAGATGTGATAATAGATTCATATAAAATAATAGCATGTTCTGCCATACAAAGGAATGAAGCACTGCTTCATGCTCCAGCATGGATGAACCTTGACAACATTATGCTAAGTGAAATAAGTCAGTCACAAAAGACCACATACTGTGTAATTCCACTTACGTGAAATGTCTTGAATATGCAAATCCAGAGATAGAAAGTAGATAGTAGATTGTGGCTGCCAGGGGCTGGGGAGCTGGGACAATGTGGAGTGGCTGCTAATGGACATGAGGTTTCTTTTTGGGGTGATGAAATGTTCCAAAATTAATACTGGTGATGACTGCATAATTCTGTGATTATACTAAAAATCAATGAATTGTACTCTTTAAAAGGATAAATTTCATGGTATGTGAATTATATCCCAATAAAGCTGTTTTTTAAACACACACACACACCCCTCCCTAAATATGCAGGTGGCAGTTAGATCTTCCAGAAATTAAAAGTGGCCTGAAAACATAAGTAACCTAGAAAACCTCTTAAAATGCAAATTTTAAATGCAAATCTGATCACATCACTACCCTGCTTAACAGGAATCTTAGGATAACATCCAAAATGCTTAATATGGCTTATAAGGCCCTGCACGATTTTTGTTCATTCTGTGTCTCCAGCCTCACCTCATGACATTCCCTACCAACCCATGACCCCTGGACCCTCACTCCATCACACAGCTCCACCCCTTCCTTCTTTTTTCTGGAAGGCCCCTTTCCCGTGGCTGTCTCACATGGTATTTGCTCTGCCCCCCAACATTTCCCACCACCTAACCCACTCTCTCTTCACCTGGTTCGTTCAACTTCAGCCTAAATATTTCCTAGGTATATTTTCTTTTCAAAGGAAAATATACCTACGAAAGGCTAGGCTAGGCCCCCTGTTCTAATACCCTTTCATACATCCCATTTGTCCCTTTGGTAATATTTACAATCTCTGAATTGAATAATTGTAGACAATCGCATGTTCAGTGCCTATCTTCCCAGGTAGACTGAGAGCTTCATAAAGGCAGAGAAAATGAATGGCTTCAGTGCCTGGCACAGATACAGACAAACAATAAACGTTCATCAACAGGCAGCCTAAACAGAATTTGGAGTTTCTAACAAAATCCTAGAGGAAACATAAGGATAACCACAGAGACCGCTGCCATGGGGTTTCTGTCAATTTCTCAAACTCTGCAAGGCCTTGCTTAAACCTAATTTTGCAACCAGTGGTTACAGCTACCCACTCACCACAAAATTGCATTACCACAAGCAAGGAAGCAAGCAATGAAGGAAGACACCAACTGAGCACCTATCATGCACCAGGCACCAAGCCATGTGCTTTACATTTCATTTACCACCTTGCAATTTCTGAATAAATGGGAAGCATAGGGTCCCTAAGCAGCTCCAGCTGATTCAAGCTCCTGCTCCAGGTACGTGTTGTTTTATAAGCGTTTCTTTCAAAGAAGCTTCTCTTCACTTAACTCTACCCAGTGTGTCTGCTAAAGAAAAGAAAGCAGGACTATCCTGCCAATTAAACTGAACTACATGTGTGTAGAGAAAAGATAATCTGGTCTAGATAGTAACTAAAGTCCTGTAAGCCAGGGTTTCTCAGCCTTCACACTACTGACATTTGGAGCTAAATGATCCTTTGTTATAGGGGCTGACCTGCACATTGTAGGATGTTCAGCAGCATTCCTAGTGCCTATCCATCAGGTTACAGTGGCACTACCCCAAATGACAGCCCAAAATGTCCCAGGCATTGCCAAATGTCCCCTGGGAGGCAAAACTGCCACTGCTTGAGAACCCATACATGGCCTTACCCACAAAATGTCACTGTACTGACTCTCCAGTAGTGTTTCCCACTATCCCAGCCTAACTATGGTCTAGGGACTCCAGCTGACTGAATTAAAAGATGGACTCGCTGGCCTCAGAGAACTTACATTCCAGAGTGAAAATAAAATCAGAAACCAAGGGAAACAAGTAATGTGACTATGATCTTGGCGAGGAGCTTCAGAGCCTTAAAGGAGCAGTCACCTTGCCCTTAAGGTGAAATACCAAGGACCAAGGAGAGAAAAAATCTGCAGGAACCCCTTTAACCCAATGGGCAGGACTCCTGGTTTCACCTCTCTCCAAACAACCAGCTTAGATAAAAAGCTACGCTAAGCTCGCAGCACTGGGTGGCTTGTCTGTATGCTCCTGTGTACTTTCAAGCAGGTGAGTTCTTTGTTTTTTTTGAGACGGAGTCTTGCTCTGTCGCCCAGGATGGAGTGCAGTGGTGTGATCTAGGCTCTCTGCAACCTCTGCCTGCCGGGTTCAAGTGATTCTCTCGCCTGAGCCTCCCAAGCAGCTGGGATTACAGGCACCTACCACCCCGCCTGGCTAATTTTTGTATTTTTAGTAGAGATGGGGTTTCACCATGTTGGCCAGGCTGGTCTTGATCTCCTGACCTCAGGTGATCTGCCTGCCTCGGCCTCGCAAAGTGCTAGGATTACAGGCGTGAGCCGCTGCGCCCAGCCGCAGGTGAGTTCTTTAAATGTGTGCTCCTTAAAGACTACAGAGACAAAGGTGCACAGGCAAGAACAAAGTACTATGCCCGTTAAATTCACACACTGACAGGACTACACGCCCACTCTACTGTGAGGCTGGACTCCTTGGCTGGAGCCTACCATGTCTGAAAAAGCATCTTATTAGCATCTGCCTTTAAAGCTCACTCAAATGTTGTTTCATCTAAATAAACAAGGGAATCTTTTAAATGACAAATTCTAATCAAATGAGAATGATTCCATTCAGTCATCTGCTGATGCCAAGTACAGAACAGGATGTGATATCTAAAAATTACAGTAAATAGCAATATTCTCCCTACTGGCAACACAACTGCAAAGATACTAATAATTGGCCAGGCAGTAAACAGCCAAATCAGGTGGCTGCCACGCGTTTTGAATGCATGTCTGACAGTATTCGCCAACCGAAGTTATTAAATATTAGGTCATACTGTCTTAAAAATTTCCTGGCTGGCTACGATGGCTCACACCTGTAATCCCAGCAATTTGGAGGCCCAGGTGGGCAGATCACTTGAAGTCAAGAGTTCAAGACCAGCCTGGCCAACATGGTGAAACCCCGTCTCTACTAAAAATACAAAAATTAGCCAGGCGTGGTGGCAGGAACCTATAATTCCAGCTACTTGGGAGGCTAAGGCAAAAGAATCACTTGAACCAGAGAGGCAGAGGTTGTAGTGAGCCCAGAGTGTGCCACTGCACTCCAGCCTGGGCGACAAAGCAAGACTGTCAAAAAAAAAAAAAAAATTTCTCATTAAGCCCATGAACTCCTCCTAATATTTATATATAACCTTGGTTGATGAATCACTCGTTCAAAGTAGGAATGCAATTTTCCTATAAAATTAGATTTGCTAATCAGACCAAATATGGTTAAAAGTTTTTCTGAAATTATTTTTGGAGTTTATCAACTAATCAAACATGTGATATACAACATATCCAAAATACAACATTCCCAAAATACAAAGGATTTAAGCACACTAGCAGAGTCAGAAAGTAATTTTAAAAACTGACTGATTTTAGATGATGTGGTATAATAAAAAATACATATTTGATCTTTGTCCCAGGTTCCTGATAGAGAGTTCCTAAAACCCTTCGGGAATCTCAGGGTAATAAGAGTATCTTTTGTATGCTAACAGGATGACTCCTGATAGGGGTGGGAGACCCAGACAGCTTCAGGATGGGGACCAGGATGTGGGTATAAGGTTCAAACTTTCAGCCCCACCTTCCAATCTCCAAGGATGAGAAAGGAGTTGAAGACTGAGTCTAATCATGCCTATGTAATGACACCCCTAAACTATGGGGTCCTGGGAGCTTTTAGTTTGCTGAATACATTGATATGATGGTTGGGTGGCTCATCAGAGGAAAGAGAAACTCTACACCACCTCCCACACCTCACCCTATGCACCTCTTCCACTTGGCCGTTCCCCAATTGTATCCTTTGTAATAAACCAGTAAACCTAAGTGGTTTATTATTATTATTATTATTATTTTGAGACGGAGTCTCGCTCTGTCGCTCAGGCTGGAGTGCAGTGGCGCAATCTCAGCTCACTGCAACCTCCGCCTCCACGGTTCAAGCGATTCTCCTGCCTCAGCCTCCCCAGTAGCTGGGATTACAGGCACGTGCCACCACGCCCAGCTAATTTTTTTGTATTTTTAGTAGAGACCAGGTTTCACCCTGTTAGCCGGGATGGTCTTGATCTCCTGACCTCGTGATCCACCCACCTCAGCCTCCCATAGTGCCGGGATTACAGGCGTGAGCCACCGCACCTGTGTTTTCCTAAGTTCTATGAGTCATTCTATTATAGGAAATTAGGGGGTGGGGTGGGGTAGGGTGAAGGTAGAGTTGTGGGAACTCCCAAATTTGTTCAAGGTGGACAAAAGCACTGGCAGCCTGGGAACCCAGGACTTCCAGCTGGCCTCTGAAGTGAGGGCAGTCTTGTGGGACTGAGCTCTTAACTCTGTAAAGCGTGACCCTAACTCCAGGTAGTTAATGTCAGAACAGGATTGAACAATTAAACACCCACTTGGTGATGGAAAATTAGAGAATGGCTGATGTCAGGAAAAAATGACAATACATGTAAGAATCTTTTTTCAACTTTAAGCCTTAAAAAAAGCATGCACAAACCAGATAAAGGCCAGAACTTCAAGCAGCTGTCTTATTCTCATCTAATTCACAAACTACAAAATCTTCAACAAGTATTGTGCACACAGCTACCTAACTTCAGTGTCTACACAGAGGCCTCACTAGAATGAGGGCAGTTTCCTATTCAGAAGGCAAGCCTAGGCCAGGAGCAGTGGCTCACGCCTGTAATCCCAGCACTTTGGGAGACTGAGGCAGGAGGACTGCTTGAGGCCAGGAGTTTGAGACCAGCCTGAACAACATGGCAAGACCCTGCCTCTACAAAAGATTTAGAAGCTACTCAGGAGGCCGAGGCAGGAGGATGTACTGAGGCCAGGAGTTTGAGGCTGCAGTGAGATATGATCAGGCCACTGCATTCCAACTTGGGTGACAGAGTAAGAACTTGTTTCTCAAAAAAAAAAAAAAAAAAAAAAAAAAAAGAAGGCAAGCCTATTTTTACCACCCCTCAGACAACACAAGGTTTACCAGGAGGGGCATCATAAAGCAGCAGAAAATGTGTTGCCTTGAAACCAAAGCTGGGTGCAAAGCCCAACTCTATCATCCATTAACTCTGTGCTGGTGAGCAAGTCTCTTCTCTCTCTCACCCTCACTTTTCTGTATGTAAAGTGCGGATGATACCACCAACCTCCAAGAGTTCTATGTGGACTACTGGGGATAATATATTTGAAGTGCCTGGCACACAATAGAAGGCCAGTAGCTCTTCATATTTCCTTCCCCTTTCTCTCCAAGGCAAGGGCTGGTCAGAGGAGAAGTACAGTTCAAGGGAATGCCTAAAAACCAAACTGTAGGTCTAGGCATCCAGCCATTCTCAAAAGAAATGGGTAATCAAAGACCCAAGGCATTCAGGGCTACCAAAAACAATCAGAAAAGCTCCACTGCTCAGGATCTATGAACACAGAATCTTTTCTAAGTTGGCCAGACCAACTCCATCAACAGAGCTTGACAGCTAAGGATTCAAAATTCACATTCTAAGATTTTACAATGCAGTCAACTCAGTCCAGACATTTCACCATGCACACCTTGCATTTAAGCACAGCATAGGCGTAAATATTCAGACCATTCACCATTTTCCCACAAACAATATAAACTCAACCCAATAACCTCTTTATGTGAGATTTCAATGTGTACAGTGACAGGCACCCTCATATCCATGAGGGGAATCAATTAAAACAGATTAAATGGCTTCAGCTTTGATTTAATAACCAATTACTGGCAATCCTCATTGCAAATACTAAATACTCACTCCCCATAGGACAGGATAATCCTAAAATTTTAACAAAGCTTCAGAGGGTCTACACAACAGAGCTTTTTACTGGAAGCTATTAGGGTCTTCTAGGGCACCTTCAAAGAGAAACATAAAGACTCCTGGTATATCCAGCACAAGAAAGAGATTCTAGTGTTCTGTGAAACTGAAGCAAACACTTGGGGTTTCAACACAGATTATGAGGAAGCAAAGAAATCCTTTCTGAAGTCTCTTTGGTATTCAGCTGCAAAGGCCTCCAGACTCTCGAAGGCAGTTCAGAGAAGGACGCCAATCCATCAGTGTCTGTCCGGCTTAGCTGGCTGACTATCCTTGAAGCATTGTTAACTCATGCCTGACTCCAGTCTGCCTCCACAGGGTAAGTGAGGGGTAAAGGGACAGGAAACACTCTGTCCTTTAGCACAGTGTTTGGCTCTGGCTATGCTGTCCAAGTATTTTTTCATTTGGGGGAAAAAAAAGGATTTTAATTCTTTCTTGAATTCTTCATCACTTGTGGCATAGCGCAGTTCTGAGCTTATATAAGAAAGTGAAAAAATAAGTCACAAAAATATACACATACTTGCAATTTTAAGTTACAACTTAATAATTCCAGATATTGAATGTTATCTGTGCTTTTAAAAAACCTTGCAGTATGTCACCCGGAGAAATCGTTGTGGTTTGGTTCAGCGAGTTCTATAACAATTTTTTCACTCCATCAATTGAGAAGCTACTGAACCGCTATTATTACCAAGAACCTGGGGCCTAAGGGTCCTTTCAAAGTTTCAGTAGCTCCATAATAGTTGCATTAACTTTAAGCACTAGGTGCAATGCATCAAAAAGAATAGATCCTAAGTTTTTTGTTGTTGTCTTTTTAAATTCTGAGTCTGCCAACATTGCAAAGTGACAATATCTACTAGTTTCTCACTGCCTGCCTCTATTTCTTCCCAGTGAGTCAATCTACCCACCCTGCAACCTGTGATTAAGAATATGCTGTTGGAGGCTGGTTGCAGTGGCTCACTCCTGTAATTCCAGCACTTTGGGAAGCCGATGTGGGAAGATCACTTGAGGCCAGGAGTTCAAGACCAGCCTGGCCAACATGGTGAAGCCCTGTCTCTACTAAAACTACAAAAATTAACCAGGTGTGCTGGCACGTGCCTGTAATCCCAGCTATGGAGAGGCTGAGGCATGAGAACCGCTTGAACCCAGGAGGTCGAGGATGCAGTGAGCTGAGATTGTGCCACTACACTCCAGCCTGGGTGACACAGTGAGACCCTGTCTCCAAAAAAAAAAAAAAGCTGTTTGTTAAGGAAGCTGGGAATTTCTCTTGGAAAAAGTCTTTATTCTGTAAGAAGCCACGTAGTAAATGTTTTAGGCTTGCAGGCCATACAGTAGCAAATATGCTGCTATTGTAGCCAGGGAGCTCATAGACCACAGGTAAATGAATGTGGTAGTTCTCTTTCAATAAAACTTTATTTGTGGGCTGGGTGTAGTACCTCACGCCTGTAATCCCAGCACTTTGGGAGGCCCAGGAAGAAGGATCACTTGAGGTCAGGAGTTTGAGACCAGCCTAACCAACATAGTGAAACCCCATCTCTACTGAAAACTACAAAAATTATCTGGGCGTGGTGGTGTTCACCTGTAATCCCAGCTACTCGGGAGGCTGAGACATCAGAATTGCTTGAACCTGGGAGGCAGAGGTTGCAGTGAACCAAAATTGGGCCACTGCGCTCCAGCCTGGGTGACGAAGCGAGACTCCATCTCAAAAAAAAAAACACTTTATTTGTAGACACTGAAATAAATTTGAATTCCATAAATGAAACTTCATGTATTACAAAATGTTATTTTGATATTTTCTTGGTAACCATTTAAAAATATAAAACTATTCTTATTTCATAGGCTGTAAAATAAGTCTGTGAGACCAGTCTGGCCTCCCAGCCACTTCCCTGCTCTAAGTGAAACCCTGCTTCTTGCTTGCCCAAAGTGAAACATAATCCCAGTTTTGAAGCTAGCACACCAAACCAAGTTACTAAAATGGCACTGCTACTACAGTTTTAGAGCAGCTTTAGCCCAAAGGAGCCTTGCCTCTCCAAACTATACTAACAAAATAGCCATTTTTAACGAATAAACATTGCCCAAGATCTCTCTTTTAACCACAGAATCCTCCATCATAATTCCTTAATAAAATAACCAGAAGGAACACTTTTGCTAAGTATGGTTCAATCAAATCCACAACCCTACTTTTATGCAACTCCAAAAGGCCCAGATGTGGCTGGCTATGGAACTCACACACCCAACTGAACACTTAGAAGACCTTGTATAAAACTATTAATCTGAAGGAGGAAAAACAGTTACAGTTACTTCACAAGCAACGAAGTTATAAGGCAAACCCAGGATCCTGGAATATTAAGTGGAAAACAAATTATCAACTCCAGCCACAGTGCAGAAAGGACAGTTTCCTACTTTATCTCATGGTGGTTTCTACACACCTTTCTTCTGTTCCTTTTAATCTTTATTCATGCACGATTATTTTCATAATATGAATGTATTCATGTCAAAATAATGTCTGGATTCATTATTCTAAGGAAAAGAGTTGACCCATCCCCCAAATATTCAGAAAACACCATATTAAGTCTTCACCCTAAAGAAATTATCTGAATTGTTAGTGAAGGGGTACACACACACACACACACACAGAATATAAATACGGTATCTGAAATAAACGTATCTGAAACCAGTATTAGTTTTCATTAGAACTTAACAGATTCAGCTTTTAAAAGGTACAGTCAGAAAGTATCCTCTGCTGGGAGATATTCTGAGGCTATGTCTACAGCTGCAATTCCGCCTCCATACACATCACAGTGTTGAAATAGTGTTTCAATTTTAAAATAAGTGCAATTCTTTTATGAGCACTAAAAACCTACCAAGTGGCTGCAGTAGGGGTAATCATGATAAGTGTTATAAATACCAATAGCTAAGAGACTCAACCATAATCCCCCATCAATGGAGATAAATCGCTTTTTCTCCTATCCAGGACCTTATTTCTATCAACTGCTTAAAAATGTTAAAAATGACATTTCTAATTCATTGTCTACCCCATTGTTCCATATGTGACATTCTGGTAACTGTACAGTCAACGGTACAGTACCTTTGAGTTGTCTCTATAAGAATGAACTAGTGTAAGCAAATAATCCATAGGAATAAATGTGGTTTTGCAATTTAAGTTTACATACATTCCTAACCATATCATACAAGTGATCAATGATACTGATATTGCACCTAACAAACTGCAATGGCTGGAGGCTTTCAAAAAAATTTACAGAAATTTAGGATTCCTTTAACAATAGAAAAAAGCCCAATATACATATTACTAAAGACTAAATGCTACTTTTCTAAATTGCTCTATCTCCTTCTTAGACAATTCTCTACCCTCATTAAAACACATGAAATCAACCTGGGTGTAAATTCTCTGAACACCTGGCATAATAAAAAAGTAATGTAGGAAAATGAGAAATATATGAAAATGATGAGACACAAGATGATATAGGGAATAATTAATACTCTATGGAAAAGCAAAATGTATTATAAATGCTAGCTATGACAAGCCAACACTCTGGCAGAGTTCAAAAGCCTCTTTTCAATGAATTTAACATTAACTGCAAACTATGTTAAGGTCATATACGAAATATCTCACTTAATTCTACAGTTAACCTGTACACGTTTAAGTGGCGCAAGACTGAGCTAATGAAAAGCCTACCTACCCGGTCACAGCGTAACGCTCACGATGCATAACTAAAACTCCCTCCCGTCCCGTTCTGTTTTAAAAACCCTTCCTGTAAAACTTGCATAATCTTCCTCCTCATCACACACAATCTTTCTAGCAGGCTGACTAAATCCAAGTTTAAAGGAGATCTCTGCTAGGTAGGAGGGGAAGGTTCCGTAGGATGGGAGCGACAACCTGTCAAACCCATTTTTTAAGTGCTTAGGGAGAAATGTCACCCCAATCAGCCTGGAGAGTTCAATGGCTTGCGATGTACAGTTACATTTCTTCACGACCCTTTGTACGTTCTGGGATTCAACGAGACAACAAGAGGGGCTGGCTTTTCGTTTTGTTTCTCGGGGTAATGGATCTGGCCGGGTCTCTTCAGTCTCAGGCCTCGGTGCCAGGCGGGCGCCCCCAGCCACGCTCTGGCCCCAAAGTTCCCCAGTCCCGCTGCCGGGCGTCCGCAGTCACCGCCCGGGACCCAGGAACAATGCGGGGCTCCGGGCCGCTCACGATCGGGCCCGGGAGGCCATGCCCCGCCTGCGCTGCGGAACAAAAGGCGCTCGCGGGGCCGCGGCCGGGTGCCCGGGGCTCGCGGAGTCGACGCCCGGCGGGGAAGGCGCGGGGAAAACTTTCCAAGGGGCCGAGGCGGAGGGGCGAGGGCCGGGCCGCCCCCTCGCGGAGCCGTCCCGCACAATAGCCGGGCCCAGCGCGGGAAGGCCGGGCCGCCACGCCCCCGCCCCGGCCCCGGCCCCAGCCCGTACCTGGTGGTTCTCCTTCCTGCCGCCCGCGGCCGCCGCCGGCCCACCCGGGCCGCTAGTCATGTTCACGTACAGGGAGCGGGTGAGCGGGCTCCGCAGCGTCCACATCCTCCGCGCCAGCCACACGGACGCCAGGCTCAGGCACAGCCAGCCCGCCAGCAGTCTCATCGGGGGCCGCGGCCGCTCGCTCGGATCACCGCCGGCGCCGGGGCGAGGAGGAGGAGGCACCGCCGCCTCCGGCCACCGCCGCCACCGCCCGAGCTCGAGCCATCGCGGCCGCCTTGCCCATCCAGCCCCCTTCAGGGCAAAGGCTGGGGGTGGGGAGGAGCAGCCGGCGCGCAGCCTCGGCACCTCCCCCTTCCCTTCCGGCCGCGGAACGCCGCTGCCCCCTGCACCAGTTTCCATCCGGAGCACTTACAAGCGGCCGCGTCGCTTTCTCCCCCGGCGCCCTCCCTCCGTCCAATGAGCGGGCCGCTGGGAGGCGGGACAAAGGGAGCGCGCATCCGCCCGGAGCGCGTTCTCGTGTCCCGGCCCTGCCTTGGCCTCTAGTAAATGGCGGAGGTGGTTTTAATTTTTTTGAGGGCTGAGGAGATCACTTCCGAAGGCGGTAACTGCAGCCTCCCTGCCCCTCCAAGGTGGTGCTGGAAGGACCTCCAGTCTTTCCTCGCCTCATCCCACTCCACGGCGGGACTTTGACAGGGTTACCTCTCGACCCTCATCCCACTCCACGGCGGGACTTTGACAGGGTCGTGCAGTTAACCCCGGGGGCGCAAAGAGGGGAGTCATTCCTTTCGTGCATCCTGACACACACAGGTTCTTCCCGGAGACGAATGGTGCCAGTGATGGTTGCCCGCTCGGATGCGTAGTTTCCAGTTTACATTTAGAACCGACCTGCCAGACTCCCTCCTCTACTCTCCCCACCACCACGACCCGCCTGCCCCGTTCCCCAAGCCTGAGAAGTTGCTGGCTACGTGTTTCTATAAAGAATGAGTGAAAATTCTGCCTTTTGGGGAAGCTACCGCAGCTGGGGTACCCACAAGTAATGTTTTAGATGTATTGATGGCCCTGCCCAAGAATGAAGACCTCAAGTTAGACTCCTTGGCTGCCTTGTTTCCTTGAATTAGCACAGGGAAGTTGGACCCAACACTCTTAAGAGTGAACTCAGCTCTGGGAGCAGTGTTTAACCCGGATATTTATTTGATCATTTATAACACGAGGAGACCTAGCAACATTTCAGAACTGAAGGGTTAGTTACACTGTGTTCCTGTCTGCAGTTCTTCCTGCTATTATCCAAGCCACAATTAAGGAGTAACATTTCGTGGGAGTCCCTAACTTTAATACTTTCCTAGGTTTGTTTGGAAAGTGCTTTTAATTTAACTGCACCAGAAATAATGTAAATGTGTCTAAGTTCAAAACAAAAGAAGTAAGCCTTTTGGTTAATTCAGCGTTGCACATCAGAGATTTTCATTTATGAAACAGTGGGGTGGTGAGCCACAGATGGGGAACAAAATCATTCCTTACCCAACAGCTTTTTTTTTTTTTTTTTTTTGAAACGGAGTGGAGTCTCGCTCTGTCTCCAGGCTGGAGTGCAGTGGCTCGATCTCGGCTCACTTCAAACTCCGCCTCCCGGGTTCAAGCAATTCTTCTGCCTCAGCCTCCCGAGCAGCTGGGACTACGGGTGCGCGCCACCATGCCCAGCTAATTTTTGTGTTTTTCGTAGAGACGGGATTTCACCATGTTGGCCAGGATGGTCTCCATCTCTTGACCTCGTGATCCGCCTGCCTCGGCCTCCCAAAGTGCTGGGATTACAGGCGTGAGCCACCGCACCTGGCCCAACAGCTCTTTTATTAGCTTTTAAGAATCTCAGCTTGGCACCTTTGGCTAACAAGGATATCTTGTTGCCTAATGTAACAGGCTGTAACAACAAACAAAAAGGCACAGGGTGGGTGGGGTTCGGTATTTTGTGTTCTCTCTTTCCAATATACTCCCTGACTGCTTCCTGCCAAAACCCCGAAAAGCCCAAGCCTTACTAAATCTAGTTCAAACCTCTAGTGGTCCTGGCCCAAGTCATCAAAAAGGAACTATGGTAGCAAGTCCAATAACTGTTTATTTACTATGACACCTCTCCTTCCTGTCTCTTAGGATCAGTGTAACAGACAAAGCAACTCTGTCACAAAAGGAAGCCTTCATCTTTTTAAAGTGGGGGTGAAAGCAGCAGGAGTGCATAAAATGGCATATTTCCTTTCTGAAGACAAAGGAGACAAAAAGGTATGCCCCAGCTATAGAGTGAGACCACATAGCTGTAGCTGAGAGACTGCAAAATGTTATCAGATGAACAAGCAAGTAGATGGCTGCTGTAGTCAGAAGGATTTTGGGGTCAGTTGACTGCCACGAAGCCTAACAGCTCAAAGGAGCAGATTTTGTTTTATATCTGAGCAGCTGGCCTAGAAAAATAAATCACTCATACATTTAAAATACTCTATAATAACCACCAAACACTCAAACCCATGCTATTTACATTTAGCAGGCACAGGAAGAAACCAGAGCATCCGATGATCAAATGATTTGCCTGAAGGTAGCAGAGTAAATTCAATAGCTGACCTTTTCATAGAACTTGGTATCCCAGCTCGTGGTCTTTCGATCCATCTAAGAAGCTTTGCTGTCTCTTCTCAGAGAGCCTCCTGAATTACAAATGAGGAGAAACGAAAACAGCAAGAGTAAATATACGAAGCAGAAGTTCAGATTGCCCACTGGGGACAGCCCCCTTCCTTCATCTACTAGAATGTCACTACCGTATATTAAAACCTCAATTCTCCATAATGGAGACGGGAAGGGGCAAGATGACACAAAAAGCCAAATAGCCAATACTCGTTCTAACATGATCTTGAGATGCAGTTAGTAATATTCAAAAGATACACAAATGACCCTCTGCACCGAACTCTGCTCATTGACCCCAGGTGTCCCACTTGGGTCACAGCCCTGTACACAGGCCCAAAATTTTGGCGGGATCACTTTCCTATCTAGATCTCTAGGCAAAGGCTTTTTGTTATTGTTGTTCTTTGAAGTTACAAAGCTTGGCATTTTCATATTCTCTTTTCAATTACAAAGTATCATGTTAAGAGAATCCACAAGCAGAGAGTTTGGATCTGTACAAAACCTATTGATGATTGTTATCTCCTTGAAGAGATAATGATTTAAAAAGAACTCATATAGACCAGGCAGGGTGGCTCATGCTTGTAATCCCAGCACTTTGGGAAGCCAAGGCAGGTGGATGGCTTGAGCCCAGGAGTTCAAGGCCAGCCTGGGCAACATGGAGAAACCCCGTGTCTACAAAAAATACAAAAATAAGACAGGCGTGGTGACATGCACCTGTAGACCCATCTACTCAGGAGGCTGAGGTGGGAGGATCACCTGAGCCTGGGAGGCTGAGGCTGCAGTGAACTGAGATTGTGCCACTGCACTCCAGCTTGGGTGACCCTGTATCAAAAAATAAAAATAAAAATAACTCATATAATCACTTTTTTTTTCCCGAGATGGAGTCTTGCTCTGTTGCCCAGGCTGGAGTGCAGTGGCACGATCTCGGCTTGCTGCAACCTCTGCCTCTCGGGTTCAAGCAATTCTCCTGCCTCAGCCTCCTGAGTAGCTGGGATTATAGGCACCTGCCACCACGCCTGGCTATTTTTTGTATTTTTAGTAGAGATGGGGTTTCACCATGTTGGCCAGGCTGGTCTCAAACTCCTGACCTCGTGATCCGCCTGCTGCAGCCTCCCAAAGTGCTAGGATTACAGGCGTGAGCCACTGCACCTGGCCATAATCATGTTTTTATGGACAGATATTTTTTATGCTTCTTAATATTGTTTTGTATACCTTCAGAGAAAGATACAGCTTTTTCCCAGTATATTCAATAGAATGTGTCCTGTAGTTATTAAGCAATGAGCACCTCTAACAAAATTAGCAAATGTACTCAACAATTTGTTTAATTAATTAACGTAGGAGATCTTTATCTGAATTTAGTTGATACAACTTCAATCCTGTGCAATGATATCACTGTGGGCTCCAGTTGATGAATTCTAAGTCAAGGCAAAACTGCAGACAGCTTTGAAAAAAAAAAAATTAGTAGCCTAGGCCAGGCACCATGGCTCATGCTTGTAATCCCAGCTACTCAGGAGGCTGACACAGGAGAATCGCTTGAACCCAGGAGGCAGAGGCCGCAGTGAGCTGAGATCATGCCACTGTACTCCAGGCTGGGCAACACAGTGAAACTCCATCTCAAAAAAAAAAAAAAAAAAAAAAGCCTCAAGTAGCAGAATTGAACCAGGGGTTAGAAGATGTTAGTAGTTGGCCAGGTGCGGTGGCTCACACCTGTAATCCCAGCACTTTGGGAGATTGAGGTGGGTGGATCACAAGGTCAGGAGTTTGAGACCAGCCTGGCCAACATGGTGAAACCCGGTCTCTACTAAAAATACAAAAAAAATTAGCCAGGGGTGATGGCCTGCACCTGCAATCCCAGCTGCTCATGAGGCTGATGCAGGAGAATTGCTTGAACCTGAGAGGTGGAAGTTGCAGTGAGCTGAGATCACACCACTGCACTCCAGCCTGGGTGACAGAGTGAGACTCCATCTCAAAAAAAAGAAGACGTTAGTAGCAAATACAAGTAACATCGTGTGCTTCATTGGAGAACTCCCAGTGCTACTCATTAGCATGGTAGTTTATCATCTGCACTTTGAGCCAGACTATCTGGGTTTTAAGCTGGGCTCTATGCTTCTTGATTATGCAATTTGAGGCAAATTATTTGACCTCTACATGTCTGTTTCCTCATCTGTAAAATGGAAATAATAATAATGGTTACCTATTTCATAAGGATGCAGTGAATATCATGTTATATACTATAAATATAAAGGGCTTAATAAGTGCCTCAACATTTAGTAAACACTCAAAAAATGTTAATTTGTTTTCACTTTAACTTGGGTAAATCAACCTCATCTGAGCCTCTCTTTCCTCATCTGTAAACTAAGAGCCATGGTTCTGAGCTGTCTGCTTCACAAGACGTGTGTGAGAATTAGATGATCTGAGAGTTTTTTAAACTGCAAAACATCAACCAAAGTTATCATAATAAAGATGCTCAGTCCTAATGTAAAATGCCCACGTGAGGGATCTAGGTGGCCATCCTGTAAGAATCTAATGTCTGATGATCTGTCAGAGACTTTGGTCTCTGCAAAGCTACTCTCTGTAAAACATTCTCTTAGAACCCATGATGATAGCATCTCTTAATAATGTGTCTATCTTCACACATGTGTCTATCCTCATGACATTTCAAACTGAGTGGGGAAAAGAATATAAAACACAAAACTAGGCTGAGGTGGGAAGATCATTTGAGGCCAGGAATCCAAGACCAGCCTGGACAACATGTTGAAACCCCATCTCTACTAAAAATACAAAAATTAGCTGGGTGTGGTTGTGCAGGTACTTGGTAGGCTGAGGCATGAGAATCACTTGCACCCAGGAGGCAGAGGTTGCAATGATCTGAGATCGCACCACTGCACTCCAGCTTGGCTGACAGAGCAAAAGTCTGTCTCCAAAAACAAAGTAAAACAAATAAACACAGAACTATAAAAAAAAAATTCAAACCTAAAAGCAAAATCAGCTGGGCACAGTGGCTCATGTCTACAATCCCAGCACTTTGGGAGCCTGAGGCAGGCAGATGGCTTGAGCCCAGGAGTTCCACACCAGCCTGGGCAACATGACAAAATCCTGTGTCTACCCAAAAAAAAAAAAAAAAAAAAAAAAAACTACAAAAATTAGTCAGGTGAGGTGGTGTGTGCCTATACACCCAGCTACTCAGAAGGCTGAGGCAGGAGCATCAACTGAGCCTGGGAGGTCGAGGCTACAGTGAGCCATGACCACAGCACTGCACTCCAGCCTGGGTGACAGCACAAGACCATGTCTCAAAAAATAAAATAAAACTCAGGGAGTAAACTCAAGTTACCTACTTGTCAAAGATGCCTGTCTTTTTAGTAGGAAAGTCTTTTCCCCTCTGATATATAAAATTCTTCCCAGCTGGCTCACCTATGTACCCAGTCTGTACCCGCCAGGGCATTTCACCTGCTTACAGAACCTTTTGAACTCCCATGATTTCCTCCCTCATCATTCGCACATCTGTTTGTTTATGTCAGCAATATTAACCAAAAGACAAAGAAATGCCACTTTCACATATGCAATAAATATTTATTGGGTACATGGAATATACCAGGCCCTGGATTTACGGGAATAGAAAGCAAAATAAACACAATGTCTCACCTTCATAGAGCTTACCGTCTAGTAAGGAGACTGACCCGAATACATAATTACAAACTGCTGAGAGCGAGAAAGGATTTGTATACTGTTACGAGAACTTGGACAGATCTGACTTAATTAGGCGTGGAGGGCATGAGGGAAGGAGAGTGTTCAGGGAAAGCTGCCTTGAGGAAATGTGCTTTGTGGTCATTTTGACATCCCCTTGCCAAACTTGAAAGCTTCCAGATTTCCCAAGTTCCTCCTGGACTACAGGTATCCCCAATAATTGTGACAACAGAAATGGAGATAGTGCAGGACAGGCAAGTCCCAAAGTGGTGCTTAGCCCTCTGGGTTCTTGGCTTTATCAGGAAGGAATTCAAAGGCAAGCCAGAGGTAGAAGAAAACAGCTATATTGAAGAGGCTGTGTTACAGCTCCATGACTGCTCCTGCAGAGCAGGGCTACCCCATAGGGAGAGAGTAGCAGCTGAGGGTAGTTCAGTTCTGTAGCCATATTTATACCCACTTTTTTTTTTTTTTTTTTTGAGATGGAGTCTCGCTCTGTCGCCAGGCTGGAGTGCAGTGGCACGATCTCAGCTCACTGCAACCTCCGCCTCCCAGGTTCAAGTGACTCTCCTGCCTCAGCCTCCTGAGTAGCTGGGACTACAGGCATGCGCCACCACATCCAACTAATTTTTCTATGTTGAGTAGAGACGGGGTTTCACCATGTTGGCCAGGCGGTCTCGAATTCCTGACCTCATGATCTGCCTGCCTCGACCTCCCAAAGTGCTGGGATTATAGGCGAGAGCCACTGTACCCAGCCTGTACTTGAAACTAAAAGTGGGAGGCTGGGCATGGTGGCTCATGCCTATAATCCCTGCACTTTGGAAGGTTGAGGTGGGTGGATCATGAGGTCAGATGTTTGAGACCAGCCTGGCCAACATGGTGAAACCCCATCTCTACTAAACATACAAAAAATAGCCAGGTGTGGTGGCAGGCGCCTGTAATCCCAGCTACACAGGAGGCTGAGGCAGGAGTCGCTTGAACCCGGGCGGCAGAGGTTGCAGTGAGCCGAGATCGCATGTCACTGCACTCCAGCCTGGGCAATGGAGCAGGACTCTGTCTCAAAAAATAAATAAATAAATAAATAATTGCATGTAGATTAAAGAGCTGTTTATGCAGAAATTTCTAGGGAATGGGCAGTAACTCCTAGGTCATTGGATCACTGCCATGGAAAGTGACAGTAACTGTCGAGTGTTGCCATGGCAGTGGTAAATCGACATGGCACACTGGTGAGCATGTCTGATTAAAACTACTTTCGCCCAGGCCCTGTTTTGGCTAGTTCTTAATCTGGTCCAGTGTCCACTCCAGTGTCCGAGCTCAACCTCTGGAGTAGAGTCCCACCTGCTACCTCCGACTGCTCATCAGAGCCTTCTAGAATGTGAGGAATCCCAGTGTCCCTCACATACACTCACAGAGTCCTGGAGAAAACGAAATGAGTTGTCTGGGCAGCTGTCAGCACAATCCCCTATATATATAGTCAGCTCTCAGATAGTAGCTGTGGTGGTTATTATGGAATCATAAGGCAGATGTAAACCTAGCTCTCCTTGGACAAGTTACTTAAGCAGTCCAAGAGATGAACAGCCATCTACTTTAAACTTAGTCTACTATAAGACAAATTAATTAGGGAGAGTCCTTCAACCTAAATCCTGGGCTCCACCAAATGAATCAGTTTCTCCAACAGAACTGTGTGAATTAGGCATTTTATTTTATTTAATTATTATTTTTTGAGACAGGGTCTCTGTTGCCCAGGCTGGAGTGCAGTTGCACAATCTCAGCTCACTGCAACCTCCGCCTCCTAGCTCAAGCGATCCTCCCACCTCAGCCCCCCAAGTAGCTGGGGCTACAGGCACACACCACCATGCCCGGCTAGTTTTTTATGTTATCTTATAGAGACACAGTTCGCCATGTTGCCCAGGCTGGTCTTGAACTCCTGGACTCAAGTGATCTGCCTGCCTCGACCTCCCAAAGTGCCAGGATTACAGGCATGAGCTACCATGCCTGGCCTCTAAATTAGGCATTTTAATACACATGTTTTGTACCACCTAAGTTGTGCTTTTTTTTTATTTTTATTTTTTCAAGATGGACTTTCACTCTTGTTACCCAGGCTGGAGTGCAATGGCGGGATCTCGGCTCACTGCAAGCTCCGCCTCCCGGGTTCAAGCGATTCTCCTGCCTCAGCCTCCTGAGTAGCTGGGATTACAGGCATGCGCCACCATGCCTGGCTGATTTTTTTTGTATTTTTAGTAGAGAGGCGGTTTCTCCATGTAGGTCAGGCTGGTCTCGAACTCCCAACCTCAGGTGATCCACCCCGCCTCAGCCTCCCAAAGTGCTGGGATTACAGGCGTGAGCCACCACGCCCAGCCCACTTCTGTATTTATACAGATCCTTCTGCCTGTGCTTCTGAATCCTTAAAAGACATCTTCACATACAGTATAAGCTACTTAAAGGAATATAAGTATTTTTAAATATATATTTCAACTAAATAATGTCCTTCCAATAACAGGTCTATGAGTCAGAGCTCTGACAAAAGACAGAAGGCTGTTGCTTTCATTCAGTTTCTAGGGCATTTTTGAAGGTCCAAATATCTTTCATCTAGTTTTAAATATCCTTTCGAAACAACCCTGTCCTTGGCCTCTTAATTGCTTTCTTTTGCATGTATGTGGGCTTGCTCTTCTAAATGACTGCTTCCTCTCCACCAAATTCACCGTGGGTATTTATTTTGAAATTATAAAGGCTTCTTATTTTATAAATATGAAACATTAAAACTTATGGTTTATATGAAATACATGGGGGAAGTGTCCTGTATTATGAGAAATCTTTTAAAACTTAAAATGTAAATTTTTTACGATAGACCAAATGTGTATATACATAAACATAAGTGATCTTAAAGTGTTTGTAAAACATACCACAAAATAACCACATTTCTGCTGGCATGAAATAAAACCACTGTTTTCTTTTTGCACAACCAAAACTGATCAGAAAATGAGGAAGAATACATTTACGAAAGAGGATACTTGAGTAATCAACCATCCTGAAAATCAGACAGAAATATCTCCCTTCTCTAGTGAAAACTATGACTGATTTTTTAATAGCCACAGCTAATCTGAGCTTGTTTTACAAGTTAGCCCAGGATCTTCCTCAAATTTATTGTGTGCACAACTCATTCAATCAGAGGAAAGGCATTTGGCTATCAGATCACCAAAACTGTGGCATTGTAAGACTCCCGCTACAGTTTTCATCTCCCTTTATGGTCTCCTCTTACCAAGAATTCTTTGTGCTATACAGTTTCTTGAAATTGACAAAGTCAATACTGATAACAGCTATTAAGTTTTTCTACAATAGAAACTTTATTTCTAAGTTCATTAGCTTTTCTTTTCTTTTTTTTTTTTTTCAGACCAGTGTAATGTTCTGTCTCCCAGGCTGGAGTGCAGTGGTATGATCACAGCTAACTGCAGCCCCCCTGGGCTGAATCTGTCCTCCTGCTTCAGCCTCCTGAGTAGCTGGAACTACAGGTACATGCCACCACACTCAGCTAATTTTTGTATTTCTTTGAGAGATAGGGTATCGTCACGTTGCCCAGGCTGGTCTCAAACTCCTGAGCTCAACTGATCTACCTGCCTCAGCCTCCCAAAGTGCTGGGATTATAGGTGTGAGCCACCGTGCCCGGCCTAAGTTCATTAGCTTTCTACGCTCAAGTCTTTTGGAGAAGTTTGAGATGTGACAGCAGCAGGCATCAGAGGCTAGCAGCTCTCCCCCACCATGAAGAATTTTTCCCATTCAGATTCCAGCTTCCCCCTCTCACACCACCCCAGAGGGCATGGAGAAGCTGGCTTTGCTCAGGAACCACAATAAAGTGTAGTTTGTTATGTGTGAATGTAGAGCATGCTGTTCTCCGTCCAACATAAATCCATTTTTATAACCAAAACTATAAATGACAGTGGAGCCAAATTTGCTACTTTTTGGACAGACATCTTACAAGTTAAACAAATTGCTTTAGGTTCATTATATCCAGTTTTTGCTTTCATAAGGAGACATATTTACAGATAATTACCACATCTACAATGTTCATTATAATTATTCAATGAAGGAAGGCTTCAGGAAAAAAAATCTAAGTTATCCTTGTACAGTTTTGACAGTACATTGGATTCATGTTTAGAATCTGCAACATCCTGTTTGATTCATGTGCTGGAATTTCTCCATTATTATACTTTTTTTTTTTTCTCACAGAGATGGGATCTTGCTATGTGGACTAGTGCTTCCTCTTCAACTTCCTCTCCTTCAATTCCCTCTGAAGCCCATCTTTTCAGGACAACATTAACTCCTGTCCTCAAGTGATACTTCTACCACGGCCTCCCAAAGTGCTGGGATTACAAGCGTGAGCCACTATTCCCAGCCCATTATGATACTTTATTTTATTTATTTTTCTTTTTTGAGATGGAGTCTTGCTTTGTCACCCGGGCTGGAGTGCAATGGCACAATCTTGGCTCACTACAACCTCCGCCTCCTGGTTCAAGCAATTCTCCTGCCTCAGCCCAGTAGCTGGGATTACAGGCACCCACGACCACACCCAGCTAATTTTTGTATTTTTAGTAGAGACAGAGTTTCACCATGTTGGCCAGGCTGGTCTCCAACTCCTGACCTCACATGATCCACCCACCTCAGCCTCCCAAAGTGCTGGGATTACAAGGCATGAGCCACCACGCCTGACCCCATTATGATTCTTTCTTTTCTTTCTTTCTCTCTCTTTCTTCCCTTCCTTCCTTCTTTCTCTATCCTTCCTTCCTTCCTTTCCTTTATTTCTTTCTTTTATTTCTTTCCGTTCTTTTCTTTCTTTCTTGCTCTGTCTCCCAGGCCGGAGTGCAGTGGTGCCATCTCGGCTCACTGCAACCTCCGCCTCCTGAGTTAAAGCAATTCTGCCTAAGCCTCCCAAGTAGCTGGGATTACAGGCATGTACCACCACACCCAGCTAATTTTTGTATTTTTAGTAGAGATGGGGTTTTGCCATGTTTGCCAGGCTGGTCTCAAACTCCTGACCTCAAGTGATCCACCCACCTCAGCCTTCCAAAGTACTGGGATTATAGGTGTGAGCCACTGCACCCAGCCTATGATACTTTAAATAGCTGCATATACATGGGTGTATTTTCATCTTGACAGATGGTAAATCATAGCACATTTGAGGACATCAAGCATTCATTAGATCCTTTGCCCTATTTAGAACTTATATCTGCTTGGACACAAGTATCAGGAATATATTATATTTTTGACATATGTTAAAGGCTGTTTCAAGAAAAAAATTTAAGTCAGGTCTTTTTGACATATTAAGCTGTATATGGAGTTAATCATAAAATCGCCCTGAAAAATCTCTGGAAATAGAGAAATAAAATTGCTGTCTGAGAACCACACTTTAAAACATACATATAGGCTGGGCATGGTGGCTCATGCCTGTAATCCTAGCACTTTGGGAGGCCGACACAGGTGGATTGCTTAGGCCCAGGAGTTTGAGACCAGCCTGAGCAATATGGTAAAATCCTGTCTCTACAAAAAATTACAAAAATTATGTTTTTATGGCTGACCAACCTCCTCCTCACCCTCCAACCGCAATGAGCTGTTATTTCTACAATTATGTTATACTTCAGTCAATTTGAAGTCAAGTCTTGGCTTGAGGCCTGCCTTTTTTTTTTTTTTTTTCCTTTTTTCCTTAGGAGGTCTCAGATTGAAAACTTGAGATCATGCACTGTCACAGCCATGACAGCCACTCCTCAATCTCCTGTGTAACTGGTTCTGTTGGATACTCGTCAGCTGTGAACCATTCACTCTCAGAAACATACACTGAAAAAACCCCAAATTATCACCTCCTTCATGATCCCATACACATGACTTAAATGTGATGGGAGGAAAAAAAAAATGGGCTGCTGGGGGACCTGCCTTTTTTAAAGGTGACTTTGCATGTCTTTGCTCAAATCTTTTTTTTTTTTTTTTTTTTTGAGATGGAGTTTCACTCTTGTTGCCCAGGCTGGAGTGCAACGGCGTGATCTTGGCTCACTGCAACCTCCACCTCCCAGGTTCAAGCGATTCTCTTGCCTCAGCCTCCCAAGTAGCTGGGATTACAGGCATGTGCCACCACGCCCAGCTAATTTTGTATTTTTAGTAGAGATGGGGTTTCCCCATGTTGGTCAGGCTGGTCTCAAACTCCCAACCTCAGGTGATCCCCCCGCCTCGGCCTCCCAAAGTGCTGGGATTACAGGTGTGAGCCACTGCGCCTAGCCCTCCAAATTTATTGTACACACACATATACGTATGTATACATATATGGCTCCATGATGTATATATGTGGTGTGTATATACACATATGGGGAGATATATATATATATATATATATATTTTTTTTTTTTTTTTTTGAGACTGGTTCTCACTCTGTCACCCAAGTTGGAGTGCAATGGTGTGATCTTGGCCCACTGCAGCCTCCACTTCCCCAAGCTCAGGTGATCCTCCCACCTCAGCCTCCCGAGTAGCTGGGACCACAGGCACATGCCACCACGCCTGGGTAATTTTTGTATTTTTTCATAGAGATGGAGTCTTGCCATGTTGCCCAGGCTGGTCTCACACTCCTGGTTTCAAGCAATCGGCCTACTTTGGCCTCCCAGTGCTGAGATTACAGGTGTGAGCCACTGTGCCTGGCCACCAGCTCTATCTTTACCATCAACATTGGAGTAAACATTTACATCAGGGGTCAGGGGTATCCAATCTTTTGGCTTCCCTGGGCCACATTGGAAGAAGAAGAATTGTCTTGGGCCACACACAGAATATACTAACACTTGCTGGGCATGGTGGCTCATGCCTGTAATCCCAGCACTTTGGGAGGCCAAGGCAGGTGGATCACATGAGGCCAGGAGTTCAAGAGCAGCCTGGGCAACATGGTGAAAACTTGTCTCTATTAAAAATACAAAAATTAGCCAGGCATGGTGGCACACGCCTGTAGTCCCAGCTACTCGGGAAGCTGAGGCAGGAGAATTGGTTGAGCCTGGGAGGTGGAGGTTGCAGGGAGCCAAGATCACACCACTGCACTGCAGCCTGGGTGACAGAGAGGGACTCCTTCTCATAAAAAAAAAATGCAAAAGACTCATAATGTGGTTTTGTTTGTTTTGAGACAGTTTTGAGACAATTGCCCAGGCGGAGTGCAGTGGCACAATCAGGGCTCACTGCAACTTCTGCCCTCCGCCTCCCAGGCTTAAGTGATTCTCCTGCCTCAACCTCCCGAGTAGCTGGGATTACAGGCACGTTACCACCATGCACTGCATTTTTAGTAGAGACGGGGTTTTGCCATATTGGTCAGGAGTTGGAACTCCTGACCTCAGGTGATCTGCCCACCTCGCCCTCCCAAAGTGCTAGGATTACAGGTGTGAGCCACCTCGCCGGGCCAAAATCTCATGAAGTTTTAAGATTACAAATTTGTGTGGGGCTGCATTCAAAGCCATCCCGGGCCGCATGTGGCCCACAGGCCATGGGTTGGACATGCTTGATTTATATCAAGAGGCAGGAAGCCCACATTCTAGTATTTCCTTTACACTTTCCACGTGATTTTGGAAAAATCACATAATCCCAACTACCTTGTCTTTAAAAATAGTAATCAATTGGCCAGAAGTGGTGGCTCACGCCTACAATCCCAGCACTTTGGGAGGCCGAGGTGGGTGGATCACTTGAGGTCAGGAGTTCGAGACCAGCCTGGCCAACATGGCGAAACCCTGTTTCTACTAAAAATACAAATATTAACCGGGTGTGGTGGTACGCACCTGTAGTCCCAGCTACTCGGGAGGCTGAGGCAGGAGAATCGCTTGAACCCAGAAGGGGAGTTTGCAGTGAGCTGAGATCATGCCACTGCACTCCAGTCTGGGTGAGAGAGCGAAGCTCTGTCTCAAAAAATAAAAAGAAAGTAAGTAAATAAATAAATACTAATCAATCAAGACCACCCATGCGTAAAGGTATGGACCATCACCTGCTTACTTTCTTTGGTGAATTATGAATTATGTGAATTTTTTCCAAATTCTAATATAAATACATCTGTACTTAGTAATGCAACAGAAGTGGTATAATTTTCTTTGTTTTCTTTAAAAAACCAAGTCTCACAAATTCAGAGTTCCATAATCCTCCGTAAAACAAGAATTTATTATAAATAGTACCATACCTGTGACAATGTTTATAAAGGGAGATGATCTTTTCCTTTGAGAACTATGTGCTTGACAAATTATCACCTTCTTATGACCTGAAATAAAAATCCTTGCCTTTCTTACCCCTGTATGTTCATCACACACACACACACACACACACACACACACACACACACACACACACACACACCTGCTCTGTTTCATACTGTAAGGCTTGCCCGGTCTACTGTGAAGTACCTGGGAGGGAAAAAAAAAAACAACTCTAGAAATGAAATGGAAATAGATATATTTTTACTCCATGACATTCTAGATCTGGGCCACAGCCTACTCTCCATGAAAGAAAGCCTCCTACAACAGCACTGCAAGGGTACCGCATGTCACTTAGAACAGTGACAGCACCACTAAGCGCCAGACATTGTGCTAGTGCTTTCCATATGCCATCTTTTTTTTTTTTTTTTTTGAGACAGAGTCTCACTTTGTCACCCAGGCCGCAGTGCAATGGCTCGATCTCAGCTCATGCAACCTCCTCCGCCTCCAGGGTTCAAGCGATTCTCCTGCCTCAGCCTCCTGGGTAGCTGGGATTATAGGCGTGCACCACCACGCTTGGTTAACTTTTGCATTTTTAGCAGAGACGGGGGTTCACCATGTTGGCCAGGCTGGTCTCAAACTCCTGACCTCAAGTGATCCACCTGCCTTGGCCTCACAAAGTGCTGGGATTACAGGCGTGAGCCAGCACGCCTGGTCTGCCATCTCTTTTAATCCTCCTAACAATCAAATGAGGTGGATACTATTATTACCAGCTTTTTATAGAAAATAATCTAAGGCAGAGAAAGCTTCCATTGCTTTTACAGTGAATAAATAAATAAGTGGTTGAGGCAGGAATTTTTTTTTTTTTTTTGTGAGACAGGGTCTTTGTCACCCAGGCTGGAGTGCAGTGGCATGATCTCTGTTCCCTGCAACCACTACCTCCCGGGCTCAAGTGATCTTCCCACCTCAGCCTCCTGAGCAGCTGGGACGTCAGGCACGCACCCATACCCAGGCATGCCCAACTAATTTTTGTATTTTTTGTAGAGACCGGGTTTTGCTACATTGCACAGACTGGTCTCGAATTCCTGGGCTCAAGTGATCTTTCCACCTCAGCCTCCCAAAGTGCTGGAATTACAGCACCGTGCCTGGCCGAAGCAGGATTTTAAACTAGGCAGTCGGGTTGCAGAACCCTCATTCTTCACCACAATGCTTTACCGCCTCCTAGTGTTTATTTACTTTTGTAAAATTTTTTTTTGCAAGCCGGGCACAGTGGCTCACCCCTGTAATCCCAGCACTTTGGGAGGCCGAGGCGGGTGGATAACCTGAGGTCAGGAGTTCGAGCCTGGCCAACATGGTGAAACCCCGTCTCTACTAAAAATACAAAAAATTAGCCAGGCGTGTTGGCACGTGCGTGCCTGTAATCCCAGCTACTCAGGAGGCTGAGGCAGGAGAATTGGTTGAACCCAGGAGGTGGAGGTTGCAGTGAGCCAAGATTGTGCCATTGCACTCCACCCTGAGCAACAAGAGTGAAACTCCATCTCAAAAAAAAAAAAAAAGATATTTTTGCAGAGATGGTCTTGCCTCGTTGCCCAGGCTGATCTCAAACTCCTGGCCTCAAGGGATCCTTTTGCCTCAGTCTCCCAAAGTATCAGGATTACAGGCATGAGCCATTGCGTCTGATCTTAGAGGTTTTTGTTTTGTTTTGTTTTGTTTTGGAGATGGAGTTTCGCTCTTGTTGCCCAGGCTGGAGTGCAATGATGTGATCTCAGCTCACCACAAACTCCGCCTCCTGGGTTCAAGCAATTCTCCTGCCTCAGCCTCCCGAGTAGCTGGGACTACAGGGATGCACCACCATGCCTGGCTAATTTTGTATTTTTAGTAGAGACGCGGTTTCTCCATGTTGGTCAGGCTGGTCTCGAACTCCCGACCTCGGGTGATCCGCCCACCTTGGCCTCCCAAAGTGCTGGGATTACAGGCGTGAGTCACCATGCCCAGCAAGTGTTAGTGTATTCTATGTGCGGCCCAAGACAATTCTTCTTGTGCCCAGCCGCCTTAGTGGTTTTTTTGGTTTGGTTTCGTTTGGTTTGGTTTGAAATGCAGTTTAGCTCTTGTCACCCAGGCTGGAGTACAGTGGCACAATCTCGGTTCACTGCAACGTCTGCCTCCTGGGTTCAAGTGATTCTCCTGCCTCAGCCTCCCAAGTAGCTGGGATTACAGGCGCTCGCGACCATACCCAGCTAATTTTTGTATTTTTAGTAGAGACGGGATTTCACCATGTTGGCCAGCGCATTAGTGTTTTTCAAAACAGGCCTCAGATCACTAGCGTCAGGATCACCTGTGGTGCTGGTTAAAATGCAGCTTCCTTGGCTATCCCAGGTATACTGATTCAGAATCTTCAGCAAAAGTAATATGTAATTTATATAATTAAAAAGTACTTAAACGTCTTTTTTTTAATTTTTTATATATTTATTTTTTGAGACGGAGTCTAGCTCTGTCGCCCAGGCTGGAGTGCAGTGGCGCAATCTCGGCTCACTACAAGTTCCGCCTCCCAGGTTCACGCCATTCTCCTGCCTCAGCCTCCCGAGTAGCTGGGACTACAGGCCCCCGCTGCCACGCCCGGCTAATTTTTTTGTATTTTTGGTAGAGACGGGGTTTCACCGTGCTAGCCAGGATGGTCTCGATCTCCTGACCTCGTGATCCACCCACCTCAGCCTCCCAAAGTGCTGGGATTACAGGCGTGAGCCACCGCGCCTGGCCTTAAACGTCTTAAAATTATTTTTAATGAGATATTTATTTATTTATTTAGAGACAGAGTCTCACTCTGTTGCCAGGCTGGAGTGCAGTGGCGCAATCTCAGCTCACTGCAACCTCCACCTCCCGGGTTCAAGCGATTCTCCTGCGTCAGCCTCCAGAGTAGCTGGGCATGCACCACCACGCCCAGCTAATTTTTGTATTTTTTAGTAGAGACGGGGTTTCACCATGTTGGCCAGGATGGTCTTGATCTCTTGAACTCGTGGTCTGCTCACCTCAGCCTCCCAAAAATAATTATTTTTAAATAATATGTTGAGATAACCTAAAAGAAAGTCACATTTCATATTAATTTTTCATATATGTCTGGACTCTCTATTCTGTTCCATTTGTTTTTGTTAGTTAGTTAGTTTGTTTGTTTGTTTTTGAGACGGAGACTCGCTCTGTCACCCAGGCTGGAGTGCAGTGGCACGATCTCGGCTCACTGCAACCTCTGCCTCGCAGGTTCAAGCTGTTCTCCTGCCTCAGCCTCCCTAGTAGCTGGGACTACAGGCATGCGCCACCAGGCCTGGCTAATTTTTGTATTTTGAGTAGAGACAGGGTTTCACCGTGTTGGCCAGGCTGATCTCAAATGGGAATACAGGCGTGAGCCACCACGCCCGGCCATAAGTTTTTGTTTCTCTTGGGAAAAAAGCTAGCAGTGGGATTTCTGGATCATATGTCAGCTGTATATTTAACTTTAAAAGAAACTGCCAAACTGTTTTTTAAAGTAGATGTATCATTTTAATTCCTACCAAGAATGTATGAGAGTTCTGGATGCTCCACATCCTTTGTCAGCACTTGGTATTCAGTTTTTATTTTAGCTATTCTAATTGTTATGTACGGGTGACTCATTAGGGCTTTAATTTACATTTTCCTAATGACCAATAATGTTGAGCATCTTTTCATGGACTTACTTTCCATTTGTATATCTTCTTTGGTGAAGTGTCTGTTCAAATCTTTGCCCATTTTTATTTTGTTTTTTCAAGTCATCCATGGAATACAAACTGTATTAGTTGGGTCTCACACTGCTATGAAGAAATACCCGAGACTGGGTCACTTATAAAGGAAAAAGTTTAATTGACTCACAGTTCCACATTGCTGGGGAGGCCTTAGGAAACTTACAATCATGGCAGAAGGCAAAGGAGAAGTAGGCACCTTCTTCACAGGGCAGCAGGATGGAGTGAGTGCAAGCACAGGGAATGCCAGATGGTTATAAAACCAGCGGATCTCCTGAGACTCACTCACTATCATGAGAACCGTATAGGGGAAACTGTCCTCATGATCCAAATACCTCCACCTAGTCTGCCCTTGACACATGGGGATTATGGGGATTACAATTCAAGATGAGATTTGGGTAGGGAAACAAAGCCTAATTACAAACTTTGCCTTTATTTTTATTATTATTATTTTTTTGACTAGATCTTCCTCTGTCACCCAGGCTGGAGTTCTGTGACATGATCATCATAGCTCACTGCAACCTTGAACTCCTGGGCTCAGGTAGTCCTCCCACTTCAGCGTCCTGAGTCACTGGGATTACAGGTGTATGCCACAATACCTAGCTAATTGTTAATTTTTTGTAGAGATGATGTCTCCCTACATTGCCCAGGCTGGTCTTGAACTCTGAGCCTCAAGTGATCCTCCCACCTCAGCCTCCCAAAGTACTGGGACTACAGGCAAGAGCCACTGTGCCCAGACCACCATTTTTTAAGTTAGGTTGATTGTCATTTTATAATTGAATTGTGACAGTTCTTCACATATTCTACATAGAAGTTTTTATCGAATAGGCATTTTGTTTTGTAAATATTTTCTTCCAGTCTGTGGTTCACATTTTTCATTTTCTTAACCATGTCTCTCAAAGATCAGAGGTTTTAAATTTTGAAATCAAACTTACTAATTTTTTCACTTATGATTTGCAATTGGGTATCATATTTAAGAAAATTTTCTCATTCCAGAGTCACAAAGATTTTTTCCTATGTTTTATTCTAAAAGATGTATGGTTTTAAATATTACATTTAGGTCTAAAATCCATTGGTGCAAGGTATGGGTTGAGATTCATTTTTGTTCTTTTCTTGGAGCAGGGACTAAGTCTCTCTCTGTGGCCCAGGCCGGGGTGCAGTGGGATGATCTCGGCTCACTGCAGCCTTAGTCTCCTAGGTTCAAGCAATTCTGCCTCAGCCTCCTGAGTAGCTGGGACTACAGGCGTGCACCAACACTCCCTGCTAATTTTTTTGTATTTTTAGTAGAGACAGAGTTTCACCATGTTGGCCAGGCTGGTCTTGAGCCACTGGTCTCAGATGATCTGCCCACCTCGGCCTCCCAAAGTGTTGGGATTACAGGTATGAGCCACCGCGCCTGGCCAGAGGCAAGGAGTTTGAGACCAGCCTGGGCAACATAGTGAGACTCCATTTCTACAAAAAAAAAATTTTTTTTTAATTAGCTGGGCATGGTGGCATGCACCTGTAATCCCAGCTACTCACGAGGCTGAGGTGGGAGGATTACTTGAGCCCAGGAGATTGAGGCTGCAGTGAGCTATGATTGCACCACTGCATTCCAGCCTGAGTAGCAGAGCAAGATACTGTCTCGGCAGGCAGATCACCTGAGGTAGGGAGTTCGAGACCAGCCTGATCAATATAGAGAAACCCCATCTCTACTAAAAATACAAATTAGCTGGGTGTGGTGGCACATGCCTATAATCCCAGCTACTTGGGAGGCTGAGGCAGGAGAATCACTCGAACCCGGGAGGCAGAGGTTGCAGTGAGCCGAGATCACGCCATTGCACGACAATTGCCCAGACAGACATTGCCTGTGCAACAAGAGCAAAACTCCGTCTCAAATAAATAAATAACGAATATAAATTTCCAGTTGTTCATTCCCAGTATATAGAAATACAATTGATTTTTATATATTGACCTTGTATCTTGTGACTTTGCTAAACATTTCCTAATAGAGTTTTATTTCTTCCTTTCCAATTTGTATGCCTTTAATCTATTTTTCTTGTCTTATTTTACTGGCTAGGATCTCCAGTATAATTTGTAATAGAAGTAGAAAAAACAAACATCCTTGCCTTTTTCCCAATCTTAGGACAGAAGCATTCAGTAATATCACCTCTGCAGGATATCAGCCACACATTTTTTCGTAGAGGACTTTGTCAGGTTGAGGAATTGCACTTCTACTCTTAGTGGGCTGACAGTTTTTAGCGTGAGTGGATGTTGCATTTCATCAAATGCTTTTCCTACATCACGTAAGATGGTCATGGGGCTTTTATTCTTTTTCTGTTGATATGGTAAATTACACTGATTGATTTCAACATTGAGTGTTGAATCAACACTGCATTCCACAATTAGCCCCATTTAGTTGTATTTATTTTCCTTTTCATATTAGCTAGATTAGATTTGCTGATATTCTGTTGAAGACTTTTGTATCTATATTCATGAAGAATACTGGTCTATGTTTTCTTATGTCTTTGATTAAAGTATCAGGGTAATACTGATAAGATGAACTAGGAAGTGTTCTCTTCAATCTTCTGAAAGAGTTTGTGTTAAATTGGTATTATTTCTTTCTTAAATATTTGGTAGAATTTACCAGTAAAACCATCTGGGTCTGGAGTTTTCTTGGAAAAGATCTAAGTTGTCAGATTTATTGATATAAAGATTTCATAATATTTCCGTATTATCCTTTATATATCTGCAGAATCTGGACTGATGCCTTGTTTTTCATTTCTGATACTGGAAATTCATGTCTTCTTTTTTTCTTGACTAGTCTAGCAAGACGTTTATCGCTTTTATTGGTGTTTTCAAAGAAACAGTTTTGGCATAATTGATTTTGTTTTTTAAATGTTATTGGTTTCTGATCTTATTATTTCCTCCTTCTGTTTAAATTGGGTTTGATTTGCTCTTTTTCTCATTTTTCTAACTTCTTAATAAAAGCACAGATCATTGATTTGAGCCCCTTTCTTCTTGTTTTGCTTCTTCTTTTTCTTTTTTCACACAGGGTCTTGCCTGTCACCTAGGCTGCAATGCAGTGGCATGATCACAGCTCACTGCAGCCTTGACCTTCCCGGGCTCAGGTGGTCCTCCCACCTCAGTCTCCCAAGTAGCTGAGACTACAGGCACACACCGCCATGTCCGGCTAATTTTTGTATTTTTTGTAGAGATGTGGTTTCGCCATGTTTCCCAAGCTGGTCTCAAACTCCTGGGCTCAAGTGATCCTCCTGCCTCGGCCTCCCAAAGTGCTAGGATTACAGGCATGAGCCACTGCACCTGGCCAAGACCCTTTTCTAATATTAGCATTTTATGCCAAACATTTCCCTCTGTGCACTGTTTTTGTTACATCCCATGAATTTTGAACAGAAGTTTTTACTTCTGTTCAATTCAAAACATTTTCTAATTTCCTTTGTGAGTTCCTCTTTGATTTATGAGTTATTTCTAAGTGTATATTAAAACTTCTAGATATTTGAGAATTTCCCAAGTATATTTCTTATTGGTTTCTAATTCAATTCCATCGTGATCAAAGGAGATACTTTATATGGTTACTATTCTTTTACATTTGTTATGGTTTGCTTTATTTCCCAGAAGATGGTCTATCTTGGTAAATGTTCCATTTGACTGAAAAAGAACATGTATTCTCTTGTGGTTGGGCAGTGTGTTCTATAAATGTCAATTGGGCCAAGTTTTGTTAGAGTATTGCTTACATCTTCTATATACTTATTGGTTTTCTCTCTACTTGTTCCGTTGATTTATTTTTTTGTTTGTTTGATTTTGGTGTTTTGTCTTTGTGGGGTTTTTTCTTTTTTTTTTTTTGAGACAGGGTCTTGCTCTGTTGCCCAGGTTGGAGTGCAGTGACATGATCACTGCTTACTGCAGCCTCAACCTCCTGGGCTCAAATGATTCTCTTGCCTCAGCCTCCCAAGTAGCTGGGACTATAGGCACATGCCACCATGTCTGACTAATTTGTTGTTGCTGTTGTTGTTGTTTTTAGTAGAGACAGGATCTCACTATGTTGCCCTAGCTGGTCTCTAACTCTTGAGCTCACACTATCATCCCACCTCGGCCTCCCAAAGTGCTGGGATTACAGATGTGAGCCACCCTGCCCAGTGTTTTCTGTTAATTTCTAAAAGAGAAGTATTGAAATCTCCACCTGTAATTGTGGATTTGTCTATTTCTCCATTCTCTTCTATCAGCTTTTGCTTCATGAATTTTGAAGCTCTGTTGTTATGCACATACATGTTTAGGATTATTTTATCTTCTTGATTAATTGACCCATTTTTCATAATATGGTCTTCCTCTTTATCATTGATAACATTCCTTCTTCTGAAGTCTACTTTGTCTACTATGAATACAGTTACTGCAACTTTGCTTAGTGCGTTTGCCTGTTTTTTGTTTGTTTCTGTTTTTGTTTTTTTTAGACAGAGTGTCGCTCTGTCGCTAGGCTGGAGTGCAATGGCATGATCTCGGCTCGCTGCAACCTCTGCCTCCCAGGTCCAAGAGATTCTCCCACCTCAGCCTCTGGAGTAGCTGGGACTATAGGCGCCTGCCACAGTGCCCAGCTAATTTTTGTGTTTTTATTAGAGAGGGGGTTTCACCAATTGGCCAGGCTGGTCTCAAACTCCTGACCTTGTGATAGGCCCGCCTCGGCTTCCCAAAGTGCTGGGATTACAGGCGTGAGCCACCGTGCCCGACCTTGCCTGTTATTTTTTTAAAGTCTTTTCACTTTTTTTTTTTTTTTGAGACTGAGTCTCACTCTATTGCCCAGGCTGGAGTTCAGTGGCGCAATCTCGGCTCACTGCACCTCTGCCTCCCAGGTTCAAGCAATTCTCCTGCCTCAGTCTCCCAAGTAGCTGGGATTACAGCAGCCTGCTATCATACCCGGCTAGTTTTTGTATTTTTAGTAGAGATGAGGTTTTACCATGTTGGCCAGGCTGGTCTCAAACTCCTGACCTCAAGTGATCTGCCCACCTCGGCCTCCCAAAGTGCTGGGATTGCAGGCATTAGCCACTGGACCCAACCTAAGTCTTTTTACTTTTAACATGTCTATATCTTTATTTATTTATTTATTTATTTATTTATTTTCCTTTTGGGAGAACAGGGTCCTGCTATGTTGCCCAGGCAGGTCTCCAACCCCTGGGCTCAAGTAATCCTCTCACCTCCGCCTCCCTAAGTGCTGGGATTACAGGTATGAGCCACTGTGCCTGATAACATGTCTATATTTTTCTTTTTTTTTTCTTTTTTCTTTTTTTTTTTGAGATGGAGTCTTGCTCTGTCACCCAGGCTGGAGTGCAGTGGCACACTCTTGGTTTACTGCAACTTCTACCTCCTGGGTTGAAACAACTCTCCTGCCTCAGCCTCCCAAGTAGCTGGTACTACAGGTGCCTGCCACCACCCCTGGCTAATTTTTGTATTTTTAGTAGAGATGGGGGTTTCACTATGTTGGCCAGGCTGGTCTGGAACTCCTGACCTCAAATGATTCACCCACCTTGGCTTCCCAAAGTGCTGGGATTACAGGCGTGAGATATCACGCCCAGCCAACATGTCTATATCTTTTTTTTTTTTTTTTTTTTTTTTTTTTTTGAGACGGAGTCTTGCTCTGTTACCCTGGCTAGAGTGCAGTGGTGCGATCTTGGCTCATTGCACCCGCCGCCTCCCGGGTCCAAGTGATTCTCCTGCTTCAGCCTCCCAAGTAGCTGAGATTACAGGCACCCGCCACAACACCTGGCTAATGTTTGTATTTTTTTAAATAGAGATGAGGTTTCACCATATAGGTCAGGCTGATCTTGAACTCCTGACCTCAAGTGATCCACCCGCCTCGGCCTCCCAAAGTGCTGGGATTATAGACAGGCATGAGCCACTGTGCCTGGCCTATTTATGCTCTTAAAGGTTATTAATATCTGATATATATATGTTGACGTGCAGTGGTGTGATCACAGCTCACTGCAACTTTGAACTCCTGACTCAAGCAATCCTCCTGCCTCAGCCTCCCAAGTAGCTGGGCCTACAGATGCATGCCACCACACCCCGCTAATTTTTATTTATGTATTTATTTGTAGAGTTCTCACTACGCTGCCCAGGCTGGTCTTGAACTCCTTGATTACAAGCATGAGCCACCATGCCCAGCCTGGTGGAAATATTTTATAATGGTATGTGACTGTTCATCAATTTCCAAATTTGTGTTCAGTGATATCACATTGATATCTTGAAACTGGCCATGGTAGAAGTATTTATACAATGGAAATCAGTATAAATTATTGTGTTGGTTTATTAATTGACTGAACAAGGGGGTCAGCAAACCTTTTCTATAAAGAGCCAGATAATATTTTAGGCTTTGTGAGCCATGTACAGTCTCTGCTTCTTTGGTGGTTAGATCTCAGGCTGTACAAAAAAACAGGCCATGGGTTGGATTTGGCCCACAGGCTATAGTTTGCCTACCCCGGGTCTAGACTTAAGAAAGTAGTAAAAAAGATGCTTGTAAAGACTGAACCCAAAACTGTCATTTCTTTAGCCATTACACTGCAAATGCACAACTAATTAAGGAAATATTCTTCCCAGTATTCAAAACCTATCATTTAATTCAGCAAAGAAGTTGCTCACATCACTAGTGACCAAGTGAAGTTCTGAAGTGGGTCTTCATTGTTTCACTTTTGTCTTACTCATTAAGATAAACAAAAATATAAAACAACATTTAGGTTGGAACTACACTCCTTGGTCAATGACAGGAGTAACTTGAATAGTAATCAAGCATTTATTCAGTCTGGATTTTGTGACTCTGTTGATTCGTAAAATTTATAGTAAGTTACATATGTATAGAATGCATAATATTTTTTTTTCGAAGAGTCAGTTTTAAGCATTTCCAGCACACCAATGTCTACACATGTCCATCTGAGCTGATGATCACTCTTGGCTAAGAAAATCTGAACAGGCACAGAGAATCTGAATCAGTTAGATGAAGGTGGGCGACTGAACTCGTGTGTTGGTGGGGTGGGGGAAGGGGCCAGGTGCAGTGGCTCATGCCTGTAATCCCAACACTTTGGGAGGGTGAGGTGGGTGGATCATTCGAGGCCAGGAGTTCGAGACCAGCCTGGCCAGCATGGTGAAGCCCCATCTCTACTAAAGATACAAAAGAATTAGCTGGATGTGGTCAATTGCACACATGTATCCCAGCTACTTGGGAGGCTAAGGTGGGAGAATGGCTTGAACCCAGGAGGCAGAGGTTGCATTGAGCCTAGATTATGCCACTTCATCCAGCCTGGGCAATAGAGTGAGACTCTATCAAAAAAAAAAAAAAAGAAAAAAAAATGGGAGAAGAAGAAAAAGAGAGACAGAGAAATGAAGCAGAGGTGTCAGAAACAGCAAAAGTCACCTCAGTCCCTGCTTTCCCACTCCAGTCTTTGTATAGCTTAACCATGATTTCCTGTTCCTGGATGCCTATGAGTTTGCCTACTATATACTTCCAAAAAACCTCTTTAAAATCACTGAAATTGAATTCCCTTTTCTTGACCCTAAGAGTGTGCCATATAAATCTGGGTTATTCTCTAATTCTGGTCTTGAATTTCCCAAATCTGATCTTTTTCTTTTTTTTCTTTTTTTTTGAGATGGAGTCTCACTTGCCCAGGCTAGGGTGCAGTGGCGTGATCTCCAATCACTGCAACCTCGGTCTCCTGGGTTCAAGTAATCCTCCTGCCTCAGCCTCCAGAGTAGCTGGGACTACAGATGTGCACTACCATGCCCGGCTAATTTTTTTTTTTTTTTTTTGAGTTGGAGTTTCACTCTTGTTGCCCAGGCTAGAGTGCAATGGCACGATCTTGGCTCACCGCAACCTCTGCCTCCCAGGTTCAAGCGATTCTTCTGCCTCAGCCTCCTGAGTAACTGGGATTACAGGTGCCCGCCACCACGCCTGGCTAATTTTTTGTGTTTTTACCAGAGATGAAGTTTCGCGCTGTTGCCCAGGCTGGTTTTGAACTCCCGAGCTCAGGCAATCCACCTACCTTGGCCTCCCAAAGTGCTAGGATTGCAGGCATGACCAACCGTGCCTGGCCAATTTTTGTATTTTTTGTACAGATGGAGTTTCACCATGTTGCCCAGGCTGAGATCTTGAACTCCTGAGTTCAAGTGATCCTCCCACCTTGGCCTCCCAAAATGCTGGGATTACAGGTGTGAGCCAGGCTGGTCTTGAACTCCTGACCTCAAGTGATCTACCCACCTTGGCCTCCCAAAGTGCTGGGATTATAGACATGGGCCACCGCGCCTGGCCTGTCATTTTTTTTTTTCTTTTGAGACAGCGTGGTGGAAATACTTTATAATGGTATGTGACTACTCATCAATTTCCAAATTTGTGTTCAGTGATATCACATTGATATCTTGAAACTGACCATGGTAGAAGTCTCACTCTGTGGCCCAGGCTAGAGCACAGTGGCTTGATCACAACTCACTGCAGCCTCGAACTCCTGGGTTTGGGTGATCCTCCCACTCACCCTCTTGAGTAGCTGGGACTACAGGCATGGACCACCATGCCTGGCCAATTTTTTGTATTATTATTTCTTTTTGTAGAGACTGGGTTTAGTAATTTTGCCCAGGCTGGTCTTGACCTCCTGGCCTCAAGCAGATTTGCCCACCTCAGCCTTCCAGTGCTGAAATTACAGGCGTAGGCACCATGCTGACCTCTTACTTTTTTGATAATAGCCATTTCTTTTTAAGACGGAGTCTTGCTCTGCCACCTAGGCTGGAGTGCAGTGGCATGAGCTTGGCTCACTGCAATCTCTGCCTCCTTAGTTCAAGCGATTCCTCTGCCTCAGCCTCCTGAGTAGCTGGGATTACAGCATCTGCCACTACACCCAGCTAATTTTTTGTATTTTAGTAGAGACAGGGTTTCACTATGTTGGCCAGGATGGTCTCAATCTCCTGACCTCATGATCCGCCTGCCTTGGCCTCCCAAAGTGTTGGGATTACAGGCGTGAGCCACTGCGCCCAGCCAAAATAGCCGTTCTAATAGGTGTGACGTGATACCTCATTGTGGACTTATTTATTTATTTATTTATTTATTTATTTATTTTTGAGATGGAGTCTTTCTCTGTCACCCAGGCTGGAGTACAATGGCATGATCTCGGCTCATGCAACCTCCACCTCCCGGGTTCAAGCAATTCTCCTGCCTCAGCCTCCTGAATAGCTGGGATTACAGGTGCCCGCCACCACGCCTGGCTAATTTTTATATTTTTAGTAGACACGGGGGTTTCACCACATTGGCCAGGCTGGTCTAGAACTCCTGACCTCAGTTGATCCGCCTGCCCTCAGCCTACCAAAGTGCTGGGATTATAGGCATGAGCCACCACACCTGGCCTCCATTGTGGTTTTAATTTGTATTTCCTTGATAATTAGCGATGTGGAACATTTTTTTCATATATCTGTTGGCCATTCATATGTCTTCTGTTGAGAAATAGAAAATCTGTTCACATCCTTTGCTCATTTTTTAGTCATGTTTTCTCACTATTGAGTTCTTTTGAGTTCCTTATATATTGTGGATATTAGCCCCTTGTCAGATATATAGTTTGCAAATATTTTACCCTACTCTGTGGATTGTCTCTTCACTTTGTTAATTATTTCCTTTGCTGTGCAGAAGCTCTTTAGTTTGACCTAATCTCTTTTGTCTATTTTTGCTTTAGCTGCTTATGCTTTTGGAGTCCTACCCAAGAAATAATTGACCAGACCAATGTTCTGCAGCTTTCTCTTTTGTTTTTTTCTGGCAGTTTTACAGTTTCAGGCTTTATGTTTAAGTTGTTACTTCATTTTGAGTTGATTTTTATATACGGTGAGAGCTAAGGGTTTAATTTCTGGGGTTTTTTTGTTTGTTTGTTTGTTTTTGAGACAGAGTCTCCCTCTGTCACCAGGCTGGAGTGCAGTAGCGTGATCTTGGCTCACTGCAACCTCTGCCTCCTGGGTTCAAGTGATTCTCCTGCCTCAGCCTCCCGAGTAGCTGGGACTACAAACATGCACCACCACGCCCGGCTAATTTTTGTATTGTTAGTAGAGACGAGGTTTCACCATGTTGGCCAGGATGCTCTCGATCTCTTGACCTCATGATCTGCCCGCCTCAGCCTCCCAAAGTGTTAGGATTACAGGCATGAGCCACTGTGCCTGGCCAAAGGGTCCAATTTCATTCTGGATGTGGATATCCAGTTTTCCCGTCACCATTTATTGAAGAGACTGTCCTTTCCCTGTTGTGTGTTCATGACACCTTTGTTGAAAATCAATTGACTGTAAATGCCTGTGTTTTTTTCTGGGCTTTCTATCCTATTCCATTGGTCTGGGGTTTTGTTGTTGTTGTTGTTGTTGTTGTTTGTTTTTCATTTTTGTTTTTGTTTTTGTTTTTTTGAGATGGCGTTTTTGCTCTTGTTGCCCAGGCTGGAGTGCAATGGCATGATCTCTGCTCACTGCAACCTCCATCTCCCAGGTTCAAGCAATTCTCCTGCCTCGGCCTCCCCAGTAGCTGGGATTACAGGCATGCACCACCACACCTGGCTAATTTTTTGTATGTTTATTAGAGATGGGGTTTCACCACGTTGGCCAGGCTGGTCTCAAACTCCTGACCTCAGGTGATCCACCCACCTCGGCCTCCCAAAGTGTTGGGATTATAGGTGTGAACCACAGCACCCAGCCCACTGGTCTGTTTTTATGTCAGCACGATGCTGTCTTGATTACAATAGTTTATAATTTATTTTGAAATCACGTTGTGTGGTGACCTTCTCCGCTATAAAATCACAGGTGAATCTACAGATGATGATGATGCAGCATTAATGAAAAACAAAAAACTGTTGTCTCACTAATAAAATTGGTCAGAGAAGCAACATGAGGTTTAAAAAATAAAAGGGGCTGGGCATGGTGGCTCATGCCTATAATGCCAGCACTTTGTGATGCTGAGGTGGGAGGATCTCTTGAACCCGGGAAATTGAGGCTGCAGTGAGCTGTGATCGCACCACTGCACTCCAGCCTGGGCAACAGCACGAGACCTTGTCTCTGAAAAATAAATTAATAAAATAAAAATTTTAAAAATAGAAGAATAATTTTAAAAAATTAGCCAGTTGTGGTGGCACACCCCTGTGGTCCCAGCTACTCGGGAGGCTGAGGCATGAAAACTGCTTCAACCTGGGAGGCAGAGGTTGCGGTGAGCCAAGATTGTGCCACTGCACTCTAGCCTGGGTGACAGAGCAAGACTCTTTCTCAAAAAAATAAAAAATAGGGTGGGTGCAGTGGCTCATGCCTGTAATCCCAGCACTTTGAGAGGCCAAGGTGGGTGGATCACCTGAGGTCAGGAGTTCAAAACCAGCCTGGCCAACATGGTGAAACCCCGTCTCTACTAAGAATACAAAAATTAGCCAGGCGTAGTGGCCGGCACCTGTAATCCCAGCTACTCGGGAGGCTGAGACAGAATTGCTTGAACCTGGGAGGCGGAGGTTGAAGTGAGACAAGATCTCGCCATTGTACTCCAGCCTGGGCCACAAGAGTGAAACTCTGTCTCAAAATAAATAAATAATAAAAAAATAAATAAAATAAAAGGAAGTGGCATGCACAGCCCATGTGGTTGGTTTTCCCAGTGGGCTCTGGGAAACCCAAACCAATCCACATATGGAAATTCATTGATGAAGAGTTACAGCTGTGTCCAAGCTACAAGACTGCTTGGAAATAGCCAACGGACAGGCCTTACACCTGATATTTAACTTTCTAATTTAGAGTCAAAAAGCTCTAAAACTTGTAGGATTTCTTTTTTGTTTTATTTGCTTTGTTTTCTAAACAAATTAGAGGTTAAAATGAACAGTTTTGCCTTCTGGTACGATGTAAACTCTATAAGAACAAACACTTGAAGTTTTGTTTGAATCCCATAACAGCCGGTGTTGGCCTTGAAGAGTCCCCATGTAGTCTGTCTTGTTTCTGACTGAAAATGGGCTCCACGCCAGAATATGAATTATTGCAATGCCCAGTGGGACCAGGCAAATCAAACTAAACATAGCATCATGAAGATCTAAAACTGCACTAGGGGGGAAAGAAGATAGAGAACATAGTTTCTCCAATGGCTTCTTATTAATTCAAATTTGTTTAACAAAGGATTCGGAAAAGTTTTATCTATGAAACCATTTAAAAAGTAAGAGATTTTGGCCAGGCACAGTGGCTCATGCCTGTAATCCCAACACTTTGGGAGGCCAAGGCGGATGGATCACTTGAGGTCAGGAGTTCGAGACCAGCCTGGCCAACATGGTAAAACCCCGTCTCTACTAAAAATATAAAAATTAGCCGGGTGTGGTGGCAGCCACCTGTAATCCCAGCTACTCCAGAGGCTGAGGCAGAAGAATTGCTTGAACCCAGGAGGTGGAGATTGCAGTGAGCCAAGATTGTGCCACTGCACTCTAGCCTGGGTGACAGAGTAAGACTCAGTCTCAAAAAGAAAAAAAAAAGTAAGATATTTTATCAAACAGTTTTGATTCTTTCAAATTATGGATAGCTGAGTCACCCCTACCTTCCAGTTGCTCATACCAGAGGAAGCTGACATGTCAACCTGTGATCACAATGCCTGGTGAAAAATGCAACAGCTACAACAGAGGACCAAGGATGGGGACAAAGGCACAAAGGATAGGCACGTACATGTGTGTACTTGTAATAATTTATCTTGAAATTACCATCCAACAGGTTTTTATTTTTTTTTTAGAGTCTGAGTCTTTCTCTGTTGCCCAGGCTGGAGTGCAGTGGCACAATCATGGCTCACTGCAGCCTTGAACTCCTGGGCTCCAGTGATCCTCCCACCTTAGCCTCCCAAATAGCTAGGACTACAGGCACGTGCCACCACACCCAGCTAATTTTTTTATTTTTTGTAGAGACAGGGTCTCGCTATGTTGCCCAGGCTGGTCTCAAACTTGTGGCCTCAAGCAATTCCCCCGCCTTCGCGTCTCAAAGTGCTGGGATGACAGGGGTGAGTCACTGCATCTGGCCCATCCAACAGGTTTTAAACAAAGTGGTAGGATCTGTGCATTCCTTTCTAGTACTAAACTTACTTCCATTCAACACACTTAGAGGTTACAAGAGGAAACCAGGGTTAATAATATTATTCAGAAGTGACATGGCCTGATTTTCTGCTAAGAACTTTCACGAAGCCCAAAGATTCCTATGGTTCTCAGTTACATTCCAGATAGATTGTATTTTTCATTTAAATCATGCACAGTAAAAGGGGGCCCTTGATTACTTAGAGGCTGATTGTCCAGTCTGCAGCTTCTTTTTGGTGACATGGGTTATCTAAAATAGCACCTTATTAATTCTACCAATTGAGGAAAGATGTGAAAAAGTCAAACTATATGATAGAAGAAGAGGAGGCAGTTTGTTACATTTTCATACTAGAACCAATGGCTATTACCAGAACCTCTGTATATAACTTATTCATCTAAAAAAAATAGGTCCCATGTGATTATTAATGTGCTAGGCACTGGACTAAATACTGGGTATTCAATGGTAGGTGAAACTGCTAAAGTCTCTATCTTCATGGAGCCTACCTACCTCCTAGTGTGCGAGATAGGTCTTATTTAAATAGTCATAAGTTTGATTTACACATGATTATATAAGATGACTGTAGAAAGTGCTATGATAGAAAAACAAGGTATTAAATGAGAGCTCATTGTTAGAGGGTCTGGCTCATGCTGGGCAAGTGGAGGCCAGAGAATGCTCCCCAGAGGAAATATTTGAGCTGAGTTCTAAAGGACAAGTAGGCATTAACTAGGAGGGTTCTGCCTAGAATCATGTGCAAAACCTCCGGCCACCACTACCTCCTCCTCTAAAAGCCACAGCTGGAGCCAGGCATGGTGGCTTATGCCTGTAATCCCAACATTGTGGGAGCCCAAGGCAGGCAGATTGCTTGAGCCTAGGACTTCAAGACCAGCATGATCAACATGGTGAAACCCCATCTCTACAAAACATACAAAAATTAGCTGGGTGTAGTGGCGCTCAGCTGCAGTCCCAGCTACGCGGGGGGCTGAGGTGGGAGGATTGCTTGAACCTGGGAGGCAGAGGTTGCAGTGAGCCGAGATCATGCCACTACACTCCAGCCTGGGTGACAGAGCAAAACCAGAAGAAGAAGAAGATAAAAGATAAAAGCCATAGCTGGGAATGTCCTTGGTGCTCTGAACTGGATGACATTTGTTAGGCATGGCCATCCCACAGACTCACTGCTCCTCAAGATCACCCTTCAGTTATCCAAGAACTGATGGTTACCTACCCATGCTCTGCTCTTCTGCTGCTACTTTCTGGGCTCTGAGATGACCACAGAGGCCAGGGTCAAATGCTGGGCCACTCACCACATACTGATGATGCTGTCAAAATGTGGTTACCCTTCTGCTCCACCTCAATTATCTGTGGAAAACCTAATTTAAGGGGTATATGGTGTTTTGTCTGCCCGCATTTCTTCCTGTAAGAAACACGCTTTCCCCTCTTCCCTAGTAAACTGTCTCAGTCCTTACGAGTTGGTGGAGCTGGACTGCCTCACTTCCATCCCCAGGGTCAGGTACATGCCCAGATCTGGTCAGAGGACTTCATGTGTCAAGGTACAACTACTGCCTCAGCCATGAGCACTTGACTCATACAGTGCCCATTAGCGTCCACCTGGGGACTTTTTCTGTGCTACTGGAACAAAAGTGCATGTTTCCTCACCATCTTGGGCTGTTAGCCCTATGTGAACATGGAGGTATCTTGCTGCCATGCGATGAAAAGCTTATACACAACGCAGAGGGTAAGTCAGAGAAACTAGTTAATGACATAATTTGAGATCCAAATCTGCCTGACTTTTCAGCTACAGAAGCCAATAAATTCCCTTTTTTTTCTTTTTTTCTTTTTTTTTGAGACAGAGTCTCACTGTCGCCCAGGCTGGAGTACAGTGGCGTGATCTTGGCTCACTGCAACTTCCACCTCCCGGGTTCAAGTGATTCTTCTGCCTCAGCCTCCAGAGTAGCTGGGACTACAGGCGTGCACTACCATGCCTGGCTAATTTTTTGTATTTATAGTACAGGCAGGGTTTCACCGTGTTGCCCGGGCTGGTTTAGAACTTCTGACCTTAGGTGATCCACCCGCCTCGGCCTCCCAAAATGCTGGGATTATAGGCATGAGCCACTGTTCCCAGCCCGAATTCCTTTTTTATTTAAGCTAACCTGCATTGAATTTCTGTCACTTGTAGCCAAAGTGGTTTGAATAATGCACCTTTCCAATTGGCACTTGTGCCCAAATTACCATAAACTGGCTGTCTCTGACCACTCTAGGGAAAGGATTCAGTGATTTCTAATTGACCACTACCAGTGAAGACATGGGAGGTTTGAAATAGCTGAGCCCAGATTCTGAGAACGACAGGACAAGGTCATGATTGTACTTTTGAACTTGATGTTGGAGGTGTTCACAAGCATGACGCCTCTCCTGGACTTTGTTTACTGATAGGAACCACAAGATAGACGAGACAGCAGAATTAGGCCAACAATGGGTGCAAGGTGCCAAAAAGGTAATAGAAACCCAAGTTCCACTTTGAAGCAGCATAAATCAGACATTTCTCAAACATTAAAAACGGAAGTGGCCTGATCAAGACCTTTAAACGGAGTAAAAAGCCACGAAGCCAAGGCCTTGAGCAGCTAGTCAGAGAATTATTGCAATATGTGCTCAGAGACACAGGGTTTCATGAAAAGCCCAGTCTCTGCCTGGCTGCAGCACCTCTGTGCTTTTTGTCCCAGCATTTGCTTAGCAGCAGAACCTCATTATCCTTCAGTGTTCTGTAGTTATAACAGATTCCAGCTTCAGGGGGAAAAAAATGGATTCCAGCTGCCAGGGGTTCTCTCTGGGAGATTTTCTATCTCTGAGACGAAATTGTCTTTTTCTCCCTTTTTTCATGGTGAGAGGGGCATGGAGTACACCTCTGATAATCTGCAGAGGCAAAGCCTTGCATGAGCATGCTGACAACCCTGCAGAGAGAAAGCCTTAGGCTGGAAGTTCAAGGGCAGCCAGGAGAATGAACATTTCGATGAATAAAGCAATTTGATAACTACCATGTTGTGGTCTAAGACCCACCACTTACAGGCTTACATGGTGATTACTGAAGCTGCAACTATTTTAATGGCTTCATCTACTTTAAAGTACTGGTGATTTTTCTACTACTTCATTTAATTGCTTGATGTTTCTTGGAAGAGTTCTTCGGTCTTTCTGCTAAAATGTTATCCCAAGCTAGGAGAGATGCCATGATTTCAGAGAATTTCTTTTCCTCTATAATATTATATATTTTCCTCTGGGTTATCAATGAACCTACTGACTACTTTGAGTATTATGCCTTTAGGATGTCTTCACCTCTCATTTCCTTAACATTTTTAAATGAATCTCTGATAGAAAAATGAATCTGAAGCCTTGCTTATGCTTTGATTCATTCAACAAATATTTATTGCACACTTACTGTTTTAGATGCCTGGGATACAGAGTAAATAAATCAACAATGATCCTTGCCTTCAACAAAGCTTACATTCTGGTGGAGGCAAAGAGATAATACATAAATAAATTTAATATCATCTTTTGTAATAATAACCATTACACCTCTGCTTATGAAAAAAATTGCATTCAATTTTTGCTCACAATCTTCTTTTTTTTTTTTTTTTTTTTGAGACAGAGTCTCACTCTGCCACCTAGGCTGGAGTGCAGTGGCATAATCATACTTCACTGCAACCTCTGCCTCCTGGGCTCAAGTGACCCTCCTGCATCAGCCCCACAAGTAGCTGGGACTACAGATGCATGCCACAATGCCCAGCTAATTTTTCTATTTTTTGTAGAGATGGGATTTTGCCATGTTTCCCAGGCTGGTCTTGAACTCCTAGGCTCAAATGATCTGCCTACCTCGGCCTCCCAAAGTGCTGGGATTACAGGCACTGAGCCACTATGCTCAACTAATCTTCTGTTCCCTTCCTTCCTTCCTTTTCCTTCCTTCCTTCCTCTCTCTCTCTTCCTTCCTTCCTCTCTCTCTTCCTTCCTTCCCTTCCTTCCCTTCCCCTCTTCCTTTCTCTCTCTCTCTTTTCTTTCTTTTTTCTGACAGAGTCTTGCTCTGTCACTCAGGCTGGAGTGCAGTGGCACAATCTTGGCTCACTGCAACCTCCACCTCCTGGGTTCAAGTGATTCTCTTACCTCAGCCTCCTGAGTAGTTGGTATTACAGGCACACACCACCACAGCCAGCTACTTTTTTTTTTTTGTATTTTTAGTAGAGACGGGGTCTTGCTATGATGCCCAGGCTGGTCTCAAACTCCTAGACTCAAGTGATCTGCCTGCCTCAGCCTTCTAAGGTGCTGGGATTACAGGCATGAGCCACTGCACCCAGCCTAATCTTCTATTCTCAAAAGAAGAAAGTATCCACCCGCAGGTAACAGAATTCTAAAATATTACTGTCTGGACCCTTTTACTTCATTTTCCTAGCTTATACCTGCCAAATTATTGGTAAATTCAGCTCTGTGAGGTGAAGAGGGCCATATAAATGATCATACTCTCACCTTGAATCCTATCTTTAGGATCTTCTACATCACGAGACTAAAGCAAAGTCTGACTCCTTTCCACTCTTCTGCTATCAACATCAGCTCAAAAATACATAAAATTAATAAGGTTGCTTCCTGATGGCATCAGTGAAATAACTTTATGGTCATTCATATAAAAACAGACAACCCTGGCCCAGCGCAGTGGTCCATACCTGTAATCCCAACACTTTGGGAGGCTGAGGCAGGTGGATCACTTGAGGCCAAGAGTTTCAGACCAGCCTGGTAAACATGGCAAGACTGACCCTATCTCTATTTAAAAAAAGAGAAATACAGAGAATCCTTTCAAGATCACCAAGTCAGTATCAATGAGCACCTCTGCAGAAAAAACAGGAGCTCAGAATGGACAAGGCCAGAGAAACCTCAGTAAGGTGAATGTGTCCGTATAGTTTCTTTCGAATTCGTGAAAAGAAAACTTGAGTCCCTATAAACTGTTGCTACTTCAAGAATAGAGAGGGAATTTCTCCTTTCTGGGCTCAGCCTGACATGTCCCTTTTAAGAATAATGGTGTGAGATGCATCGAAGGCTTACTATTTGCCTGGCTCTATGTCTTAGCTTGGGCTGCCATAACAAAATATCATAGTACAGGTTGGGTAGCTATTTATATATTTATTTATTAAGAGGGCCTTGCTCTGTCACCCAGGCTAGAGTGCAGTAGACCAATCATAGCTCACTGTAGCCTCAATCTCCCAGACTCAAGTGAGCCTTCCATCTCAGCCTCCCAAACAGCTAGGACTACAAGAACACACCACCAAGCCCAGCTAATTTTTTTAAACTTTTTTTTGTAGAAACAAGGTCTCACCGTTGCCCAGGCGGGTCTTGAACTCTGGGCTTCAGCCTCCTCCCACCTTGGCCTTCCAAACCGCCAGGATTATATTGTGAGCCCCAAGACCCGGCCTAGGTGGCTTAAACAACAGACATTTATTTCTCACAGTTATGAAGGCTGGGAAGTCTGAGATCAGGGTGCCAGCATGGTTGGATTCTAGTGAAGACTGTCTACCTGGCTTGTAGACAGGAAACTAGCTTCTTGTATGGGAGAGAGAAAAGGAGGGAAGAGGATAAGGGAGAGGGAGGGAGAAGGAGGGAGAGGGAGAAGGAAGGGGAATGGGGGGAGAAAGAGAGAGAAAGAGAGCTCTCTCATGTCTCTTCTTTTTTTTTTTTTTTGAGACAGAGTCTCGCTCTGTCCCTCAGGCTGGAGTGCAGTGGTGCGATCTCAGCTCACTGCAACCTCCACCTCCCGGGTTCAAGATATTCTCCTGCCTCAGCCTGCTGAGTAGCTGGGACTACAGGCACACCCCACCACGCCCAGATAATTTTTGTACTTTTAGTAGATACAGGGTTTCACCATGTTGGCCAGGATGGTCTCCATCTCCTGACCTTGTGACCCACCCGCCTCAGCCTTCCAAAGCACTGGGATTACAGGCATGAGCCACTGTGCTCAGCCTCATGTCTCTTCTTATGAGGACACTAATCCCATCATGCAGGCCCACCCTCATCACCTCAACTAAACCTAATCACCTCCAAAGGCCTCATCTCAAAACAGCATCTCTTTAGGGTTTAAGGCTTCAACATATGAATTTGGGGAAGACAAAATTTAATCCATAGCACCCTGTTGGAACATTTCCCTCATTGCTACTAATTTCACAACACCCCTGAAGAAGACACTGAGGCTTAGACAGGTTAATTAAATTGGCCAAAGTTACACAGCTAGTGAGTTTGGAGCTGAGGATTTTTTACTTAGATATGAACTAAAAATCTCTTCAAGATAAAATGGTGGCAGTGCGCGGTGGCTCATGCCTGTAATCCCAGCACTTTGGGAGGCCAAGGCAGGCATATTACTTGAGGTCGGGAGTTTGAGACCAGCCTGGCCAACATGGTGAAACTCTGTCTCTACTAAAAGTACAAAAAAAAAAAAATTAGCTGGGCATTAAGGCTCATGCATGTAGTCCCAGCTACTTGGGAGGCTGAGGCAGGAGAATCACTTGAACCCAGGAGGCAGAGGCTGCAGCGAGCTGAGATCACACCACTGCACTCCAGCCTGGGTGAAACAGCGAGACTCTGTCTCAAAAATAAAATAAAATAAAAATAAATAAAATGGTGTCTCTAATACAAATTTATCAGAAGGAAAAACCTCAGTTTCTAAGAAGATGGTCATATGCTTTTAGTAGAAATGAGTTAAGACACTCTCAACTGGAAGGGATCGCCTCTGACAAATCCCATCAAGTATCTAATAGTTCAAGACCTGCCTGGGCAACTGTGAGACCTTGTTTCTACAAAAAATGTTTCCCAGGCTGGTCTCAAACCCCTGGGCTCAAGCGACACTCCTGCCTCAGCCTCCCAAAGTGCTGGGATTACAGGCATGAGCCATAATCTTTTGGGCCAAATATTTTTAATAATTTAGAATGCCACAAGTACTCATGTTCATTACAGTTAGCAACTGGACTTAATTTAAAGAACCTTGTCAAAGACACAGTGATTATCCCAATGTTCATTTCAGCAATCCTAACAAATGAATACGATTATATGTACACAATTTTTTGGAGTTGTAATTTGTGCATGTTTTTTAATATTGTCTTCTAAAATACATAGTGCTGGCCGGGCACAGTGGCTAACACCTATAATCCCAGCACTTTGGGAGGCCGAAGCAGGCAGATCACTTGAGGTTAGGAGTTCGAGACCAGCCTGGCCAACATGGTGAAACCCGGTCTCGACTAAAATACAAAAATTAGCTGGGTGTGGTGGTATGCGCCTGTAATCCCTGTTACTCAGGAGGCTGAGGCAGGAGAATCACTTGAACCTGGGAGGCAGAGGTTGCAGTGAGCCAACATCGCGCCACTGCACTCCAGCCTGGGTGACAGAGCAAGACTTCATCTTGAAAACAAACAAACAAAAAACCCATAGTGCTGAAAGCGGGAAGTCATGTCTCACCAAAGTAATAAAATTTGACACTCAGAATATGTGGAATGTTCTAACTGCTGGCTATTTCTCACTCTTCTAGTTGACCCAATAGTAGGCTACATGAGCAATTCAGAGGAGGGTTTTTTAAATTATTATTATTTTTACTTTTTTGCTTTCCTTTCAAGGCACTATGCTTCAATGGCTTTATAGGTCAATAATATGGAAAAACATTAATACAAAAATTTACAGCTGGGCATAGTGGTTCACGCCTACAATCCCAACACTTTGGGAGGCCAAGGAGGGAGGATTGCTTAAACCCACGAGTTTCAGACCAGCCTGGGCAACATAGTGAGACCTGTCTCTACCAAAAAATAATAATAATAATAATTAGCTGGAAATGGTGGCATGTTCCCATAGTCCCAGCTACTCAGTAGGCTGAGAGGAGAGGATTGCTTGAGCCCCGGAAGTCATGGCTGCAGTGAGCTATGATCTGACACTGCACTCTAGCCTGGGCAACACAGTGAGGCCATGCCTTTAAAAAGAAAAAACAAACAAAGAAAAAGAATAAGAAACTTACAATGGAGCATTTCAGAGCTACAGCAGAATCAAGAGTATGATACAGAATTGATACTTTGAAAGAACAAAGTCCACCAGCCCCAAGTATAATACATAAGATTAGCTCGTTTCTCCCTAAGTAGCCTAATCTTTAACATGGCATAAAACCACCAATTTAGTCCTAATATGAAAAGAGGTCATTAAACAAGCAGGAGCCAGTTCTTGCCTGAGAATTTCCAGGTTGTTGCTTTAGTAAATATGGAAAGCACTTGTTTTCAAAAAGCAGTTTTAAAATTAGTTTTAAGAGCTGGGTGGGGTGCCTCATGCCTATAATCCCAGCACTTTGGGAGGCTGAGGCTGGTGGATGACTTGAGCCCAGGAGTTCAAGACCAGCCTGGGCAACATGGTGAGATCCTGTCTCTACAAAAAATACAAAAATTAGCTGGGCGTGGTGGCACACACCTGTAATCCCAGCTACTCAGGAGGCTGAGGCAGGAGAATTTCTTGAACCCAGGAGGTGGAGGTTGCAGTGAGCCAAGGTCACGCCACTGCACTCCAGCCTGAGTGACAGAGTGAGACTCCATCTGAAAAAAAAAAAAAAATTAGCCAGGCATGGTGGTATGCACCCGTGTCCTAGCTACCTGGGAGACTGAAGTGGGAGGATCGCTTGAGCCCAAGAGACTGCAGTGAGGTATGATCATGTCATGCCAGTGCATCCCAGCCTGGGCAATACCGCAAGTCTCTTAAAATATATATATATATATATATATATATATATTAGGACTCTTTGTATCCCAGTTCCCAGCTCAGTGCTAATACCAGTAGGCACTCAAAAATGTTTGCTGAAGAAAGAATGCAAGCATGCTTAGTGGGCTGAGTGGAAGGAATAGCCCTTTTCCTTTCATATACTAGAACTTCATTGTCATTGTTTCTTCTTTGTGCAAAATGTGGACTTGTGTTGCAAGTTTTTTTTTTTTTTTTTTTTTTTTGAGACAAGGTCTCACTGTCACCCAGCCTGGGCACAGTGACATGATCTTGACTCATCGCAACCTCTGCTTCCTGGGCTCGTGATTTTCCAGCCTCAGCCTCCTGAGTAGCTGGGACTACAGGCGGGCGCCACTGCACCTGGCTAATTTTTGTATTTTTGTAGAGATGGGGTCTCACCATGTTGCCCAGGCTGGTCTCAAACTCCTGGGCTCAAGTCATCTGCCCGCCTAGGCCTCCCAAAGTGCTGGAATTACAGGCATGAGCCACTGCACCCAGGCACAAATTTTAATATGAGTTGGATGTATAAAACAATTAAGACAACCCATTTCTAACTTTACTACATGAAGTACCTTATCCCAGATAACTAGAAGAGATCATATGTTGGTTTTCTTGCCCAATTAATTACCCCAGTTATAGATCTCCATTAACAACAAACTTAACCATTACATTCACTGGCTGCTGGATAGTATATCTTTGGGTCACTATTAAATAAATAAATCTATAAAATGTAGTAAAATAATCTTCCCTGCAGAACCAACATTTCTGTAACTGTATCAAGGAATCATAAACCATCTTTTGAAAATGTCAGTGGGAAGAATCATACCCCTGAGCTATACAGTTCTGAGCATGTTAACAGTAAAATAATAATTGGATATTAGAAAACTTACTCGTAGGTATGAAATTTATTTCAAATATATATTTTGCTGAATACTTTTTTTTTTGAGACAAGATCTCACTGTGTCACCCAGGCTGGACTACAGTGCTGCGTCACAGCTCACTGCAGCATTGACCTCCCCAGGTTGTGGTGGCTCACGCCTATAATTCCAGCACTTTGGGAGGCCGAGGCAGGTGGATCACCTGAGGTCAGGAGTTTGAGACCAGACTGGCCAACATGGTGAAACCCTGTCTCTACTAAATATACAAAAATTAGCCAGTTGTGGTGGTGCGTGCCTGTAATCCCAGCTACAGGAGGCTGAGGCAGGAGAATAGCTTGAACCTAGGAGGCAGAGGCTGCAGTGAGCCAAGATTGTACCACTGCATCCAGCCTGGGTGACAGAGCAAGACTCTGTCTCAAAAAAAAAAAAAAAAAAAAAAAACCCTGTTGGGGTTTGTTGGCGAAGGCCCCCCTTCCTTTTGCCACCACGGGCGCCAACCCTGTTGCCCTTCCAATCCCATCTCCCGCTGCCCCTGACAGTGCCTTTGCCAGCTGGTGCTTCTGCCTGTTCCGTCGTGGTGGCTGCTCTCACCAGGGTCCTTTCCGCTGGTCGTCCCTTTCTGCCTGGAGCTGCCATTATCTTCACCTGACAAATAGAAACCCATCTTCAGGGCTCCACTGAAACGCCGCTTCCACGGGGGCCCTCCCGGGCGTCCCAAGCAAGTTTAGGGCCCCAAAGCCCACGCCCTCACCTCTCAGACACACAGCTTTTTATCTCTACCACCGTCTGACACTCCTGGATTCCAAGCTCTGCAAGGGCAAGTCAGAGCCTAGAGCCTCCTCCCTCTGTCCCCCGTACTGAGCGTGGTGCCCGGCACGCGGGAGAAACTCAGCGGGTGTTTTTGGATGAATGAGGGACTTTTCTTCTTTTATGCTTGCATGGCTGGCAAAGCCCCTTCTCATGGACATGTTCTTAAGACATATTTATCTTTCGACATCCTTACGTGCAGGTCTTACCTTGAGACTCGTGGTATTTGTTTCGGGGAACTGCGGATCTCTGCTGTAGTGAGATGATGACGATGCCAGTGATGATAGCAATTTTATTTTATTTTATTGTTTATTTATTTATTGAGATGGAGTCTCCCTCTGTCGCCCAGGCTGGAGTGCAGTGACGCAACCTCCACACCTCCCGGCTTCAAGCGATTCTCTCACCTCCGCCTCCCAAGTAGTTGGGACTACAGTCGCGTGCCACCACCCCCGGCTAATTTTTGTATTTTTAGTAGAGACCGGGTTTCACCATGTTGCCCAGGCTGGTCTCAAACGTCTGACCTCAAGTGATCTGCCCGCCTCAGCCTCCCAAAGTGCTGGGATTACAGGTGTGAGCCACCGTGCCTGGGCGATGACAGTAATTTTAATAATAACAATAACACCAGTCATAATAATAGTAAGTGGCTACCATTATTTGAGCTCTCACTGCATGCCAGGGACTGTTAGGGAGGTACTTTGTAAGCATCACAGTACTCAATCCTTGCCATAGGCATCATTATCCTTTTACAAATGTCTAGTCTGGGCCACAGACCTATAAAACAACTTGCAAAGCCCCACCGTGTGAAGCCAGGATTGGAGCCCACATTTGCCTGGCTTTCAAACCAGTGCCAATATGTGATGGTCTCAGAGGCTAACTTCCAGGGAGCAGTCTAGGTTCCGTCATCGCGGAGTTCTGTGGGCAGGGGCTTGCAGTGGCTGCGGCCCCTGCCTGCCTGGGGAGGTGGCACACAGAAGCCCTCAGCCTTCCCCATTTACAGCTTGGGAACGTGCATTACCCCCGAGAGTGGCACCGGAAGCAGACCGGTCCCTTGCGGCATCGTGTTATTTGAAATTTCCAGTAATTAGAACATCTCAAACTTCTCTTGTACTAATTTTAAGCCTTCAAACAACCCGTGCCTGCCAAAAGCCTGCTCATCTTGGTAAAAGCCCCGAACTACAAATAGATAGCTATTAACAGCATCTGTTGTAATAGCAGAGACAATATTCTCTGGGGCCAGCACGTCACAGCCTGGAGCCGACCCCAAACGTCATCTGTTATTATGTTTGGAGAGTCTGGCACGCGCTGAGGCAATCGTTCAATTATATCTCCATGAGCCGGTTCTGACGCACCTGCTTGCACAGAACGCTGAGGCAACAGTGGCCAGTGCTGCCCGGTGGACCAGCCCTGCCGATAGCAGAGTCTGGGGGATGGGGGCTGGCAGCTTAAAGACCCCTTTTCGTGAATTGGGCTTGCCTTTTTTTTTTTTTTTTTGATTAAGGAGAATATCCTGACATTGTATTGTCATTACGAAAAGTCACTTTAGGCTTGGCACAGTGGCTTATGCTTGTAATCCCAGCATTTTGGGAGGCTGAAGCAGCAGATCCCCTGAGGTCAAGAGTTCAAGGCCAGCCTGGCCAACATGGTGAAACCCTGCCTCTACTAAAAATACAAAAATTAGCTGGGCATGCTGGTGGGTGCTTATAATCCCAGCTACTCGGGAAGCAGAGGTGAGAGAATCGCTTGAGCTCAGGAGGTGGAGGTTGCAGTGAGCCAAGATCTGGCCATTGCACTCCAGCCCAGGTGACAGAGCAAGGCTCCATCTCAAAGAAACAAAAACAAAAACAAAATTTAGTGGGGTGTGGTAACACTTGTCTGTAGTCCCAGCAACTCAGGAGGCTGAGGCAGGAGAATCACTGGAACCTGGGAGGCAGAGGTTGCAGTGAGCCGAGAGCACCCTACCGCACTCCAGCCTGGGTGACAGAGTGAGACTCCACCTAAAAAAAAAAGAAGTCACTTTGAGATTATTTTATCCAGGTCTGCAGCCTTAAATTGGGTCCCTAACTTTACTGGCAAGGCAAGTAGCAGAGTTTGGCCTGAACCCTACTACAAAAGCTGAGGGCCTGGACCGTCAGACCTGGGTGAGGTTGCCGGCTAAAATGGGGCAGGTGACCGAACCTCTCTGCGTCTCAATTTCCTCATCTCAAAGTTGGACTCACAGGACCTGCTCTGTAGGGCCATTGTGAGGAGTTCATCCTGGGAGGAACATAAAGTTACCTCGCAATGCCCAGCAGGTAGCAGGTGCCCAGTGAAGGCCAGCTCCTCCGCCGCACTCTGGTATGCACCAAGCCTTCTCCATCACGACAACGACGTGAGCTCATGGACAGGATGCGTGGTGCCCGGGACACGCCAGAACCTGGCCAGCGAGAGCCTTTGCCCCTTAATCAGCTGTTTCACCCCATGAAGGCTTCAGTGGCTTCCAGTTCGTTGTTTTTTGTTTGTTTGTTTGTTTGTTTTAGAGTGCTTCCTTTATGTCAAGCGTTGTGCTAAGGACTTCGTATTTCCCATGTGACTTAATCGTAACAGCAGTCCTATGGTGGGGGTTCAAGGATCATCCCCACTTTACAGATGGGGAAACTGAGGCTAGGAGGGGTGCAAAAGCTGGACCTAGAGCACACAGTTTGGGAGTGGCGGCCCCAGCTTCTGAACGTGCGTCCGACTGCACACGGTTTGGGAGAAGTGACCCCAGCCTCTGAACGTGCGTCCGACTCCAGACCCCACTCCTGCCCCCATGCTGTATTGTCTACAGGAAGAGCAGCGAAACACGGCTTTCCAGTTTTTAAAGAAATACGCTTGGCATTTTGCTGGTGGGCGGTCTTCGCGGCGCAGGTCTAATTTTGGAATTTACAGTGGGATTTAAAGTTTTCAGTGAGATTCTCTGTTTCACCTTGAAAGAGGCTCAAGGTGTATGAATCCCACACTAGACTGATGCTGAAGAGGAGCCTGTGGAATCCGCACCCGCTGGCATTTTCAGTAAAAAGGCCTCTGTGTCTTCCTGATATGCGTGCGCCCCGCGCGGGCCACGTTGCCAGGTTCCGGGTGCCTCTTCACCGAACTGCCACCAGGGGCCGCTCCAGCCCAGCCCGAGTTATCCATCGGCCACCGCACCTGCTGTTCCCGAAAACGCAGCGGCCCAGACTTCCTTTGCAGTTACCCTCTTAGAAGAACGAACGTTTCGCTTCCCTCCTCATTTGCGTATCATAGAGCCAGTGAGACACAGTAGCCTTTTTGGGTTTTCCCCTGAGCGTGCTTGGTCCCCAGCCCAGGGTGGCCGCCGTTTCAAGCAAGTCCCTTGCTCAGGTACAGGGGTGCAGATGCCCCGAGCCAGCCTGAGGAGGGGCCGCATGTCCCGAGGGCCCCATGGTTCCCCTCAGGAGGCAGATTGGAAAGGGCTGACTTGTCTCTTACTCCAATGAGTAGAGAGGCGGAGGATCCAGCCCATCAGAGGCTGCCGCAGTAAAGAATTCTGTGACAGGCTGGGTACGGTGGCTCACGCCTGTAATCCCAGCACTTTGGGAAGCCAAGGGGGGCGGATCATGAGGTCAGGAGATCGAGATCATCCTGGCCAACATGGTGAAACCCCGTCTTTACTAAAAATACAAAAAAAAAAAAAAATAGCCGGGTGTGGTGGTGCCCACCTGTAGTACCAGCTACTTGGGAGGCTGAGGCAGGAGAATCTCTTGAACCCGGGAGGCGGAGGTTGCAGTGAGCTGAGATCACGCCACTGCATTCCAGCCTGGGCGACAGAGTGAAACTCCGTCTCAAAAAAAAAAAAAAAAAAAAGAAGAAGAAGAATTCTGGGACAGCTCGGGGTCGGGAAAGGTGAAGAGATGCCTGTGGGCTCCAGCCCTGCTGGAAACCCTTGGGAAAGTCTTCTAGCCCCAGAGTTAGCACAGCACCTTACCCTGCAGAGGCTCAGGGCTCACAAGTCCCTTCTGGTCCCAGCAGCTCCTGTTCCTGGCCCTTGTTGGTTGGCCACATTCTGGAGGGTGACTTTTCTACTAGGTTTTGTGGGTGGGGGTCTGGCAGGCATCGGCTGTCAGTGGACTTATGCCTTATGCAGTTGGCGTCGCTCTTTGGAACCCTATTTATGTGCCTACGTAGAACCCTAGAGTGCTTGAGCTGGGACCAGGAGAAACGTGTAGTAACTCTCTTTACACAGATGAAGCTGCGGAGCCCCTGAATGGTGTGCGATGCACAATCACCACCACTGCCATCATCAGACAACACTTTACAAAATGCCTCCTGCCTTGTCTCCATTTATCCTTCCCGCTCTTCTCGTTTAACAGGTAGAGAGGCTTAGGCTCAGAGAGGCTAAGCTACTTGCCCAGGGTCACACAGCAAGTTAGAAGCAGAGCTGAGTTGCAAATCCAGGTCTTTAACTATTTCTGTGTTCTGTGGACTTTCCTAGAAATCCCAGGCGGTTCCCAAACTGCCGTGGGAAAGGCTCGATTCCACTGTAACACACAGAGCTGCTTACCGACCGAGTGATTCGATGAATAAATCAATGAACTGACTAATCCCATTCATTCCTGTATTCATTCATCCCGTGAGGGTTCGTTGTGTGCCTTCAATGACCCCTTCCTGCACTAAGTCGTGTTGATACAGTGATGGTCCAGACGGAAACAGCCATTTTTGTTTGTTTGTTTTTGGTTTTTTTTGAGACTGAGTTTCGCTCTTGTTGCCCAGGCTGGAGTGCAGTGGCGCGATCTTGGCTCACTTTAACCTCCGCCTACCAGGTTCAAGCAATTCTCCTGCCTCAGCCTCCCAAGTAGCTGGGATTACAGGCACCTGCCACCACACGTGGCTAATTTTTTGTATTTTTAGTAGAGGTGGGATTTGACCATGTTGGTCAGGCTGGTCTTGAATTCCTGACCTTGGGTGATCCTCCCACCTTGGCCTCCCAAAGTGCTGGGATTACAGGCGTGAGCCACCATGCCCAGCCCAGAAACAGCCTCTGTCCTAAGAGTGCAACTGGATGGGACTTAACTCAGTCTTACAAATGACATCTACCAGGCTGGGTCCAGTCTAACTTGTCCATGAAGCATCCATCATCCCTGCCTTCTAGGCATTTCTATTCTAGAAGAGATGATACAGACATGCATGAATTTCCACACAGTAAACTTATCATGAGTGAGCCCATCCCAAGAGCGAGAGGCAGACCCCCTGGCAGGCTCCACCCTCAGCCACCCATCAATGCACTTTGATGCCGCTGGGGCTGGTAGGCTGCAAACCCCCTTTCTACCACGGACACAGGCCGAGGCGAAGCGAGCACAGAGCTCACCGTGCTTGCATTTTGTGGTTCTGTAAGTTCCTTACATTGTGTTTTGGAGGCCAGGCACAGTGGCTCACGCCTGTGTTTTGTTTTTGAGACAGAGTCTCGCTCTATCGCCCAGGCTGGAGTGCATTGGCACGATCTCGGCTCACTGCAACCTCCACCTCCCAGGTTCAAGCGATTCTCCTGCCTCAGCCTCCCAAGTAGCTGGGATTACAGGCACCCACCAACACACCTGGCTAATTTTTTGTATTTTTAGTAAAGACAAGGTTTTAGCATGTTGGCCAGGCTGGTTTTGAACACCTGATCTCAAGTGATACAACTGCCTTGGCCTCCCAAAGTGCTAGGATTACAGGCGTGAGCCACTGTGCCTGGCCTAACAAAGTGATTTTATGTGCTGATTGTGTGAAGCACTCTTTCTGTGTATTTTTAAAAATTGAGATGTAATTCATCTGTGTATATTTAAGGAGAATAGAAGACTTGCTCATAATGGTAGAATTTTAAAACTACATATGACTCCGAGGTTGCTCCAGACCAACACTGAGATTTTGAGTGAAGAGGGGCAGTGAGCAGCTCTGTGGCTTGGTCCAGCACTTGCCTAGCCCCTGACTGGACCAAAGCCAAATCCATTTTCCATTTTCCAGTTTACACCTTGGTGCCTCCAACTATGAGTACTTTTTTTTTTTTTTTTTTGAGACTGAGTCTCACTCTGTCGCCCAGGCTGGAGTGCAGTGGCACGTTCTCAGCTCACTGCAACCTCCACCTCCCAGGTTCAAGCAATTCTCCTGCCTCAGCCTCCTGAGTAGCTGGGAGTACAGGCGCCCGCCACCACACCCAGCTAATTTTTGTATTTTTAGTAGAGATGGGTTTCACCACGTTGGCCAGGCTGGTCTCTAACTCCTGACCTCAAGTGATCCACCCGTCTCGGCCTCCCAAAGTGCTAGGACTACAGGTGTGAGCCACCACGCCCAGCCCAAGTACTTTTGGTGTCAGGAAACCACCAGGAGTCAGCAGTGTCAAGCTCCCCAAGGCATTCGTCATGCGCTCAGTGCTTTCCTGGCTTTTGCCACAGCGGGAGGTGACATGAGCAAGGCGGGTGACACGAGGCTCCTCCACAGCTACGGGAGGCACTCGGGCCACCGCGAATTCGTGATCAGTGCTCCAGTTCTGCTGGCGCCTTCCAGCCTTGCCCAGCCATCCCAGGAGCACACTGTGCTCCTTTCAATGAAAACGTGTGGAATAGGTACCACATTTGTAGCAGCTGTTGATGGAAATCTGTTAGTGACAAAGTGCTTAGACACAGGAGAAGCCACCCACATCAGAACCCCTGGGGAGCTCGTTAAAAGGCAGACTCCCAGCACTACCTGGACCTGGGGATGGCAGCCATGACTCTGTGAGGCAGAGCCAGAGGCCTCAGTGAGCGATGCTTATGGCTGAGCCCCACGTGTCAGGAGAAGGAAGCTCCTGGGAGGCTGCACCTGGCACTGTGCCATGGAGAGGGGCACCCCAAGTCCTGCAGGTGGAGAGCGCTGACTCCAAGGCGAGTGTTTAGGGTGACTTAGGACGGAAGGAGTGTTCCAATAAAAGCTGGCCCTGTGGTGGGCCTAGATTAAGCAGGGACTGCCAGAGATCAGGACTGATGCTATAGCTCAGGGTCTGCTTATTTAAAAACCTTGCTCACCCAGGAGCGGTGGCTCACACCTGTCATCCCAGCACTTTGGGAGGCAGAGGCGAGTGGATCACCTGAGATCAGGAGTTTGAGACCAGCCTGGCCAACATGGTGAAACCCTGTCTCTACTTAAAATACAAAAATTGGCTTGGCCTGGTGGCACATGCCTGTAATCCCAGCTACTCAGGAGGCTGGGGCAGGAGAATCGCTAGAACCCAGAGGTGGAGGTTGCAGTGAGCTGAGATCATGCCATTGTACTCCAGCCTGGGCGATAGAGTAAGATTCTGTCTTAAAATAAAACAAAACAAAAACTTTGCTCATTGTGTTATTTTATAATGTTATTTGGTGATAGGATTTAAGCTGCTTTTAAAAAATATTTGGAAGACATCTTTTTTTTTTAAATTAAAGTCTGGAAATCTTATAGGACAGGCAGGCATCTCAGAAACTTTCTTTATCGATTTCTGCCTGCAGGGAGATGAGGCCCTCACCACCACCCAGTGGCAGCACTGGGACCCTGCCTTCATTCCACATTTACTGTGAACCTCTGGGCAGGCGCTGGGCTGGCGGGGGGCAGAGTGAATGGGACAGACAGAGCCCACCTTTCACGGAGCCCACCTTTGGCTTGTCACTTCAACCATACAGCAACCCCTTGCGAGTGAACTCATATAACCCTAATGTAGACAATGCCTCAGGTAACACCACAGCTCAACAAACAGACAAAATGACACACACGTCTCGCTGCCTTTATTTCCAGGAATTAGTGGCGGGCCCTTGGAAAACCACTACAGACTGAAGCAATTTCACTTCCACTGGGGAGCAGTGAATGAGGGGGGCTCAGAGCACACAGTGGACGGCCACGTGTACCCCGCAGAGGTTTGTAGACGTGGCCTAACGGCACATATCTGGACGCTTTCCATGTCTCCGGCTCTATGGTGGGGGGCGAACAAGCCATGCCTGCCGCTCAGATGTGAAGGATTTCCTGGGGCCTGGGACTGTCAGTGCTCAAACCAGAACCGTCGGCCGCCCCACCCGTTTAGTCACACTCCTCTCCTACGAAGAAGGCACTTTAAGTTCTCTCATTTAACGGAAGAAGAGACTGAGGTTCTGAATGGTTACGGAACTTGCCAAAGCCAGACAGCTGGGATTCAAAGTCAGAGCTTGAGCTCTTTGCCACGCTTCACTCAGCTGTGTGCTTGCAGCTGTAGGGACTAGCAAATCCACAAGGCCCTCCGCTGAGAAGCTGAACATCTTTGCAATAGAGATCATCTTCTTTTGTTTGTTTGTTTTTTGTTTTTTTGAAACAGGGTTCACTCTGTCACCCAGACTGGAGTGCATTGGTGCAATCTTGGCTCACCACAACCTCCGTCTCCCAGGCTCAAGCGATTCTCCTGCCTCAGCCTTCCGAGTAGCTGGGATTACAGGTGCGTGCCACCAGGCCCTGCTAATTTTTGTATTTTTAGTAGAGATGTGGTTTTGCCATGTTGGCCAGGCTAGTCTCGAACTCCTGACCTCAAGTGATCCACCCACCTCAGCTTCCCAAAATGCTAGGATAACAGGCGTGAGCCACTGCACCCAGCCAAGATCATCTTCTTAAAGCAGTCTTATTTTCAACATTCCAAAGTGGGAGTCAGTAGAGAAAATGAGTGCGGATCAATGCTGGGAATTGGTTTTTGTAGTTTTTTTGGGTGATAAGTGATGCCTTATAGATTTCCCCAAATATTTTATTATGAAATTTTTGCAACATATGAAAAAATGAAAAGAAATGAACGAGAAGAATCTATGAGTTTGACGTCTCAGTCCTGTGATGATCATTTTTGCCATATTCACTTTATCACACCTCTGCTCACCCACTCACCTGACTTCTTGATGCTTTTTCAAGTTGAGGACTCTTTCTGTTTTTTGAACTTGTTGTTGTTATGAAAGTAATGCTGCAGTTAATGTGGAACTAGAGTGCACCCAAACCAAAAAATGAAAATTGCTTGTAATCGCACACCCAGAGGTGACCTCTGGACATTTTATAAATAGGGAGTGATATCTATTGTCATCATCATACACATATTTATAAATAGTTCCAAGAATGAGCACAACAATGGCTTCTGTGTGCTTCCTTTCATTTAACAACATGCCTTTTATTTTAGTATCTCTATCTGCAACTTTGTTTTTGATGAACAGATATTTTATTTATTTATTTATTTTTGAGACTGAGTATCACTCTGTTCCCCAGGCTGGAGTGCAGTGGCGCGATCGCATGATCTCGCGATCTTGGCTCACTGCAACCTCTGCTGCCCAGGTTCAAGTGATTCTCCTGCCTCAGCCTCCTGAGTAGCTGGGATTACAGGCACCTGCCACCGCGCCCAGCTAATTTTTGTAGTTTTAGTAGAGACGGGGTTTCACCATCTTGGCCAGGCGGGTCTTGAACTCCTGTCCTCGTGATCCACTCGCCTCGGCCTCCCAGAGTGCTGGGATTACAGGCGTGAGCCACCACGCCCAGCCGAGGCCTGAGTTTTTTCTGGTAATCCTTGTCCAAGGATAACTAGGAAGTAGAAAATAATGAAACCACCCATTTCTATTGGATGAGGTTAACATGATCCTCTCCTTTTTCCCACCACCAGGAAGACTGAGGCTCTTCCTTCCCATGGCTTCGTCAAGTGCCTGGGAGCTCAGAGGTGCTGCTGGTGCTGGGATCTTACACATCTGGCTGCAACAACTTAGTTCTTTTTTTTTTTTTTTGAGACGGAGTCTCGCTCTGTCACCCAGGCTGGAGCGCAGAGGCACAATCTCAGCTCACTGCAAGCTCTACCTCCTGGGTTCATGCCATTCTCCTGCCTCAGCCTCCTGAGTAGCTGGGACTACAGGCGCCCATCACCATGCCCGGCTAATTTTTTTTTTTTGTATTTTTAGTAGAGACGGGGTTTCACCATGTTAGCCAGGATGGTCTTGATCTCCTGACCTCGTGATCCACCCACCTCGGCCTCCCAAGGTGCTGGGATTACAGGTGTGAGCCACCACGCCTGGCCATTTCATTATGATTAAGTGGACACATAGGTCAGCCATTCAGAAGGGGAAGTGACTGTCTTATTTCTTGCTGATCAATTTAAGTTCTCTTTCCATTGTGTTTCAGCTGCATTTAGTTCACTGGAATTCTGTGAAATACCAAAATTACAAGGAAGCTGTCGTGGGAGAGAATGCTTTCTGTGATAGGCGTGTTTTTAAAGGTAATCACTTGCTGGGGTGTAGATCTAATGAAGAAAGTGGTGATCCATCATTAGGATTGCTTTTTTTTTTTGAGACAGGACTCGCTGTGTCACACAGGCTGGAGTGCAGTGGCGTGGTCTCGGCTCATTGCAACCTCCACCTCCTGGGTTCAAGTGATTCTCCTGCCTCAGCCTCCCCAGTAGCTGGGACTATAGGAGTGTGCCACCACACCCAGCTAATTTTTGTATTTTTAGTAGAGACAGGGTTTCACCATATTGGCCAGGCTGGTTTCAAACTCCTGACCTTAGGTATCTGCCCACCTCGGCCTCCCAAAGTGCTGGGATCACAGGCGTGAGCCACCGTGCCTGGCCTAGGATTGCTTTTAAAACGTGGTGTATTTACAGTGGAGTGAGCTTCCCCCCGCCACCCATTGCCTTTTCAGCTAACCCCTTGTGTGTCTGCCACGCAGCTCGGGGCCCATCATCAGATGCTGCAGAGGCTGGTGGACATCTTGCTGGAAGTAAAACATAAGGTAAGCTGCATATTTGAAATCAGCAGGCCGGGCGCGGAGGCTCACGCCTGTGATCCCAGCACTTTGGGAGGCTGAGGCAGGTGGATCACCTGAGGTCGGGAGTTCGAGACCAGCCTGACCAACATGGAGAAATCCCGCCTCCACTAAAAATACAAAATTAGCAGGGTGTCGTGGCACATGCCTGCAATCCCAGCTACTCGGGAGGCTGAGGCAGGAGAATCGTTTGAACCCAGAGGTGGAGGTTGCAGTGAGCTGAGATTGCGCTGTTGCACTCCAGCCTGGGTGACAAGAGTGAAATCCTATCTCAAAAAAAAAAAAAAAGAAAAGAAAGAAATCAGCATAATTTGACAAGCAAAATTGTTTAGTGCAGCGATTCATTTGCAAGGAAAAAGAAATCTCATAGTGGAAAGAGCCCCGCCGAGGCGCTGTGATTCCAGTTCTGGAAACAGGATTCTGCAGGGTTGATGCTCGTGTGTCCACAGCTAGCTCTCTCTGACTTTGAATGCGTCACCACTGCTCTGGGACCCTGTTTCCTCCTCCATAAAATAAGGGTGTTGGGCTCAATGGAAGTTCCCAAAATTCAGTCATGCAGGCAAGATCCTGAAGACTTTGACGTATCTGCCTGCCAATGGGACAACTTTCTACTGAATATTTTTCTTTTCTTTTTTATTTTTTCGAGGAGTCTCCCTCTGTCACTCAGGCTGGAATGCAGTGGCGCGATCTCGGCTCACTGCAACCTCCGCCTCCCGGGTTCAAGCAATTCTCTTGCCTCAGCCTCCCATGCAGTTGGGACAATAGGTGTGCGCCACCACACCCAGCTAATTTTTGTATTTTTAGTAGAGACGGGGTTTCACCATGTTGGCCAGGCTGGTCTCAAACTGGGGACTTCAGGTGATCCGCCCGCCTTGGCCTCCCAAGGTGCTGGGATTACAGGCGTGAATCACCGCGCCCAGCCTACTTAATATTTTTCTTTAAATTGATTAGCTCGAAAAATTTTTAGCCTTGTCCTGGGTGATGATATTCACTAATGATAATGTTTGTTTGAAAACAGATTGAAACAAAAACCTCAAATCCCTAACTAATAACATTTAAGAATGTTGACTCATGTACCACCCAGCATCTCCTTGAACGTCCCTGTCCGACCCCAAGCCCAAGGGCAGAGAGAAACCTGCCCAAACCGCGGCTCTCCGGCCCAGCTCTCCACACGCTTCCCTGCATCCAGCGCCCAGCTCTCCACACGCTTCCCTGCATCCAGCGCCCAGCTCTCCATACGCTTCCCTGCATCCAGCACAGCTCGAAAAGATGACGGGGACAAGAGTGTCGCCTTTCTCCAAGATCAGCTGAGAAAAGGCTTTGAGGGAGAAGGAGAAATTCCAAAGAAATGTAGTTTATTTATTCAGCAGCAAACAAAAGAATTCCAGGGCAGAAGGAGTCAACGCAAGCCTCAGATGTGCGGAAGGATGAGGCTTCAACCTGTGTTAACAATGGTGCGGGCTGGTCCAGATGGAGCTGGGGCAAGCCCTTCCTCGCGGTTCAAGGAGCCGTTTGATCTGTACGTGGCCTTCGCCTTGATGCTGGCTTCGGGGCGGCCTCCTGGGACTGGGACCAGATCACCCCCCGCCGCCCCATCTGCCTGCTCAGAAACTTCACAAGGCCACGGTTCTGAGAGCTCTGACGCCCCATCCTCTTCCTCCGCGCGGCTCCACAGCCAGAGGAAACCTGGGGAGGGGTTGTTTTCCCAGCCAGCCTCCACCTTCCACACCAGGTGGTCCCACCTCTTGGTGGGAAAGAAAAGAGCTGGCTGTGAAGGACCCTTTACCCAAGGGCTGTTTTCCTCCTGGGGAAGGTTCTGGAGCATTTCTTCCCCATGGGGTAAGTCAGAATTTTCTAGGCAAACCACAGGGGAGGAATGATGCCCGGGACAGGGGAGGAAGTGCCACCGCGGACTGAGCTCTGGTCCTGATGCTGATCTCTGGGCTCATCCCCTCAGCTGAAAATAAAGAGTTAGACTCTTTTTTTTTTTTTTTTTTGAGATAGAATCTCGCTCTGTTGCCCAGGCTGGAGTGCAATGGCGCGACCTCGGCTCACTGCAACCTCCGCCTTCCAGGTTCAATTGATTCTCCTGCCTCAACCTCCTGAGTAGCTGGAAGTACCGGCGCCCACCACCATGCCTGGCTAATTTTTGTATTTTTAGTAGAGACGGGGTTTCACCATGTTGGCCAGGCTGATCTCAAACTCCTGACCTCAAGTGATCCGCCCACCTTGGCCTCCCAAATTGCTGGGATTACAGGCGTGAACCACCGCGCCTGGCCGAGTTAGACCTTTGAGAAATTAAAAGACCTTAAGAGGCTGAGTGCGGTGGCTCAAGCCTGTAATCCTAACACTTTGGGAGGCCAAAGCAGGCAGACCACCTTAGGTCAGGAGTTCAAGACCAGCCTGGCCAACATGGTGAAAGCCTATCTCTACTAAAACTACAAAAATTAGCCAGGCATGGTGGCGGGTGCCTGTAATCCCAGCTACTCGGGAGGCTGAGGCGGGAGAATTGCTTGAATCTGGGAGATGGAGGTTGCAGTGAGCTGAGATTGTGCCACTGCACTCCAGGCCGAGTGACACAGCGAGACTCATCTCAAAAAAAAAAAAAAAAAAAAAGACCTTAGGAGGTAAAAGACCCAGCCTTGGGGGCAAGAGTCTATGCTTCACGGGTCAGGGAATGGGAAGAGACTTGAACAACCCTCTCGCCTAGAGGCTCCTAGCCTAGGACTTCTGGGAGCTTCTCCCATAGCACAGTGTATCAGAGAGCCCCACAGTTGGACTCCTGGGTCCAGAGCCCTGATCCACCACTCCTGAGCTGCGCACCTCTGAGCCTCAGCTTCCTCGCCTGTGAAATGGAGATGTTAAACATCCACAGTAGCCCGGGCGCGGTGGCTCACACCTGTAATCCCAGCACTTAGGGAGGCCGAGGTGGGTAGATCACCTGAGGTCAGGAGTTCAAGACCAGCCTGGCCAACATGGCAAAACCCCATCTCTACTAAAAATACAAAAATTAGCTGGGTGTGGTGGCACACTCCTGTAATCCCAGCTACTCAGGAGGCTGAGGCAGGAGAATCGCTTGAACCCAGGAGATGGAGGTTGCAGTGAGCCGAGATCATGCCACTGCACTCCAGTCTGGGTGACAGCTCGAGAATCCGTCTCCAAAAAAAAAAAAAATCCACACTAGAGCAGCATTCTCACCATGTAATGGAATAAGGAGCATGTCTGGTTCTTGGTGAAATGTGCAGTTGAGTTTAAGGCCCAGCTGTGGCCAACACTCACACACACACGTCTGCTGTGGAATGCACAGGCTGCTGCTGCCTGTCACGAAACGAAAATCCACCAGCCCAATCACTAAGGTTAAAGTCGCTTTTTGTTGCTGCGGGTGCTTTCAGTCAGCTGGTTCCCAGAGAGAGCTATTACCTTTTGGGAGTCCATGAAACTTTAGAATGATGGCCTTCTGATGGAAAATGCTAGAAGTGTGGTTGAATCTAACTCCTGATTGGTGGGCAGTGCAGGGCAGGACGGGGCCGTGGTGGCCTCAGGCTCAAGGGCAGATGGCCTTGGCTTCAAATCCCAGCTCTGCCTCTCACCCCCTCGGACTCAGCAGTCCTCACCCAGGGATGGGCTCATCTGCAGCTTCTGGGCTGCTTTCCTGGTTTCCTCCAGTTAAGGAACAAGCTGTCCTGAACTAGGGCAGGAAAGACCAGAGTCACGTAGTCCCCATCATCTCTCCTAGTTCCAGGCTGGTCCGGGCCCTGATGTGGGACTGACTCGGCAGAGACCCTCCAGGAATGCCTGCCACGGTCATTCCCTGGGGACCCAGCTGGCTTCTATGCAGTGCTCAGGGCTCCAAGGGTGCATTTCCAGAAAGAGCCAGATGGACACGATGTCTTTTCTGCCCTGGCTTCCAGAGTCACAAAGCACTGCTCCTGCGGCATCCTGTTCACCACTCCCACCAGGAGCACCTGCCCAGGCTCAGGGCAAGGCGACATCACCCCACACCTCGGTGGGAAGGGTTCAAAGAAGCGACAGCCCTCCATATAAATCATCACACTGAATCTTCCAATCACTCCATGGGGCAGGGCCTGTGATTCATCTGTCTTGCACACACAGGGAAACCAAAGCTCAGAGAGGCAGAGAAGGCCTTGCCCGGGCACACAGGTGGCAGGTGAAGAGCCCGTTTTTAAACCCAGGAAGTGGCTCCATGCAGCCTGAACTCCCAGTCGTCCCAGCGCCCACCTCCCACATGCAGTCAGAACCCAGGCTGAGCTCCAGGCCCTGCTGCACATTTCTGAGCTTTTCAGCAGCTTAGAGGGAAACACAGGCAGTGTCTATAACCAAAACCACATTAGGCGCCGCCTGGAAGCCCGGACCCCCACCCCCACCCCCAGCGCCGTCCCATCTGCACAGGCCCCTACCAGTGCTGACCTGTCACTATGCACTCAGCTCCCAGCACGCAGGCCCAGCCCCAGTGTGGCCCCGGTGACCCTGGGCAGACACTCCCAGAATGGAGACCTCGAGGCTTCGCCTTTGACCCTCTCACCATAGCCAGAAGTTTTGGCAAAAACTGCCCACAGAGGGTCCCCACCCTCCATGCCTGGACAAGCTGCAAGCTCCTCAGGCTGCTGGGGCCCCCCCTCCTCCCTCCCTTCGCAAGAGTCAGGGCTACCGGGGAATTGGCTGCCTTGTGGAGCTGGAAACAGCCCACCAGGTCCAGGGGATCCAGGGAATGGCTCTATGCCCTGTGGGGGCTCTTCTAGCTTTGGCAGCAGCAGCGGCAGCACCTACCGAGCCCCACGCCCATGTGGCAGGCACTGATGGAAGCCCATTACAGCCACCACACTGCCTGTCGTACACCTGGGGAAACTGAGACTCTAAGAGGACAAACCAAGGGCGGAGTTAGGCTGGGTGAGGCTTGACGCTCATAAAATGCGGGGTCCTGTTTAAGAGAAGGAAGACAAAACCAGGAACAGAGCGGTGGCTCACGCCTATAATCCCAGCACTGTGGGAGGCTGAGGCGGGTGGATTACCTGAGGTCAGGAGTTTGAGACGAGCCTGACCAACATAGAGAAACCCCATCTCTATTACAAATACAAAATTAGCCAGGCGTGATGGTGCATGCGTGTAATCCCAGCTGCTAGGGAGGCTGAGGCAGGAGAATCGCTTGAACCCGGGAGGTGGAGGTTGTGGTGAGCCGAGATCGTGCCATTGCACTCCAGCCTGGGCAACAAGAGCGAAACTCCGTCTCAAAATAAATAAATAAATAAGAGAAAAGTGGAACAAGTCACCAACCCACTTCCGCCAGCAAAGGCTTGTGGTGCTTTCCACAGGTAGCTGGGCCATCCGTGCTCAGATAATGGATGTGATGGTCTTCAGCCTCATTGGTGTGCTCACCGGTGTCCCATTCTAGCTGCCTGGGGCTCACCACACGCATAAAGGAAGGGCCCTGACTTCCTCTGGGGGCCCTGAGGGGGAGCAGCTTTCTGTAACCACATGGCTGCTCCAGCCCTCATGCATCTTAGAGACAGGACAGGAACTCCTGGGGACGATGAGGCAACACACAGGCATCCTCTTCTCAGCCCAAGGCTGGAAAGCTTAATTGGCAGGAAACCTGCACGCAGTGGAATGGCTGGGGCCTGCCGCTCCCCCGACTGATTCCTGCAGTCCTGGGGAGGGAGAGATGAGCCCGCACCTTGGAACGGGCCAGGCCTCAGTGGCCCTGACTGGCAACGTGGCTTTGGGCAAGTTGTTTATATCTGTCTGTCTATCTTCATCAGTAAACTAGAAATACTTCTTGAAGGGTTGTTCTGAAGATTTGAAGTAGTTGCTCAGAAAGTGACTGGCACATCTGTGCCCTGGGAGCGGGGACGTGTGGCCGGCAGGAGGAGAGGACATCTCACTGCACACCTGCCTGTTACCCATGTGCACAGACCAACGTCTCACTGCACACCGACCTGTTACCCATGTGCACAGACTGACATCTCACTGCACACCCGCCTGTTACCCACGTGCACCAGACTGACACCTCACTGCACATCCACCTGTTACCCACGTGTACAGACTGACGCCTCACTGCACACCCACTTGTTACCCACGTGCACCAGACTGACGCCTCACTGCACACCTGCCTGTTACCCACGCGCACCAGACTGACATCTCACTGCACACCCGCCTGTTACCCATGTGCACAGACTAACACCTCACTGTGCACCCACCTGTTACCCATGTGCACAGACTGACGTCTCACTGCACACCCGCCTGTTACCCATGTGCATAGACCAACACCTCACGGTGCACCCACCTGTTACCCATGTGCACAGACTGACGTCTCACTGTACATCCATCTGTTACCCATGTGCACAAGCAGCCTGCTCCTTCACAGCCCAGCTAGAGTGTGCAATGGGATGTCAACCCAGCTAGACCATGCAATGAGATATTACTTGGCAATCAGAAAGGACACAGCTCTAACTCACGCTGCGGTGTGGGTGAGCCTCAAAAGCACCGTACTAAGTGACAGACGCAAGACACAAATGTTCCACATGTTACATGACTCAGTTCCTATGAAACCCACAGAGACAGAAGCAGCACGGCGGGGGTGGGGAGAAGAGCTAAAAAGTACCAAGCTTCCTCCTTGAGGTGCTGAAAATGTTCTAAAATTGACTTGGGATGGCTGCACAACTGTGAATATACCCAAAACCATAGAATTGTACACTTCAATTTTTATTTACTTTTTCTGGTTTTTTTTTTTTTTTTTTTTTGAGATGGAGTTTCACTCTTGTTGCCCAGGCTGGAGTGCAATGGCATGATCTCAGCTCACTGCAACCTCTGCCTCCCAGGTTCAAGCGATTCTCCTGCCTCAGCCTCCCGAGTAGCTGGGATTACAGGCATGCACCACCACGCCTGGCCAATTTTGTATTTTTAGTAGAGACGCAGTTTCGCCATGTTGGTCAGGCTGGTCTCGAACTCCCGACTTCAGGTGATCCACCCGCCTTGGCCTCCCAAAGTGCTGGGATTACAGGCATGAGCCACTGTGCCCGGCCTATTTACTTATTTTAAGAAAGGATCTCACTCTGTCACCCAGGCTAGAGTGCACTGGTGTGATCACAGCTCACTGCAGCCTCAACCTCCGGGGCTCAAGCCATCCTCCCACCTCAACCTCCCAACTACCTGGGACCACAGGCATGTACCACTGCACCTGGCTAGTTTTTGTGTTTTTTGTAGAGTCAGATTCTTGTTATGTTGCTTAGGCTGGTCTCAAACTCCTGGCCTCAAGCAGTCCTCCCACATCGGCCTCCCAAAGTGCTGGGATTACAGGCATGATCCATCGCGCCCAACCAGGTTGTACACTTTAGATGGGAGAGTTGCATGGTATGTGAATTCTATCACAATAATGCTGTGGGTTTTGTTGCTGTTGTTGTTGTTTGAGACCGAGTCTCTCTCTGTTGCCCAGACTGGAGTGCAATGGTGCAGTCTTGGCTCACTGCAACCTCTGCCTCCTGTGCTAAAGCAATTCTTGTGTCTCAGACTCCCGAGTAGCTGGGATGACAGGCACCTGCCACCATGCCTGGCTAATTTTTGTATTTTTAGTAGAGACGGGGTTTCGCCATGTTGGTCAGGCTGGTCTTGAACTCCTGACTTCAGGTGATCTGCCTGCCTTGGCCTCCCAAAGTGCTGCAATTACAGGCATGAGCCACTGTGCCCAGCCTATAATGCTGTTTTTTTTTTTTAATTAACTGGATAATTATAAACGTGAACACGTGTGCACAGAACTGATGCATGTGTCTGCCGGCGTGGACACTCCTGGGCTTCCTTCTGGTAGCTCAGCCGCCTCTCTTGACCCTGACCCTCACTGCTTGATGTTAGGAGACAAGCCCAAGGCATCTAGGTTGCTGGCTTCCACCTTGGAAGGCCAGGGCCCAGCAAAGTCAAGGTGATGTGATGTGGCTGAGCAGGGAGGCCATCTTCCTTCCAGACAGAGACTCTGTCACTTTGGACTGGACTCTTGTCCCACAGTGCTGGCCAGGGACAGGTGCAGAGTTGTGCTTGGTTGGCATGGGACGCTGATGAGGGCTGTGTTGCGGCCAGGCCCAACCACCATGAGCCGAGATCATGCCACGGCACTCCAGCCTGGAAGACAGAGTGAGACTCTGCCTCAAAAAAATAAAAAAAATAAAAAGTTATAAATAGAACTACCCTATGATTCAGCAATCACACACTTCTGGGTATATATCCAAAAGAGCTGGCTGGGCACAGTGGCTTATGCCTGTAATCCCAATATTTTGAGAGGCCAAGGCAGGAGGATCACTGGAGCCCAGGAGTTGGAGAACAGCTTGGGCAAGATGGCAAGACCCCCTGGCTACAAACAATTAATTTTAAACCCTGGTATGGTGTCCTAGCTACTTGGGAGACTGACGCGGGGGGATCGCTTGAGCCCAGGAATTAGAGACTGCAGTGAGCTATGATGGCATCATTGCACTCCTGCCTAGTTGACAAAGTAAGACCCTGACTCTTTTTTTTTTGTTTTTTGGCTGTGAGTGTATTCAATGCAAAATAATCCTCTCTAATTTTACGGAGGTGGCTGGCCATGTCCACGACCAAATCTGCCTCTAAACTGGAATTCGGTTGCTGACCCAGCCCGAGCCTCAGCTTTCTTATCGGCACCAGGGGCACAGCACTCCGTCTGTAGGTATGTCTGTCGGCTTCCCCTCTTGTGAGTCTTGCAGGTCGCCCACCCTCCAGACCTTTAGGCCGAGGCCTGCCAGTCCCTGGACGGCTGCAGCGTAGGGTGGCAGGCACAGTTTCCAGGGACAGATGAAGGTAATCACGGAGATACTGGATACCCTGATCGGTAAGGTAGCAGTAGAAATGTCTCCAGGCAAGCCAGGCACGGTGGCTCATGCCTGTAATCCCAACATTTTGGGAGGCCGAGGTGGGCGGATCACGAGGTCAGGAGATCGAGACCATCCTGTCTAACATGGTGAAACCCCGTCTCTACTAAAAATACAAAAAATTTGCCGAGCGTGGTGGCGGGTGCCTATAGTCCCAGCTACTGGGGAGGCTGAGGCAGGATAATGGCATGAACCCAGGAGTTCAAGCTGGTCTTGAACTCCAGGAGGCGGAGCTTGCAGTGAGCCGAGATCACACCACTGCACGCCAGCCTGGGTGACACAGCGAGACTCTGTCTCAAAAAAAAAAAAAAAAAAGCAACAATGCAGGGACTCCTGACACATGCTCCAATGTGGATAAACCTGAAGGACATTATGCCCAGTGAAATAAGCCAGACACAAAAGACAAAAACCACAGGATCCCACCCACATCAGGTCCCCAGAGTCCTCAGATTCAGAGAGATGGAAGCAGAATGGTGGGTGCCAGGCCTGGGGGAGGAAGCTGGACATAGTGTTTAGTGGGGTCAGGACAGAATTTGAGTTTGGGATGATGGAAAAGTTCTGGAGACGGATGGTGGAGATGGTTGCACCACAATGTGACTGCATTTAACGCCATCAAATTTTACACTTCAAAATGGTTAAGATGGGCCGGGCATGGTGGCTCATGCCTCTCATCCCAGCGCTGTGGGAGGCTGAGGCAGGTGAATCACCTGAGATTGGGAGTTCAAAACCAGCCTGACCAACATGAAGAAACCCCGTCTCTACTAAAAATACAAAATTAGCAGATGTGGTGGCGGGTGCCTGTAATCCCAGCTACTCAGGAGGTTGAGGCAGGAGAATCACTTGAGCCTGGGAGGCGAAGGGTTGCAGTGAGCCAAGATCGCACCATTGCACCCCAGCCTGGGCAACAAGAGCAAAACTGCATCTCAAAAAAAAAAAAAAGGTTAAGACGGTAAATTTTATGTTATGTATATTTTATCACAATAAAAAGTAATATTTTTTGCAGCCAAGGTATGCTAAAAGAAATGGCTTTTTAATTTTTTATTATTTATTTATTAATTATTATTATTATTTGAGACAGAGTCTCACTCTGTTGCCCAGGCTGGAGTGCAGTGGCGTGATCTCAGCTCACTGCAACCTCTGCCTCCTGGGCTCAAGCAATTCTCTTGCCTCAGCCTCCTGAGTAGCTGGGACTACAGGCGCCCACCACCACATCTGGATAATTTTTGTATTTTTAGTAGAGACAGGGTTTCATCATGTTGACCAGGCTGGTCTCGAACTCCTGACCTCAAGTGATCCACCCGCCTCGGCCTCCCAAAGTGCTGAGATTACAGGGGTGAGCTACTGCGCCCCAAGAAATGACTTCAAAAGGAAAAATGTAAGCACCAACATAAGCTGGTGTAATGTAATGTAATTCCCACCAATGTAAGTTGGCAGGAATCCTTGCTCTGTATAGAAGGCTCACATTTTCTTATCACTGCTTCCAAGTGTGACAGCAGTGGCCTCATGGCCTTATCTCGGGGAAAGCACTTCCTTCCAAGCACCATGAAGGCCTCCCGTGCTGAGACAAGATGGAAGCTCCTAGTCCCACCTGAGGACTGATACGGCCTGTGCTTCTCGGTCTCTCAGGACGCGCAGGCGGCCATGCGCCCCTTCGACCCCTCCGCTCTGCTGCCCACCTGCTGGGATTACTGGACCTATGTGGGCTCGCTCACCACCCCGCCGCTGACCGAGTCGGTCACCTGGATCATCCAGAAGGAGCCCGTTGAAGTGGCCCCAAGCCAAGTGAGCCGTGCCCGTAACTGGCATGATGGCGCTTCATGGAAGGCGTCTCTCTTGCTTGGCAGCGTCACTAAGATGCTGCATAAGAGCCTTGAGGAGTTATATATATTCTTTCATGCATTTGGGGTGTTCTTACACAAGAAGAAAGTTCCAATTGAAGTAGGAGCTTGTTGAGATTGGACAGCGGTTCCAGTGATCACAGCGAGCATGTTCTGAGCAACGCCCTAATCTATCACACACAGACACACAAGGCATCCATGGGAGTTGTCCCAGCGTCATGGGTCTGCATGGTTTTTGTTTTCTTCCTTTTTCTTTTCTTTCCTTTTTTTTTTTTTGAGACAGAGTCTCGCTCTGTCGCCCAGGCTGCAGTGCAGTGGCTCGATCTCAGCTCACTACTACCTCCACCTCCTGGGTTCAAGCAATTCTCCTGCCTCAGCCTCTCGAGTAGCTGGGATTACAGGCACCCATCACCACGCCTGGCTAATTTTTGTATTTTTAGTAGAGACGGGGTTTCACCATGTTGGCCAAGCTGGTCTTGAACTCAGGTGATCTGCCCACCTTGGCCTCCCAAAGTGCTGGGATTCCAGGCATGAGCCACCGAGCCCGGCCTCCTTTTTCTTATCTAAATAGTTTCATTGCTTTTTTTTTTTTTCGAAAATTAGTTAATAATCCTTGTATACATTTTTAAAAGTTATACTATTGGGCTGGGCGTCATGGCTCATGCCTATAATTTTAGCACTTTAGAAGGCTGAGACAGGCAGATCACTTGAGGCCAGGAGTTCGAGACCAGCCTGACCAACATGGTGAAACCCCGTCTCTACTAAATCTACAAAATTAGCCAGGCGTGGTGGTGCACGCCTGTAATATCAGCTACTTGGGAAGCTGGGGCAAGAGAATAACTTGAAGCCGGGAGGTGGAGGCTGCAGTGAGCCGAGATCGCACCACTGCACTCCAGCCTGGACAACAAGAGCAAAACTCCATCTCAAATAAATAAATAAATAAAAATACAAAAATTAGCCGGGCATGGTGGCGTGTGCCTGTAGTGCCAGCTACTTGGGAGGCTGAGGTAGGAGAATCACTTGAACCTGGAAGGCGGAGGTTGCAGTGAGCTGAGATGGCACCACTGCACTCCAACCTGGGCGACAGAGTGAGACTGTCTCAAAAAAATAAAATAAAAAATAAATAAAAGTTATACTATCATTTTTTTCTGGAAATCTTAAGAATCTATAGCAATTCTGTCTGTCCAAGGCAGTTCAGAGCCACAGGCATGCTGCCTATGCCCCGCCCCCGCCCGGCAGACGTTTCTCAGCAGTCGCAGCAGGACTTAGCATCTCTGGCTCATCTCTTTCTGAGGGCTCCAGGTGAGCTCTTAGAGGGTCTTTCAGTCTCCTGGGCCTGTGAAAATATTCCCTTATATACAAACCATGGCATGATGTCATTTGCACGTGGAGATGTGGGATGCAGAATATCTGCCTACCTCCAAACCAGAGCTGTTGGACATGGGGAAGGCTTTTGTTGAAGGTGGCCCCTTGTCAGCAAGGCCCTTATGCTACTCAACAAGCATATATGTGACAAGTGCCCATTCTGGGTCTGTGCCACCAAGAGAGGGTGGGAGGGGGGCAGGTGTGGAGGGGCGGCACAGGAACAGGGCATTCGTCTCAGAATACTGCTGTCTGGCAGGAAAGTAGAAACGAAGCCAATAGTATTAAGCCAGGGTGGCCGGTGTCATATAAAAATGCAGGGCAGGAGCTCCTTATCCTGAGCAGGGGAGCCAGGGAGGCACATGTCCTGGAAGGCGGGGAGTTTTCCAGGGGAGGAGAAAGGCTGCCTTTCTGAGACAGTCAACAAATGTGCAGACCACAAATGTGGATGAGCACACTGTGGTCATGGCCCAGGAGGCCACGTGCACCATGCGCGCGCAATTCTAGGGGGCGCTGGATCATCATGCAGGGCTAACTGGCCCAGTATGCTGTCAGCATGTAGACATAATCTCACTTCTGAATTTAATTAAATGCGTGAGTTGCCTCACAGAGTTCATAAGTATATTCTGTGAACAAGTGAGATAATACATAAAAAGTCTTTTTTTATTTTTCATTTATTTATTTATTTTGAGACAGAGTTTCCCTGTTGCCCAGGCTGGAGTGCAATGGCGTGATCTCGCTCACCACAAGCTCCACCTCCCAGGTTAAAGCGCTTCTCCTGCCTCACCCTCCCGAGGAGCTGGATTACAAGCATGAGCCACCACATCTGGCTAATTTTGTATTTTTAGTAGGGATGGGGATTCTCCATGTTGGCCAGGCTGGTCTCAAACTCCTGACCTCAGGTGATTCACCCACCTTGGCCTCCCAAAGTGCTGGGATTACAGGCATGAGGCACTGCATCCAGCCATAAAAAGTAGTCTTTTAGTTCCTTGAGTGAAAAGTAAATTCAAATGTTACTTTAGCATTTACATTATAGGTGTTAGTTATCTATTGCTGTGTAACAAATAGCTCCAAAACATAGTGGCTTTAGAAAACAATCATTTGGGCCGGGTGCAGTAGCTCATGCCTGTAATCCCAGCACTTTGGGGGCCGAGGCGAGTGGATCGCCTGAGGTCAGGAGTTCAAGACCAGCCTGACCAACATGGTGAAACCCTGTCTCTACTAAAAATACAAAATTAGGCTGAGCACAGTGGCTAACGCCTATAATCCCAGTACTTTGGGAGGCCGAGGCAGGTGGATAACCTGAGGTCAGGAGTTTGAGAGCAGCCTGACCAACATGGAGAAACCCCATCTCTACTAAAAATACAAAATTAGCCGGGCGTGGTGGTGCATGCCTGTAAGCCCAGCTACTCAGGAGGCTGAGGCAGGAGAATCCCTTGAACCCAGGAGGCGGAGGTTGCGGTGAGCAAAGATCACACCATTGCACTCCAGTCTGGGCAACAGGAGCAAAATTCCATCTCAAAAAAAAAAAAAAAAAATTAGCCGGGCATGGTGGCTCATGCCTGTGATCCCAATTACTCGGGAGGCCGAGGCAGGAGAATCGCTTGAACCTGGGAGGCGGAGGTTGCAGCGAGCTGAGATCTTGCCAATGACACTCCAGCCTGGGAAACAAGAGCGAAACACTGTCTCAAACAACAACAACGACAACAAAAACCAATCATTTATTATCTCCCATAGTTTCCTTGGGTTGTGAATTTGGGTGGCTCTGGCTTACCATCTTTCATGAATTGTAGCCCAGTGTCAGCTGGGACTGTAGCGATCTGAAAGCTCAACTAGGGCTAGAGGATTCATTCCAAGGTTGGCCCTCTCAAGTGGATGGCAAGTTGGCGCTGGCAGTTGGCTGGGAGCCTCAGCTCCTTTCCCTGTGGGCCTCTCCTCGGGGCTGCTTGAGTACCCTCCCAATATGGTGACCAGCTTCCCCCCAGAGCAAGTGATCCTAAAGACCAAGGCGGAAGCGGCAATGCCTTTTATAACCTGGCCCTGCACACACCATCACTTCCACCATCTTTACTGGTCATTTCAGGCCATCCTGATTCAGCATGGGAGGAGACCACACAAGGCCTGAGGGACACCCGGGGGCTGGCTCACCCTGCACTCATACCAAGCTCACCCTGGCTGCCCTCTATTCCAGCTCTCTGCATTTCATACTCTCCTGTTTTCTGCACTTGGTGAAGAGAAGAAGATGATGGTGAACAACTATCGCCCACTTCAACCCCTGATGAACTGGAAGGTCTGGGCGTCCTTCCAGGCCACTAATGAGGGCACAAGATCCTAGAGACATTAGGTCCACATGAATAGCAGAACTGACTTTGAAGGAAGGAAGCGTTGTTACCCAGGAGATCGAGACCATCCTGGCCAACACGGTGAAAACCTGTCTCTATAAAAAACACAAACATTAGCTGGGTGCGTGCCTGTAATCCCAGCTACTTGGGAGGCTGAGGCAGGAGAATTGCTTGAACCCGGGAGGCAGAGGTTGCAGTGAGCCAAGATTGCACTATTGCACTCCAGCCTGGGCAACAAGAGCAAAACTCCGTCTCAAAATAAAAAGGAATTCTTGTGAGGCCAGGCACAGTGGTTCACGCCTGTAATCCCAGCACTTTGGGAGGCTGAGGCAGGTGGATCACTTGAGGTCAGAAGTTTGAGACCAGCCTGGCCAACATGGTGAAACTCCGTCTCTACCAAAAATACAACCAAAAGTAATCTGGCAGGATAAAACCAGAAAACATACACAATTTGATGTCAAGACCTATTTCAAAAGCTATAGTAGGCCAGGCGCAGTGGCTCATGCCTGTAATCCCAGCACTTTGGGAGGCCGAGGTGGGAAGATCACCTGAGGTCAGAAGTTCGACACCAGCCTGGCCAACATGGCGAAACCCTGTCTCTGCTAAAAATACAAAAATTAGCTAGGTGCGGTGGCTCATGCCTGTAATCCCAGCTACTCAGGAGACTGAGGCAGGAGAATCGCTTGAATCTGGGAGGCAGAACTTGCAGTGAGCTGAGATCATGCCACTGCACTCCAGCCTGGGCGACAGAGCGAGACTCCATATAAAATAAATAAATAAATAAAAATAAAAAGCTATATTAATTAAGATAATGTGGTACCTGTCAGAGAAGGACAAATCAACCAATGAAAAAGAATAGCATGTCTAGAAGGTTCCACACATTTGTGATCCCTGAGTCATGCTGTAGGGAATGGATGGGCTTTTCTGTGAATAGTTTTGGATCATTTGGATACTTATCTATCTATGTATTGATTGATCGATCAATTCATCTGTCGATCCACAGGGTCTCACTATGTTGCCCAGGTTGGTCCTGAACCCCTGAGCTCCAATAGTTCTCCTGCTTTGACCTCCCAAAGTGCTGGGATTACAGGCATGAGCCACCCCACCGAGCCAACGGGATATCCAAATGGGGAACCATGAATCTTTTTTCTCACCATACCTCACACCCCTACCTCACAGCACACACAAAAATTAATTCCTGACAGACTATAGATCTAAATAGGAAAGGTAAAACAATAAAGCTCCTAAAAAATAACATAGGAGCCAGGCGCTGTGGCTCACGCCTGTAAACCCAGCACTTTGGGAGGCCAAGTTCCAGACTAGCCTGACCAACATGGAGAAACCCCATCTCTACTAAAAATACAAAATTAGCCGAGCTTGGTGGTGCATGCCTGTAATCCCAGCTACTCGGGAGGCTGAGGCAGGAGAATTGCTTGAACCCGCGAGGCAGAGGTTGTAGTGAGCCGAGATCGCGCCATTGCATTCCAGCCTGGGAAACAAGAGCAAAACTTTGTCTCAAAAAAAAAAAAAAAAAAAAAAAGACTTGATCCAGAACTCAATGTTGGGTCTGAGTGTGGCTTTTCTGTCTCTCTTTCGTGATGTTGTCTCTCTCTTGGCAAGCTCATTCTTTTTGTGGAAAGAGAGCTACCACTTGTGCCAGGATGGTTTCCATTAATTCATGTAACATTTATTGAGTGCCAATTACGTGGCAGGCTCTATTCTAGACTCTGGGGACAGAGCCTAGACTGTTTCAGGTCTGAAGAGCCTTTGCCTCGGAGCTCACGTTCTGATGGAAGGAGGTAGACCATGATGCATCAACACAGAAAGTCTGGGGTGGTAAGTCACAGGGAGAGGACATGGCTGGGTGGGGAGGTCTCTTCTACAGGGGCCATTTGGGCAGAGACCAAAGGAGGAGTGAACCACATGGCTACCCGAGGGCAGAGAATTCCAGGCAGAGGCTGGAGGCAGGAGCACCCTTCTGGTGTTCAAGGTGCAGCCCGAGGGTGAGGGCAGCCAAGTGCAGGGGTGAGGAGAGAGGCATGGGAGGCAAGGGTGGGTACTGGGGCCCCATAGGCTGGGTGGAGACTTTGGAGCTGCTGCTGGGTTCTGAGCAAAGGGCATTTTCGAGTGGAAAGGCTCAGTTTGGCTGTGCTGCCAAAGAGTTTTCCAAAGTGGTCGTTCCTGTCCTTGCCAGCAGGTCATTGTGTGCTTTCTGGAGGGTGTGCCCAGGTGTCTCCTGTGGATTTAATTTGCACTTCCCTAATGATTAATGATGTGGAGCACTTTGTGCAGATTCATTGGCCATCTGCATATCCTCTTTCACCAGATACCTACTTGAGCCATTTGCCCATTTTTCTCTTGGGCTGTCTGTGGTTTTCTTAGTGATTTTTAGGAGTTCTTTATATATTCCAATTATAAGGCCTTTGTCCATTTTACAAATCTCTTCTCCCACTCTGGGGCTGCCTTTCACCCTCTTTTTTTTTGTTGTTTTTTGTTTTGTTTTGTTTTTGAGATGGAGTCTTGCTTTGTCACCCAGGCTGGAGTGCAGTGGCGCAATCTTGGCTCACTGCAACCTCCACCTCCCGGGTTCAGGTGATTCTCCTGCCTCAGCCTCACAAGTAGCTGGGATTACAGGCGTACACCACTGTGCCTGGCTAATTTTGTATTTTTAGCAGAGACGGGGTTTCTCCATGTTGGTCAGGCTGGTCTCGATCTCCCGACCTCAGGCGATCCGCCTGCCTCGTCCTCCCAAAGTGCTGAGATTACTGGCATGAGTCACCGCGTCGGGTCTGGATCAAGCTTATAGCAATGGTTGCACCTGATCAGTTACACAAGCCAATAGGTGCCCTTTCATGTAAGCCAGTTTGGGTTTCTTTTTACCTATTACTTGCTTGGAAAAAATCCAAAATCAGTACAGTGTTTTTCTTTTCCTTTTTTTTAGATGGAGTGTCGCTCTGTCACCCAGGCTGGAGTGCAATGTCATGATCTCAGCTCACTGCAACCTCTGCCTCCCGGGTTCAAGCAATTCTCCTGCCTCAGCCTCCCGAGTAGCGGGGATTACAGGCACCCGCCACCACGCCCAGCAAATTTTTTTTTTTTCTTTGAGACAGAGTTTTGCTCTTGTCGCCTAGGCTGGAGTGCATTGATGCCATCTTGGTTCACCACAACCTCTGCCTCCCAGGTTCAAGCAATTCTCCTGCCTCAGCCTCCCAATTAGCTGAGATTACAGGCATGGGCCACCACGCCTGGCTAATTTTGTATTTTTACTAGAGATGGGGTTTCTCCATGTTGGTCAGGCTGGTCTTGAACTCTCAACCTCAGGTGATCCGCCCGCCTCAGCCTCCCAAAGTACTGGGATTACAGACGCAAGCCACTGCGCCCAGCCTATTTTTTTTTTTTTTTTTTTTGCATTTTTAGTAGAGATTTGGTTTCACCATGTTGGTCAGGCTGGTCTCGAACTCCTGACCTCAGGTGATCTGCCTACCTTGGCCTCCCAAAGTTCTGGGATTACAGGCATGAGCCACCGTGCCTGGCCCAGTATTTTTATTTTCATAGCATTAAAAAATATTCCTCCCAGAAGAGAGAAAGTTTTACAATCAACCTAATTAAATTATCTTCCAATGTCACCTTACAGTCAGATAAGCACAGAAAAATAAGCAGATGCTAATCTGTTTCCCAAGGTGATAAAAGCCGTTTCATTCCGGGGAGATAAAGAATAAGTAGGTTAGGTCAGGCGCGGTGGCTCACGCCTGTAATCCCCGCACTTTGGGAGGCTGAGGTGGGCAGATCACCTGAGGTCAGGAGTTCAAGACCAGCCTGGGCAACATGGTGAAGCCCCGTCTCTACTAAAAAAAAAAAAAAAACGCAAAAAATTAGTCGGGCATGGTGGCAGGCACCTGTAATCCCAGCTACTTGGGAGGCTGAGGCAGGAGAATTGCTTGAACCCGGGATGCAGAGGTTGCAATGAGCCAAGATTGTGCCACTGCACTCCAGTCTGGGCGACAGAGTGAGACTCCGCCTCCAAAAAAAAAAAAATACAAAAACTAGGCTCACGCCTGTAATCCCAGCACTTTGGAAGGCTGAGGCAGGTAGATCATGAGGTCAGGAGATCAAGACCATCCTGGCTAACACGGTGAAACCCCGTCTCTACTAAAAGTACAAAAAACTAGCCGGGTGTGCTGGCATGTACCTGTAGTCCCAGCTACTCGGGAGACTGAGGCAGGGAGAATTGCTTGAACCCAGGAGGTGGAGGTTGCAGTGAGCCGAGATCGTGCCACTGTACTCCAGCCTGGGCAACAGAGTGAGACTCCATCTCAAAAAGAAAAAAAAAAAAAAACTAAGGCTAGGCACGGTGGCTCACGCCTGTAATCCCAGCACTTTGGAAGGCTGAGGTGGGCAGATCATGAGGTCAGGAGTTTGAGACGAGCCTGGGCAATATTGTGAAACCCTGTCTTTTCTAAAAATACAAAGAAAAATTAGCCGGGCGTGTTGGCATGCACCTATAATCCCAGCTACTGTGGAGGCTGAGGCAGGAGAATCGCTTGAACCTGGGAGACGGAGCTTGCAGTGAGCCGAGATGGCGGCCACCGCACTCTAGCCTGGGTGACAGAGCGAGACTCCGTCTCAAAACAAAACAAAACAAAATCTAGCCAGAAATCGCTTGAACCCAGGAGGTGGAGGTTGCAATAAGCTGAGATTGTGCCACTGCCCTCTAGCCTGGGCAACAGAGTGAGACTCCACCCCTCCATGCCCCCCCAAAATAAAGTGTCTGGCTCTTTAAAGGAGATCACACTTGGTGGTGATGCGGGTGAAAGAGGATTGGGTTGAAGGAGTCAAAGTAGAAGTGGGAAAGCACCAAGCTGGGAAATGGGCACGTTTCTGTTCTGCGTCTAAGGTGATGCTCCTGACTTCGATTCCATCGATCAAGAGGAGTTTGCTGAAGGACAGGGTGTACAGCTGCCTTGCCCGCTCCTGAACCAGGCCCGGGGTGAAGTGTGTTGTGCACATTCAGCAGCTCCAGCCCCGCTGTGGGTCGCACTGACATGCTGGGCCCAGCCCACGCCCCAGAAGCTCGCAGCGCCATTGGTCTGGGGAATGGTGTTTTATGAGAAACTCCTGAAGTGACAGGATGGTGTCATTGGGCATAAGGGCCACGGCACTCCCACTGAGTTGCGACAAGTTCTACAAAATCATCCCTGGTTTTTAATAAGGAAACTGAGGCTCACTTGACAAGTTGAGAAAGTTGTCGCTGACCCGCTAGGCCAAGGGATACGCAGCATTTCACTCTTGCCTTCTCTTATTTGTGCAATTAGTCAAGGAAAAAGTGCAGCAAAGAGAGAGTCCTGAACCTTAAAACCCAGGAGAAAACTTATCCTACAATGCCGGGCAGTTCACGCTGATGGAAGCAGCAGCCAGAGGAAGGCACTTGGCTGGGCTTCCTGCAGCGCTGTGAGAATAGCCCGCTCCTCTGGTGGGGAAGGGGTGACACAGTCAATGGAGGGGGTGGTCTCTGAACCTGGAGCTTGGGATGGGGGCAGACAGCAGCTATTCAGCCATTCTCCATGGGCTGCCCATTTCCATGGGGACCTGGAGACAGAGAAAGGCCCAAGCGGCCAGAGGGGCCCTGGGCTCCAGTTCTACCAGCCCCACATTGACATCGTGTCCAACAAGATACCAAGAGAAGCAGGGAGTGGCTGACCTTCATTTTCCATATCAACACAGGGGGCCCTCTGCACGCACCAACATCTTTGTCTCCTGAAAAATGGCCTTTGTCAGTTATTTTTAAAAACTGGTGTTAATCCTGAGACACGGAGATACTCCCAGGAAGACATCCGAGCCTGGACACACTGAGATGAAACCAGAAACACTCGGAGAGAAAATGACATTGATTCCAGCCCTCAAAGCAACGGGACAAAAAACAAACAGGAGGCTTCCCTCCCGCCCCAGGGGCAGCGGCCAATGTCTGCGGCTCTGCGGGAAGGGCTCTCACTGTGACCAGATTGTGGCTTCTGATTGTATTGTAGAATTTCTGGCCCAGCTTTTAAGGTTCAAGGCTTCCTCCCTTTGCTTTTATGTTATTTTCTTGTTTAATAAAGATACACCTGTGTGAGAAGCATTGCCTGTTCACAGCTGCCACCGCCTCCTCCTCCTCCGCTTCCTCCCCATCCCCAGCACATCCTTCCCATCGACCCTCCAGAGAACCAAGCTCAATTCAGAGCAGGCCATGTGCCCAGCTACATCCCCTCAGCCTTGCCCCCCTGAGACAGAATCCACATTCCTGCCCCTCCGCCCCCACCCTCTCCTGGCAGCCCACTCTGTGCCGACCAGAATATCGGCCCCCTCCCACCCCAGGGCTCTTGTGGCTGTTCTGATGGACCTGAGGGCACCCTTCCCCGCCCGCCCCACACCACCTGCTCAACACCTGCTCCTCCTGTTCCCTCAGCCTGAGCTGAGCCCCCAGATGGCACCTGGCACACAGCGGTGCCCAGCAGTAACGGAGCTGTCATTTTTTGACACTTGTCCCTCCTGCTGAAAGGTGGGCTGTCCATGCACTGCTGCATCCCCAACTCTGTGCCCACCAACCCCGTCTTGATAAATGGTTCCTCCATCCACCCGACGCCACAGGCAATCTCGGGAGCCCCCTTGGGCCCTCCTCTCCCCTCACTCCTTGCACCCAGGGCAGCAGCACGCTCTGCTGGAGGACCCTCAAACTGCTGCCTATTCCAAGTCCGTCCACTTTTCTCTGTCCCTTCTGCTGCAGCCTGAGTGACAAGCTGGGCTTCCAGTTTAGCCACTTCCTTTCCAGCCTCTTCCCCTCTTCCCTCAAATCCCTTTTTCTTTTAACAGTGGGTTTTTTTGAGAAACCGACACTTGGCCATTCTGCTGCCCTGTTCAAAACTGAGGCTTTCCACTAGGCTTGGGATCGAGCACGAGCTTCTCCCAGCAAGATTCGCAGCCTGGCCCTCTTCCACGTCACCTTGTGTGTGTGGGCCTCTGGCTGGGGTTGCTGTCCCCACGGCTGCTTCACAGTCACTCCTTTCCATCCTCAACCAGCTCTCAGACACTTGTCCCAACCACGGTCTCCCTGTGTCCCCTCCCCAGCTGTTGGCATCAGGCATGTGTTGCTGCATGATGCTTGCATCCTCCTCTGGAATGTGAGCCCCCAGGGGCGGGATCCTCAACCATTCTGCTTGCCCATGGCACAGAATAAACGCGGTCAGGCGCCATGGGCTGCAGTGCTCCCACTTGTAAGCTCGGGGACTGCTGTGCACTGCCCCTGGGCCTCCAGGCGCTGCTCCCTCTCCTGGGCTCATCCTCCTTCGTCAGTGCCAGCCCCAGGCAGCAGCATCCCCTCCCCCCACACCCAGGCTCCTGCACATCCCACGTTATCACAGGGGTGCACATGAAAGGGTCACCCGCAGGCTGGGGTGTCATGAGGACATGCATTCTCACAAAGCCAGGCGTATGTCTAGCTATTGTGAAATGTTTGCTGAGTCAATGAATGAATTGCAGGATACTAGATGGATCTGGCTACAAATGTTTAGAAACTACCTTAAATCCAGTTAACTGGGGGCTGTCATCATTGAGAAGTCTAGACAAAATGAGTGACAGGGAGCAGGTGTGATCAGACATGGAGCAGACATGGATCACACATGGAACAGACATGGCTCACACATGGAGCAGCATGGACCACATGTGGAACAGACACGGTTCACACATGGAACAGACACAGTTCACACATGGAACAGCATGGACCATACATGGAACAGACACAGATCACACATGGAACATACACGGCTCACACATGGAACAGCATGAATCACATATGGAGCAGCATGAATCACACATGGAACAGACATGGTTCACACACGGAACATACATGGTTCACAGATGGAACAGACATGGTTCACACATGGAACAGATAGTTCACACATGGAACAGATAGTTCACACATGGAACAGACATGGTTCACACATGGAACAGACACAGTTCACACATGGAACAGCATGGACCATACATGGAACAGACACAGATCACACATGGAACATACACGGCTCACACATGGAACAGCATGGATCACACATGGAGCAGCATGAATCACATATGGAGCAGCATGAATCACACATGGAACAGACATGGTTCACACATGGAACAGACATGGTTCACACATGGAACAGACATGGTTCACACATGGAACAGATAGTTCACACATGGAACAGACATGGTTCACACATGGAGCAGCATGGATCACACATGGAACAGACACAGTTCACACATGGAACAGACACAGTTCACACACGGAGCAGCATGGTTCACACACGGAGCAGGCACCACACACCCATGCCGTAGCATGCATCAGCCTGGTTTTCGGGCCCACACAATAGAAGTCATTGTTTTGGTGGTAAACAATATCCACCTGGATATTTTTCAAAATAGAGAATTGAATTATAACCTACAAATTTCCATCCTCACATGGAAATTTGACCTGGTTGAATGGCATCTGCCCTGCAGCCACTGTCCCCAAAACTGAGAGGCGGGGCAAAGTAGCCGAAGAAAGCAGCGCTGAAGCTGGCAGCTGCAAAGAGTGCAGGGCCCTCCAGTCTCTACAAAATTCACAGCTGCTTCCAGCCTCATGCTGGGACGTGGGCTGAGCAATGAATTCTTCTTGTAATCCAGGGTAGAGTGGAAGAAAGTTCAAGGTGAGCATCAACTCATTCAATCACTTAACAATAGGCAGGTTTGGCTCATACTGCAGAGGCCAAGCAGGAGAACCTGGCTCCTGTGTCTCTGGAAATGTTAAAATGCCTGTCAACAGGAAAAAAAGATCTGTCTCTGCCATCCTGAAGGTAAGTTTGCCACCTACGCACTAAAGATTAAGGCCATATTTTTTCAATGTTGAGATTATTCCCTTTGTCTGCAAACAGGGGCTTAGGACAACAGCCCTTTCTTCTCTCACAGTCCCGGAGGCCAGAGGCCAACATCAAGGTGGTGGCAGGGCCAGACTCCCTCGGGGGCTCCAGGACCCCTCCTGCCTCTTCCAGCTTCTGGGGGCTCCAGGTGTCCCTTGACTCAGAGCCGCCCACTCCCATCCCCGCCTCCATCTTCACGCTCCAGCCACTGAGACCATGCCCGACACAGCAAGTGTGGGCTGCTGCAACTGCTGTCCCTCCGTGTTCCCTCTGCACACATTGGAAAGAAAGTCTGAGGGTGGAAGCCAGGCATTCGGCCAGCCCTGGGAGCACAGTTCGGCAGTGACGGCAACACCAGCAGCTCAGGGTCCTCCACCCGCCAGCCCCGGGAGCACAGTTCTGCAGTGAGGATGACACCAGAGGCTCAGGGTCCTCCACCTGCCAGCCCTGGGAGCACAGTTCTGCAGTGATGGCAATGCCAGCGGCTCAGGGTCTTCTACCTGCTGGTCCCCAGGAGGCGGGCGCAGGTGTCTCCCTGCTTCACAGAAGAGGAAACTGAGACTTTGAAAGCTGAGCCGAGTCACTCGCCTGGTGCCACATTAACCAGCAAGTGGTAGAGGTGAGATCTGAACCCAGGACCGTTCGATTCTAGGCCTGAACTGCTTTTATCTTTTGGATGTATAGTTCACACATAACATAACATTAACCGTTAGTCATTTAAACACGTACAAATCCGTGGTGTTTAAGTCACTCCCAGTGTTGGGCAACCATCCCCATCATCTAGTTCCAAGACATTTTATCACCCCAAAGAGAGACCCCATCCACTCAGCCCTCACTCTCCATCGCCCCTTCCCCCCGCCCTAAGCAGCCACGAATCTCGTCCGTCTCTCTGGATCCTCCTGTCCTGAACATTCGTGCACTCGGAATCATACAACCCGTGGTCACTGACCCTTTCACGCAGCCCAGTGTTTTCAGGGGTCCTGCACATTGCAGCGCGTCTTCCTGTGTGCAGCTGAATGACTCTCCAAGGGATGGCGGACTACGCTGGGTTTATCCATCATCCACGGATGGACGGGCCTGAACTCTGACCCCGGCTCCTACTGTTGCTTCCATGTCATCTTTTTTTTTTTTTTCAAGACCAGTCTCGCCGGGCGCAGTGGCTCACGCCTGTAATCCCAGCACTTTGGGAGGCCGAGGCGGGGGGATCACGAGGTCAGGAGATCAAGACCATCCTGGCTAACACCGTGAAACCCCGTCTCTGCTAAAAATACAAAAAATTAGCCGGGCATGGTGGTGAGCGCCTGTAGTCCCAGCTACTTGGGAGGCTGAGGCAGGAGAATGGTGTGAACCCAGGAGGCGGAGCTTGCAGTAAGCCGAGATCGCGCCACTGCACTCCAGCCTGGGTAACAGAGCGAGACTCCGTCTCAAAAAAAAAAAAAAAAAAAAAAAAAAAAGACCGGTCTCATTCTGTCGCCTAGGCTGGAGTGCAGTGGCGTGATCTCAGCTCACTGCAGCCTCAACCTTCCCCAGCTCAGGTGATCCTTCTACCTCAGCCTCCCCAGCAGCTGGGACTACAGGTGCACCACCACCACGCTGGGCTAGTTTTTGTATTTTTTGTAGAGACGGGGTCTCCCTATGTTGCCCAGGCTGGTCTTGAACTCCTGGGCTCAAGAGATTTTCCCACCTTGGTCTCCCAAAGGGCTGGCATTACAGGCGTGAGCCACCGCGCCCAGCCTCCAAGTCATCTTTCACACGCAGAGCACGCCTGAGAGCAGCAACAAGACTAACGTTGGGGCCAAAGCTAAGAAGTGGGGCGGAGCCTCCCTGGTGGCCGGTCGTCAGCCCAGTGCCTGAAATGCATGCAAAGTCTATTTTTATTTTGCGTAGTTGAACCTAAGCAAAAAATCTGGCCCTATAATCTCTAACCTTGCTCCTAACTGGCACCTACCCTATTGCACAAGAAGCTATCTAGGGGAGGACTCAGTGAGCACTCGGTGAGTTTGTCCAGCCATGGTGGTACTGTCTCCTTCCCTCTGCAGGCACAGCGGGAAGAATAGGGTGGATGGAGGGCTCTCTGCACCTTCCACAGCCCGCAGCGTGGACGGCAGATTACAAGTTAGTATCTGTGCGACCTCCGCACTCCCCTGCCGGTGGCTGCCTGGGCTGCTGAGATTTCGCTTGGTTTTATCACTGCAGAGGAATGCCTGCCATACCGGGGGGCGAGCAAGGTCCAGAATGACAAGCCGTGGCATTCCTCAGCCGCCTCCTCCCCGGGGTGGGGCCTGGACATTCCTGGCTGCAGCTAGAGGTCCCAGCACGACAGGGATTCTGACCCCCCCTCCACCACGGCTATTGTTCAGAATTCTGTGGATTCCAGAGGCATCTGCCCAGCAGACTGTCTTGCTGTGAACACCCAGCTCTGCAACCGGTGTTTGCGTGTTTGCCCTGGGAGGCTGAACGCTCACCCAGAACAAAGGCCTCCCCACATGCCTGCTGTGAGCTTCCAAGTACTCGTTAGGACACACGCCAAGGAACCCCGGGTTGGGGGGATACCGAGGAGCTTCCTCCCTGACCCACACACACCCTTTGAACAGGTCTTTGGCTGCTCACCAGTCTGGTCAATCTCGGGGCAGTATTTATATTCCTTCCCGTTTCCAGGCCTAGGAGCCTTGGCATCCTGCTCTCGCCTCTAACTGAAATTACCTCTCAACCCTTTTTAGCTAAGATGCCTCTCGCATTCCCCAGGAATAACAAGCTTTAAAGCCCCTTCACACTGAAGCCTGCCTTTGAATTTCCCAGCTAGATTTGGGGGTGGGGGTCTTATGGCTCCCGGTGAACCCCCGGTTCTGTTGATTAAATTGAGCTCAGGCAGAGTGCTGGCTTCCCAAAGCCTGTGTTATTACTGCTTCTCAAAGCTACGGGCACCGGATCGCCATCTTTGGCAAGATTCTTTTGGGATACAATGGGAATTACTGGGTGGCCTCGGTTCGGTTCTTCCCTCGTCTCAGTTCGCGGCTCACCAGCCACATTGATGCAGCCCCCAGGCTGGAAGGAGGCTGCAGGAGCTTCCCCTCAGGTCATCTTCTCATCCCTCCCCCGTGCCCCAGGAGCTGGTTGTGGGGGCGGTTCCATCCCCTCGGCCCATCCGGGACAGGAGCCTAGGTTCCCTTCGGGGGGTACCCCAAACCCCATCCTTGGCCTCAGGCCAGCCCTGGTGCACTGCCCGCTCCCAGGCTTGACGAGAGGCTGCGGGCCAGTGGGTGAAGGGGCTCGCCCTGACTGCCAGGCCCCGCCCAGGCGCACCCGGGAGGACGGGCTGGGATGACGCGGGCGCCGGGGGGGTAGGTCGCGAGGCCGGGGTCTCCATGGCGCAGGAGTACGGGGGCCTTCGAGGACCACGCGGGCCTGGGAATCGCCTGCCAGGCTAGGCCGGACGACGCACGTGCTCCGAGCTGGGTCGAGGGGGCGGGGCTGAGGGCCGCGGCCGGGCCACGGGTCGGGGAGGAGCCGCGGACGGTGGGCGGGGCCAGTGGGCCGGGGCCTAAAAGGCGGCGCGGGCGGGGTTCCTGACGCAGCTGCGGGCGGCGGGCGGCGAGCGGCGCGCACAATCCTCGCTCGGCTGCGGCTCCCGGGTGTCCCAGGCCCGGCCGGTAAGCAGAGCATGGCGGGTGCGGGCCCGAAGCGGCGCGCGCTAGCGGCCCCGGTGGCCGAGGAGAAGGAAGAGGCGCGGGAGAAGATGATGGCCGCCAAGCGCGCGGACGGCGCGGCGCCGGCAGGCGAGGGCGAGGGCGTGACCCTGCAGGGGAACATCACGCTACTCAAGGGCGTGGCCGTCATCGTGGTCGCCATCATGGGCTCGGGCATCTTCGTGACGCCCACGGGCGTGCTCAAGGAGGCAGGCTCGCCGGGGCTGGCGCTGGTGGTGTGGGCCGCGTGCGGCGTCTTCTCCATCGTGGGCGCGCTCTGCTACGCGGAGCTGGGCACCACCATCTCCAAATCGGGCGGCGACTACGCCTACATGCTGGACGTCTACGGCTCGCTGCCCGCCTTCCTCAAGCTCTGGATCGAGCTGCTCATCATCCGGCCTTCATCGCAGTACATCGTGGCCCTGGTCTTCGCCACCTACCTGCTCAAGCCGCTCTTCCCCACCTGCCCGGTGCCCGAGGAGGCAGCCAAGCTCGTAGCCTGCCACTCCGTGCGTGAGTACGGGGCGCGGGCCGGGGGTTGGGAGGTCGTAGTCCCTGGGTCCCTGCATCCTTGCATCACTACGCCCCTGGCTCCCACATCTCTACATTTTTGCGTTCCTGGACCGTCCCGGCAGTTCTAGGCTAAGGTCATTGGTCCCAGAAACCAAGTGCGTTTCTTTCATTCATTCTTTTACACTTCTCCCCACAGGCTGGGAATATCTTCAGTGACGGGACAGCAGGGTCCCTGCCCTGCCCTTCGGTGGGCATTTCATTCCCCCACTTAAGCGGTTCAGGCAAGTGCCAGCCTCCCGTTGGCCCCGCTGAGCAATACTCCCAGCCTCTTGCGTGGCACCCACGTGGAGTAACTGAGCAACCGGTTTATTGTTAAAGCTCCGATTGCTGACTGGTTGGTGAAAACGAAATTGCAGTTAAAAAGAAAATTATTCATTTCTGCTCTCCACACCAGCTCGTCAGGAATCAGTGACACGGGCTGACTCATAAGAAAACAGTAGTAATAAAATCGTGTGCGGGTAGTGACTGGTGCTGGTTTAGGCTAAGGGATCCCCCCTGAGGGTTGCCCAGTAGTGAGAGAGCGGAGCTTGGCTGCAGATTCAGTCTGTGTTACAGTGAATGGAGGTTCGGGTCCCAGGTTACTCTGGGAAACAGCCATGGGGCTCCTATTTTGGTGGGCATGGTGCTGGTGTGTTCTTCACCAGGCCAGAGAGAACTGCTTTTCAAAATAGTTTTCTTTTCTTTTCTTTTTTTTTTTGAGATGGAGTCTCACTCTGTCGCCCTGGCTGGAGTGCAGTGGCGCGATCTCGGCTCACTGCAAGCCCCGCCTCCCGGGTTCACGCCATTCTCCTGCCTCAGCCTTCCGAGTAGCTGGGGCTACAGGCGCCCGCCACTACGCCCGGCTAATTTTTTTTGTATTTTTAGTAGAGACGGGGTTTCACCGTGTTAGCCAGGATGGTCTCGATCTCCTGACCTTGTGATCCGCCCGCCTCGGCCTCCCAAAGTGCTGGGATTACAGGCGTGAGCCGCCGTGCCCGGCCTCAAAATAGTTTTCTTGTGGGATTTCAGGGGGAAAATGACTTGTACCAGATACCACATGATTTGGTTGGGTGGCGTGGGAAGGCGGGTCTTGGCAATTCTCAGGTTCATCCCATGGCAAGGATCGGCCTGGATCTCAGTAGTGTGTGTACACATTCAAGGTGGGAAGGGTTAATTTATAGTTGGGGTCTTGAGCCATGAAATCAGGGGAGTGGCTTCTGACTGGCAGGACCTGTTGGCGCTGTTTTCTGCCACACCGTACTTTGGGGAGAAGGGGGAGGGGGAGGCATTTCTTCATAAATGTGAGAATGCCCCGAGGGCAAGACTCAGCAGGGCTCTGTGTGGTTTCTCTGAGGCTCTGAGCGGAGCAGCCGCACCACCATGCAGGTCAAAGCCGGGAAAAATCGTAGGACAGGAGTGGGGAGAGCCTGTGGCTTCCAGCTGGGCGTTGGACATGTGAATGTAGGGGATGACTGATTTCTTTTTTTTGTCATTAGAATTTCACTGGTTCAGTCTCCCTCTCGCCTAGGTACATGCCCGCCTGGTATGTAACGACATGGATAATAGCTTATGCAGCCTGCACTCTTACCTTTAAAAAATGAATCCCTGTTGGCTGGGTGTGATGGCCCACGTCTATAATCCCAGCACTATGGGAGGCCAAGACAGGCAGATCTACCGAGGTCAGGAGTCCGAGACCAGCCTGACCAACATGGTGAAACCCCATCTCTACTAAAAATACAAAAATTAGCTGAGCATAGTGGCTCACGCCTGTAATCCCAGCTACTTATGAGTCTGAGGCATGCTCCGGGACGTGGAGTTTGCAGTGAGTTGAGATCCTGCCACTGCACTCCAGCCTGGGTGACAGAGCAAGCCTGTCTCAAAAAAAAAAAAAAAAAAAAAAAAAGCAGCCCCTGGGTGCTGAGTGTCTGACTTCCTGTTGGTGCCAGGAGTGAGTTGTGGGAAATGCTTCATTGGCCACCAGGAAGGAGACATAGGATGGGGCGCTGCCTAGTTTTCTCTTTCTAATAAAAATCACATCAGTCATACATGAATTCATCATCATTTAAAAATTCAAACCAGCCAGGCACTGTGGCTCATGCCTGTAATCCCAGCACTTTGGGAGGCCGAGGCAGGCGGATCACCTGAAGTCAGGAGTTCGAGACCAGCCTGGCCAACATGGGGAAACCCCATCTCTACTAAAAATACAAAAAATTAGCCAGGCGTGGTGGCAGATGCCTGTAATCCCAGCTACTCGGGAAGCTGTGGCAGGAGAATCACTAGAACCCAGGAGGTGGAGGTTGCAGTGAGCTGAGATCGCACCACTGCACTCCAGCTTGGGCAACAAGGCGAAACTCTGTCTCAAAAAAAAAAAGCAAAAATCAGCTGGGCGTGACGGCGCACACCTGTAGTCCCAGCTACTCGGAGGCTGAGGCAGGAGAACTGCTTGAACTTGGGAGCCAAGATGGTGCCACTAAGCTCCTGCCTGGGTGACACATTTCTCCTCCTTTACCACCCCCCAGCCCCAGAGTTTCTGTGGCTGACAGTGTACGCTTCCAGAGCTGCTTCTGTTACAAATATATCGCTGGCCTATTTATTTAAAAGATCATAATGTACAACTTGTTCTCCACCTTTTTTTTAAGCCTAAAATGGTTTTGCCATGTTCCCAGGCAGTACGCAGAGGCTGCCCTCTTTAGCTGCTAAGAAGACTTCCCTGTGTCGGCAGGAACAAGTGTGCTCACCGCCCCCACCCCCCGACCCCCCGTAGACCCCTGTGGAGGGCATTTGGGGTTTCCCAGCTTTGTGCAAATGGGAAAAGGTTATGTGGTTTTTTGTTTTTTGTTTTTGTTTTTGTTTTGAGACAGAGTCTGTCTCTGTCGCCCAGGCTCGTTGCTCACTGCAACCTCTGCTTCCTGGTTTTAAGCAATTCTCCTGCCTCAACCTCCGGGAGCTTAGATTACAGGCATGTGCCTCAGCCTCCCAATTTGCTAGGATTACAGGCATGAGCCATCGCACCCGGCGGGGTGTGGAGTCTAATGTAATAGCTAATGTGCCTTCCAAAGAGGCTGTACCAAGTCACACGTTCCTGGATTTATTTTGTGGTAATAGGGCTTTAAAAAGTATTTTTATTTATTTATTTTTATTTTATTTTATGTTTGAGATGGAGTTTTGCTCTTACCCAGGCTGGAGTACAATGGCGCGATCTCGGCTCACTACAACCTCCACCTCCCGGGTTCAAGTGACTCTCCTGCCTCAGCCTCCCAAGTAGCTGGGACTACAGGTGCCCACCATGCCCAGCTAATTTTTTGTATTTTTAGCAGAGACAGGACTTCACCATGTTGGCCAGGCTTGTCTTGAACTCCTGACCTCAGGTGATCCACCCGCCTCTGCCTCCCAAAGTGCTGGGATTACAGGCTTGAGCCACCGCACCCGGCCTAAAATAGCTTTCCAGCAGTCCTTTTGGTCCCAGTAGGTAAAGCCTCAAGGCAGGCTCTAGAGTGCCAACCCTTCTGACCCAGAGGTGAGGGTTAATGTTAATAGGATCCCTTTCAGCGAAAGTTAGGGCCACACTTCTCATGTCCCTAAGCCATTTGTACTTGTTTTTTTTCTCTGACCCACCTGTGTATGTGGTGAGTATGTGTGTATGTGTTGCTTTTTTTTTTTTTTTGGAAAGTGATTTTCAGTAACAGAAAGGGATGTGCTCTCTGCAAGAGTGAATCTATTCTTGCCCCTGTGTGTAAGGCGAGAAGGAGAAGTTGTGTTCTCTGAACAGGCAGACCCTGCTGAGAGAGGGAGGTGTGTTGGGGTTCAATCATTCTGGTGGGAAAGATATTAGAGGTAGTTATAGAAATAGACACAAATCTTGGAAGGCCGAGAAGTTGGCATAACTTTGGTAATTAGCTCTGGCTGAAGGCGGCCTGATCCCTTTACCTTTAGTTAAACAAATAAACATAGAAATAAAAGAAAGGCAGAGTAGTTTACCTAGCTAGCTTGTTTACTCATATAATCTTAAGACCCTGGGTGCTTAAATGCTTTTTACCCGGTAAGTCCACAATGTCTGTTACACTCTAATGGTGTTGACTCAAGCTTTTGTTAATTAATCATACTGAATAAATGCGCGTCTGACTAGCTGATCAGGGCCAAGTAGCAACTGTTTACAGGACTCAGCAGGGAGCCTATAAGCGGCTGGAACACTCAGCTGGACTGGCAGAGCAGAATATCTGTGTGTCTGTACTTTATTCATCTGTCACGGGGTCACGGGTCTGTAAGGGACAGACTCCCTGCAGCTGGTGCCCCCTTGAAAGGAGTGCTGTCGCAGAGGTGGGCTTGGCTGAGTCTGGTAGAACTCCAAGCTGATTCTCAGGTCGTTCTGACTTCAGCTCGGAGAAGGGCAGTGGATGTCCCAGGAAGGGAGACCCTGCCCTTGTAGGGGGACTTCTGACAGGTGCAGGGGGCAGCCTGGAGCCCGGACCAGTGGGCAGGATGGGCGCTCCAGGGTGTGAAGGAGAGGCTCGGCGTTTGATCTGTGGACATTGTTCCTGGAGCAGTGAAAAGCCATAGAAAGTGATTTATTTTATTTATTTATTTATTTATTTATTTATTTATTTATTTTGAGATGGAATTTCGCTCTTTTTGCCCAGGCTGGAGTGCAATGGCACGATCTCGGCTCACTGCAACCTCTGCCTCCCGGGTTCAAGTGACTCTCCTGCCTCAGCCTCCCGAGTAGCTGGGATTACAGGCATGCACCACCATGCCTGGTTAATTTTGCATTTTTTAGTAGAGACAGGGTTTCTCCATGTTGGCCAGACTGGTCTCGAACTCCTGACCTCAGGTGATCCGCCCACCTCGGCCTCCCAAAGTGCTGGGATTACAGGCGTGAGCCAGTGTACCCAGCTGATTTTTTTTTTTTTTAAATGATCACACATAAGGTTGGGTTCCAGAATTTTCTGCTTAGGAAGGGAAAGGGCACCTTTTACCCCCTTAGTCCTTGAGCCTGATCCTACAGAAGGTACAGTGGCTTTCGGGTCTGGATCCTCAGCCCTCGGGCCTCTGAGGCTGCCTTGGGAGAGGGTACGGATTTGCGAACAAGGTTCTCAGTTTTGCTGGCTGTCTTTTCAGTCGCCCAGGCACGTCCCACAGAAAGTTTCTTTTTGTGAAATAATCGTGTGAAATGGGTTGGCCTCGGTGCTTAGAACCATCCCACTGACGGTGAGTGGAAAAAATCCCTTGCTTGTCAGTCTGGTTAGGAGATGAGGTCCTTTCACGCGTGTCTTCGTGTTGGTGCGCTTTTCACGGGTCATAAAGATGAGAGGAACCAGCTCCATGTGTCTCTTTCTGGATGGCCATATGGAACTTGGCATGACAGTAGGGTTGTGTGGGTTATTTATTGCTTGATGAAGACTTGGCAGCGTGTACTGGAAATTCAAGCAATGCTGGGTTTTATCAGAAGGCGCAAAGGCTGGAGTTGAGATTCTGGCTGGGCCTGGATTTGGTTTGGGCAGTTTATCTGACCTCCCTGGGCCCCAGCTGGCTCTGCATAGCAAGTAGGGTAGCATCTACTCAAAGTCCCGGCCACAGCCGTGGACTGGCACTGGCCCAGGCGAGCTCTCAGTAAGTGGGAACTCACAGGTTCAGAAGATGCTGTGGGCCTCAGGGGCTTCCACCTCCAGGGAGGTGCTCTCAGAAGAAGGGCCTGATGGGCTCACCACATCGTGGAGAAGATACCCCGGCTCAGTCTCAGTCAGTTCCCCAAGCGCATAGGTGTTCGGGAAGTGGCCTGCAGACAGCTCCTCCATGCCTTGAAAGCAGAAGTAGCCCCCTCCTGTTTCCCTGTCCCAGTTGGGTGAAGCATGGGAGCCTGCTGGGACAGTCCCAGGCGTGCCGTCACGCAGGGGCAGGCCGTCCATCGGTCTCGCGGGACTCTGGCTGCGGGTGGCTGAGGACACCTGGCCTCATGGGAGACGGTGCCAGGGTCCCTGGAGTGAGGTGGGTCTCCTCCCCATGGCTGTCACTCCTCAGCAGATTGGTGTGGGCGGGTGTGCGTTTAGGAACCTGTGAGCTGAGACATTGTCCAGCTAGCGTCAGGCCAAAAGCAACCAAGGCTTTGAGAAATCCACCTGGCCCTGCCGAGCCTGTTTCTGGCTGTGGAATGGGATTTGCCCCAGCGCCAGGTGTCTGGGAATCACAGGCCTCCGTGTGTGAAGGTGCCAGTTGCACGGGCTGTGACCGTCCCTCCACGTGCTTGTATCTCCTGCTCACTGTGCATGTTGAGCAGCCCTCAGCCTCACTGTCTTCTCCTTTGGCAAAAAGAAAGGAGCAAGGGAACAAAGAGAGGGAGGGAAGAGCCAGAGACAGGAGCCAGGGTTTCCTTTAGTCTGGAGCTCTGGGTGCAAGATGATGTCACCCACCCACACTCGGCACAGGCCCAGGGTCGGGGGGCTGTGGGTGGAAGTAGGAATCGCCACAACTGTCTCTGAGCCCCTCCCTAAAGGGTGAAGGGTGTAAGGGGTGGGTTTTGATGGCTGTGGGCTTAGCTGTGGTCAGTGGACTCAAAGGCCAGTTGGCCAGTTAGCAGTGACCAGAGAGCAGAGGGGGCCTGTGTGTGTTTTGCCCCAGGGTCTTCAGGCTGCCTGGCTGCCTCTATCCGCCCCCCTGGTGTGTCCAGCACCCCCCTGGGGTATCCAGCACCTGTAACCTGTAGCCCCGCTTCTCAGTCCAGGCCTGTTCCAGGGCCCCCCCGGGGTATCAAGCACCTGTAGCCTGTAGCCCCACTTCTCAGTCCAGGCCTGTGTAAAACCTGGCCCCGGGTTGGGTTTTGGGATCCCTGCACCCCTCCATCCCCAACCCCCCACAGCTGGGACCCTGGCTCAGCTAGCAAAGGTTCTGCGTGTTTAAGGAGCTGGGTGGGCCCCAGAGCTCAAGCCGTGGGCTCATTGCAGGCGGCAGCCAGTGATTAGTGCTGAAATCCGACTTTCCCAGCCAGACATGAAAGTGCCGCCAGCGCCTGGGCAGGTCACGCTGCATCACGGGATTCGGGGCAAGGCCCTAGGGCGAGTTCACAGAAGCACATGACCTGAGCCACACAGGAGAGCCTAACGGGCACTTCTGACCCTTTTTCCTTGGGTCACAGACCTCTTTCATAATCCAGCAGAATGTGCAGAATCTTGCCCAGGAATGTGTACCAGCCGCCTTCACACAGAAGGGTGGGCTGTGCAGACCCCCGAGGGCCCAGGCCAGGGTGAGAGCCACCCCCTGGAGAGGGGTGTCCAAGGTAGGGCACACGCTTGCACCACCTCTTGGCACCTCTTGGCCACCACTTTCCACTCCAGCCTTTGAAGCCAGTGATAATCCCCAATTTACAGCTGGGGAAACTGAGGCAGGAGCAAGCCAGGAGCCAGGGGCCACAGTGCCCACCTCTACACTGAGGCCACCGTTTGTCTTCAGGCATAGGGGAGCACACAGCCACGCCTGGGGAGTCTGGTGGGTGCCAGGGGTCTGGGGAGGTGTCAGCAAGACTGGGTGGCCCAGTCGGCCCAGGTAAGGACACAGGTGGGTCAGAGGCTCATCTGTGTTCCCCAGCAACCCCTAGGGGCTCTTCGCGCTCCTCCACCCTTCTCCATCCTTCCCAGACTCACATCCAGGTATCCTGGACAGCCACAGGGTTCTGCTCCCCAGTAGGCCTGGCCCTCCCTGGAGCATCACCTGGATGGCTGGCCATGGGCAGGCCTTGCCTGGCCCGTCTGCAGGGACAGGGCATGTGTATGCACGCAGATTGGTACTGTGTGCCCGCGCGCTCCCCAGAGGCCCTGTGGCAGCACCCCCTTCCTGCCGCTGCCCTTTTCCAACAGGAGGGCCCCCCCGCAGCGTCTCCTTCCCTGATTGTGGCCAAATCCTGAACTCTCCCTCTGGAAGGCGGACCCTCCGGGGTGGCCACAGCTCGTGCCCTCCGGGAGCGTGGGAGGCGTCTCTTTCTCTGCATCCCTGGCCGTCAGACCGCCCCAGGTGGGGACCATTCTCTGGCATTGCCCGCCCCTCCCCTGCCCTAGGATTTGCCCACTATGTGAGGAATGAGCACCAACCTCCTATTCCGGGCCTTGGAGCGTGACGCCCGCAAACTCGATCCCTGCTGAGTCATCCTGACCTCGGGGTGGGCCAGCATCTGTCACTGCTGAGACACTATATGTGTGAGCTGCTTGTTAACGAGAAAGCCAGACTCTGTAAAATATTTGAAGAGATTTATCCGGAGTTAAATGTGAGGACCAAGGCCTGGAGGCCCTGAGGACATGTGCCCCAGGGGGTGGGCCACAGCTGGAGTTCATACCTTGTACAAGGACAGAAGTTACAGGCAGACATCAGTCAGTATGTGAAAGGTATTTGTTGGTTCTGCCGAGAAAGGCGGGACAACTCCAAGGTGGGGATGGGCTTCCTGGTCACAAGTGGGTTCAAAGATTTCTTTATTCTTTATATATATATATATATATATATTTTTTTTTTTTTGAGATGCTTTTGTTACTCAGGCTGGAGTGCAGTGGCGTGATCTCAGTTCACTGCAACCTCCGCCTCCTGGGTTCAAGTGATTCTCCTGCCTTAGCTTCCCGAGTAGCTGGAACTACAGGCATGCACCACCATGCCCAGCTAATTTTGTGTTTTTAGTAGAGACAGGGGTTTCACCATGTTGGTCAGGCTGGTTTTGAACTCCTAATCTCAGGTGATCCGCCCACCTTGGCTTCCCAAAGTGCTGGGATTACAGGCATGGGCCACCGTGCCTGGCAAAAGATTTTCTGATTCACAATTGGTTGAAAGAGTTATTAGCTAAAGACCTGGAATCAATAGAAAGGAGTATCTGGGTAAGACAGGAGGTTGTGGAGACCAATATTGTGTTTTGTTTTGTTTTGTTTTTGTCACCCAGGCTGGAGTGCAGTGGCATGATCTCGGCTCACTGCAACCTGGTTCAAGCGATTCTCCTGCCTCAGCCTCCCAAGTAGCTGGGATTGCAGGTGCCTGCCACCACCATGCCTAGCTAATTTTGTATTTTTAGTAGAGATGGGGTTTCTCCATGTCGGTCGGCCTGGTCTCGAACTCCTGACCTCGTGATCTGCCCACCTCAGCCTCCCAAAGTGCTGAGATTACAGGCATGAGGCACTGAGCCAGGCCAAGATCTGTGTTTGAATGTTAGTGCTGGTCAGCTGTACCTGAATTCCAGAGGGAGGGGGTATAACAAGGCCTGTGTGACCCTTCTTCCCATCATGACCTGAGCTCGTTTTTCAGGTTAACTTTGGAATATCCCTTTGGCCAATAGGAGGGGTCCCTTCAGTCAGTTAGGGGGCTTAGAATTTTATTTTTGGTGTACGTGCTCAAACTGCAGCTGCTACAAAACCAAGGCCACGGTGACCCTGGGGCCAGTCCAGCTTTGTCCCTGTGCTCTCGAGCTGCTGGAGGCCAATGCAGGATTCTGCCCACAGCTCACATGTGTGGCTTCAGAGCCTGGGAGTTCTTGGGGCTGTGTCTTCACCTGGTACCGTGTAGGGGCCCTGTGAGCTGAGTCAACTGGAAGAGCCCAGAGCCTCTGCAGAAGGCCTGAGCAGGGCCCGGGCACTGTCCCTGGAGCTCTGAGTCCCTCAAGCTGTGTGGCCCGCAGCCAGGCGCTTGACTTCTCTGGCGTTTGCTTCAGAGCTGGGAGCCTGGGGTGGCGTAGGTCTTTGGCAGGGGTCAGGTAGGGGAGGGGCCAGCCAGGAATCAAACATCCCTGACAGGTGAGGGGGCAGGTGAGGAGGGCAGGGCAGGAGCCCCTGTAGCACTTGTGCAGCAGCATCTGGACCGGTGCAAGCCCTGAGATGGCTTCAGGTCCTGCTCAGAGCTAAGGGCTCCCTGTCACCAGGGATTCTTCCATCACTGCACCTGCAGAGCCCATTGGGATTGGGGAGAGGCCCTGGCCTTAGCTTGGAACAGCTGTATCCGCCTGTCGGGTGTGCAGGCTGTGCACTGGTTAAGCCTGAGCGCAGAGTCTGTTCAACGAGTTCATTGTGTGGTATTTGCTTCCGCTTGCTGTTGAGTTGGACTGGCCTGGATGCTGGCCAGGAGCCCAAGTGGACTTGGTGCTTCTCTTTGACAGCCAGGATTGAAAAGCCCAGTCAAGTGGGCAGAGCACGAGGGTGAGATTTAGGAGACCTGGATGTCCTCACTTTGCCGCCCAGGAACTGCTGTGTGACTTTCAGCAAGTGGGACAACCTTTCTGAACTATGTTTACACCAGCTATAAAATGGAGGTGTTGGATTGGCTGCCACAAGTGTCCTCCACCTCCACAATACCGTAACTGGAGCGGGTTTTCACTCCTTTTTCTTGTTAGCATAACTGTTGGAGCTATAGAGGGTTTGGAGTGGGGTGTGGGTTTCTGGGCCACAGATGTGTGAGGCTCCGCACTTAGCCAGCAGTGGCAACTCCTTATCACTGGTGCCCACGGCTTCATCTGTGCCCTGAAGATACTAATGCTGCGGTGACTGGTCAGATTAATGGTGATGCTTTCATGGGGCGCCGTAAGACATGTCCGCGAGGTATTTCACCCATACAATGGGAGGCAGTGTTCCAGTCTGTTGGAGACAGGAAAGGGAGGCTCAGTCCCTGCGAAGGAACTTTCCCGAGTTCACACAGCATTTCAGCACCGGGTGGCCTGGCTTCAGAGTTTCAGAGGGAGGGGTGGCCCTTCCTGTCGGTCCTGGGGGTCTCCTGGAGTCAGGACCCTTGGGAAACCCAAATCCACCAGGACGCTTGCATCAGGAGAACCTGACCACATGAGAAGCTGCCCTTTTCTGGTTCTCCTGCTTACCCTCGACTTGGGGTGTCGGCAAATTTCAGAGCTTGCCAAATCTGCATCTTCCTGGCCTGTTTAAAATGAATGTGTCAGCCCCATTCTGGACAGCAGCTGACACCTCTTCCCCCGTGCCAGCCAGGACAGTGTGGTTGGGCGTAACTCAGCCCCGGTTAAAAATGGAAAAAAGTACAAAGACATGTGTTCAAGGCCTGGTGACAGAATTTGAAAATGTGACACCAGCCTGTTAGTAATTTGTTTTCACAGAAACCTGATTCAACACTGAGCAGACAGGTGGGGCCAGGGCCTTGGGATCATCTCTGTGCTTGCCCAGGGACATCTGTATGTCTGGCCCAAAGCGGGGGCCTTGTGCTCTGCAGAGACTGGACATCAAAATTGAGCCATTATAAGCAGACCATCCTGGCCAGGCACGGTGGCTCACTCCGGTAATCCCAACACTTTGGGAGGCCAAGGTTGGTGGATCGCCTGAGGTCAGGAGTTCGAGACCAGCCCGGCCAACATGGTGAACCCTTGTCTCAACTAAAAATACAAAAATTAGGTGGGCGTGGTGGCAGGTGTCGGTAATCCCAGCTACTGAGGCAGGAGGCTGAGGCAGGAGGCAGGAGAATCACTTGATCCCCGGAGGCAGAGGCTGCAGCTACTCGGGAAGTAGAGGTGAGAGAATGGCTTGAACTCAGGAGGTGGAGGTTGCAGTGAGCCAAGATCGCACCATTGCACTCCAGCCTGGGCGACAAGAGGGAGACTTCGTCTCAAAAAAAAAAGGAAACACTGCCTTTGCTTCCCTGCCCTGGAACTGCTTCATTTTCCTTGGGGTTTCCGGACCATTTTGACCTCTCTCTGTGGCCAGCAATGGTGGGGAGGCGGGTGGATCTGGAGCCGGCATGGGCAGGCTCAGCATTCCAGCCCATTCTGGGGTGAGGTTGGCCTTGGGTGAGGACAGGGGTCACTGGGTCAGACATTCATTTTCTGGAGCCCAGGGCGGTGACGTGTCCATCAGGGAAGCACGCGCCTGTGCTGGGGGGTGCTCCCTGGACCAGCAGCGCCGGCCTCCCTGGGACCTTGTTCTGTGCAGATGTGTTGTCTCCCTCTCCCCCGACCTGCCTGATCAGAAGCTCTGGGTTTCCATCCCACTCCCCCACCACTGCTTTTACAAGTCCCCCCAGGGGATGACACGGGAGATGGTGGAGGCTGTCTATCAGTGGATAAGGTGGGGGCTGTCTATCAGTGGAGAAGGTGGGGGCTGTCTATCAGTGGAGAAGGTGGGGGCTGTCTGTCAGTGGAGATGGTGGGGGCTGTCTGTCAGTGGAGATGGTGGGGGCTGTCTGTCGGTGGAGATGGTGGGGGCTGTCTGTCGGTGGAGATGGTGGGGGCTGTCTGTCGGTGGAGATGGTGGGGGCTGTCTGTCGGTGGAGAAGGTGGAAGCTTGTACTCAGAGCAGGGGATATTTAGACTTGAAGGGGCCAGGGAGGAAGGTACTGGTTCTACTAAGCCCCATGTTCACTGGGCAGCCACTAAGTTAGGGACCGTGTGTGTACCGAGTGGATTCCGACAAAGAAGCTGTCTCAGGAGCCCCAGCCAGCTGCAGAGGGGGGCCCAAGCTCCAAGGCTGGGTGTCAGGTTTGCCAGGTGCTGGCTCCGCTAGGGGCCGCAGGCTGCGCTGGGCGGGACTGGGCTGGGCTGGTACCTGTGCCCGGTGTCAGGCCAGCTGTAGTTGCAGCGGTCAGCTGCCGCTCTCTGGCCCTGTGCGAACTGCTGTGCCAGGTGCACCCTGGGGGACCAGGCTGCCTGGGCTTCCTGGAACTGGTGAAGCTGCCGCCACTTCCTCTATGCTCTCTCCAGCAGGCAATTCTGGGTAAACGATCTTCATTTGCCTATAAAGCTGCACAGCTCACAGGCCTTGGACCGTTTCTGCCCCAGCCCCAGCATTGGCCCTTTGGACAGACTCTGAAACCGTGCGCAGAACGCACCCTGTCATTACAAATGACTCCTGGAGGCAGTCCCCGGGGGCCTGGCAGGAGCACCTGTGTTTCTGTGGGGTCTGAAAATGACAGACCAATCGCTTGAACCCGGGAGGCGGAAGTTGCAGTGAGCCGAGATCGAGACATTGCCCTCCAGCCTGGGCAACAAGAGCAAAACTCCATCTCAAAAAAAAAAAAAAAATCTTCACAAATATAATTTGTAATGGCTGCAGAAAATTTCAGCTCTGAATGTACTGCATCCTAATCAGTTTCCTATTGTTGAGCATTAGTATAGTTTCCAGGTGTTTTGTTTTTGTTTTGCTATTAATAAGTAAAACTGAGATGAATACTTCTGTATCAATCTTGATCCTTATTTTAGATAATTTCCATTTCATTCCTCCCATTTCTTGAGTGCTTCCTATGGTCAGGTGCTGTGCTGTGTGCTGAGTATGGAGGAGGTAGGCTGAGATAGATGTGACCTTTGCTCTTGCAAAGCTGATATACTAAGGGTTGGACAGATGCTAAATGTGCAAAGAAACCCAATACTTGCAGATGGTGCTGGGTACTACCAAGGAAAGAAATAGGGTATGTGACAGAGTACCTGGAAAGGGCACTGGCCAGCTTTTATGGGCAGGGAGGTCAAAGCAAACCTGTCTGGAGATGAGACAGGCCAGGAAAATCAGGGCAGGGGCCAGAGTAGGGCAAATGTGGTGCCTAGAGCCTCATTTTTTTTTTTAGACGGATTCTCGCCCTGTTGCCCAGGCTGGAGTGCAATGGCAGGATCTCGGCCCACTGCAACCTCTGCCTCCCAGGTTCAAGCAATTCTCCTGCCCCAGCTTCCTGAGTAGCTGGGATTACAGTACAGCCTCAAATTTAAGGAGGGACTCACTCACAGGATTGTGCAAATGCAAAGTTGGCTTTTGCATGACCCTGGGAGTAGGTGCCTCCTTAAATTTTGCACCCTCAGCAACTCCATCACCTGTCACTTTGCTAGTCCCAACCCTGATGGGAACAAATGCAGGGAAGGCATTCCAGATGGCGGGAACAGCAAGTACAAAAATCCAGAGGCCAGAAAGGCCTGGTGTGTTTCAGGAACAGAAACTCGGCTCCCATGACTGAAATGGAGTAGGGAAATCCTAATGGAGCCAGAGAGGCAGAACCACCAACAGGAAGAAGAAAAAAATGTTGGAAGTTATGAGAGTTGCTCACGTTTGATTCATTTGATTTATTTTATTGAAATGGAGTCTCACTCTGTTGCCCAGGCTGGAGTGTAGTGGCACGATCTAGGCTCACTGCAACCTCCACCTCCTAGGCTTAAGTGATTCTCTCATCTCAGCCTCCCAAAGTGCTGGGATTACAGGCGTGAGCCACCATGCCCCACCTGAAGCAATTTCTTTGTTGTCTTTTTTTTTTTTAACTTCTCTCATAGAAATAATTAACCCTCAAAAACACTCAGTGTTGACAAAGGGTGGTGTGAGGACACAGAAAGTATCACACTATCATTGGCAGAAACTTCCTGGAAAGCAACTTAACAGTCTGTATCCAAAGACTTAAAATCATTAACAGCCTTTTCCCCAATAACTCCACTTCTCGGAATCTATCCTAAGGAAATCTGCCACAGCCAGAGTGATTTTTTCCGTCCCCTTAAGAAATGGTCTCATCCTGTTGCCCAGGCTGGAGTGCAGAGGCACCATTATGGCTCACCACAGCCTGAAACTCGTGGGCTCAAGCGATTCTCCCACCTCAGCCTCCCAAGTAATTGGGATCACAGGCATGCCTCCACATCCATATGCCTAGTTGGATAATATTTTGACCAATAAAGAAAAAGAGGGCCAGGCGCGGTGGCTCACGCCTGTAATCCCATCACTTTGGGAGGCCGAGGCGGGCGGATCACGAGGTCAGGAGATTGAGACCATCCTGGCTAACACGGTGAAACCCCGTCTCCACTAAAAATACAAAAAAACAAAATTAGCCGGGCTTGGTGGCGGGCGCCTGTAATCCCAGCTACTCGGGAGGCTGAGGCGGGAGAATGGCTTAAACCCGGGAGGCAGAGCTTGCAGTGAGCCGAGATTGCGCCACTGCACTCTAGCCTGGGCGACAGAGCGAGACTCCTTCTCAAAAAATAATAATAATAAAATAAAAAAATAAAAAAGAAAAAGAAAGGTAGTACCAGAGATTGTGTCCAGTTGCTCAAGCAATTTCTAACTTGTCTAATTTTAAAAATTTTTAAATTTTTATACAAAATTAGCCGGGCATGGTGGCATGTGTCTGTAATCTTAGCTACTTGGGAGGCTGAGGCAGGAGACTCACTTGAACCTGGAAGGCAGAGGTTGCAGTGAGCTGAAATCACACCATTGCACTCCAGCCTGGGCCACAAGAGTGAAACTCCGTCTGAAAAAAAAAATTTAATATTTTTTTTGTAGAGATGGGGGTCTCACTATGTTGCTCAGGCTGGCCTATAACTCCCAGGCTCAAGGATCTTCCAGTCTCAGCCTCCCATCACTGGAATTACAGGCATGAATCACTTCATCTAAATGATTTTTTTTTTTTTTTTTGAGACAGTCTTGCTCTGTCACCCAGGCCGGAGTTCAGTGGCACGATCTCGGCTCACTACAACCTCTGGCTCCTGGGTTCAAGCAATCCTCATGCCTCAGCTTCCCCAAATAGCTGGGACTACAGGCGTGCGCCACCATGCCTGGTTAATTTTTGTATTTTTTTGTAGAGACGGGGTTTCACCATATTTGTCAGGCTGGTCTCTTGACCTCAAGTGATCCACCCACCTCGGCCTCCCAAAGTGCTGGGATTACAGGAGTCAGCCATCCATGGTGCCCCGCGTTTTCTCTTTCTTCTTCTCCCTCCCTCCCTACCCTCCGCAGCCCAGCCTGGAGTGCAGTGGCAGGATCATAGGTCACTGCAGCCTCCACCCGCTGGACTCAAGTCATCCTCCTGCCTCACCCTCCTGAGTTCCTGGGACCACAGGCACGCGCTACCACGCCGGGTAATTTTTGTAATTTTTGTAGTCCCCATCATTTAGAACTGGCAAGATCCTCCCTTAGTGAGGGATTGGTGGCCATAAGCAAGGAGCCCAAGGTGGAGGGGATATGCATGTGTGTGGAGGTGTCAACTCCTCGTAATCTTCAAGTACTTTTGGTAACAATTTTTAATTGCACAAGCGATATATAAAGACGTTTTCTTTGCAACATAAAATGATAGGTTAAGACTCCTTATGCAGATAAGGTTTAGGCACTTGTTTAAGGAGCATCCTGGCCCACCTTTTAAAAAATGTGTATGCATTCACGTTATGCATCAGATGCTTTAGGGAATTTTTTTCCCTGGGGCATGGGGCATGTCATGGGGTAGACAGTCAGGTACGTCTCCTCTACCCAGCTGATTCTCTTTTTTTTTGGAGATGGAGTCTTGCTCTGTCGCCCAGGCTGGAGTGCAGTGGAGCGATCTCTGCTCACTGGGAGCTCCGCCTCCCGGGTTTACGCTATTCTCCTGCCTCAGCCTCCGGAGTAGCTGGGACTACAGGCGCCCGCCACCACGCCCGGCTAATTTTTTGTATTTTTAGTAGAGACGGGGTTTCACTGTGTTAGCCAGGATGGTCTCGATCTCCTGACCTCGAGATCTGCCCGCCTCGGCCTCCCAAAGTGCTGGGATTACAGGTGTGATCCACCGCGCCCGGCCTTCTCTCTTTCTTTTCTCCTTTTCTTTCCTTTCCTCCCTCCTTTCCTTCCTTCCTCCCTCCCTCCTTCCCTCCCTCCCTCGTTTCCTTCCTTCCTTCCTTTTTCTTCCCTCCCTGCTTTCTCTCTCTCTCTCTCTTATATTTTTTTGAGACAGAGTTTCACTCTTGTTCTCCAGGCTGGACTGCAATGGTCTGATCTTGGCTCACTGCAACCTCGGCCTATTGGGTTCAAGCGATTCCCCTGCCTCAGCCTCCCAAGTAGCTGGGATTACAGGCGCCCTCCACCATGCCCGGCTAATTTTTGTATTTTTAGTAGAGGCGGGGTTTCTCCATGTTGGCCAGGCTGGTCTGGAACTCCTCACCTCAGATGATCCGCCCACCTCGGCCTCCCAAAGTGCTGGGATTACAGGCGTGACCCACCGCGCCTAGCCCCCAGCTTCTTTCACCAGCAGAAGGCGGGCAAGCCTCAGGGTGAGAGGACTTCAAAGCACATTTCACATTGCAGAGGACAGGGTTTGGTGGTCGTGGGTACTCCCTTCCCTTCCATCGTTTAGTTTTTTTCATTGGGAAGAAATGGTAAAAGGTGCTAGGACTCGATGGGCACATTTCAGGTGGAGGTTGGGAAGGTGGATATCCACCTGTCGATCTGACTATTTTCACTTTCCACCCCGCCCCGTAGAAAGTGGGAAAACTGGCACACGTGAATCCAAGGGCGCGCCTGTGTGCGCGCGCACCCCAGGGCAACAGCCCGCCCCCCCCCCCCCACCCCCCACCGCAGGTCCTTGATTGGACGCCTGTTTACACCTGACTGCCTGGCCCTCCGGTGCTTTCCGGGAAGCATTTGGGAGAAAAGTGTGTGGCCGCAGTAGTGGAGATCCCGTCTTAGGATTCGTCACCGCTACGCCCAGACCTCTTCGCCGTCCAAGAGCCTGGGGCCGTGGGGGGCGGGGCGGCCTGCTATCGGCCCCGCCCCGCCGACAGGACCCGCCTCTCTCCGCAGGCACGGCGGGGCCGACCCCGCCTCTCGCTCCCAGCATGCCGTGCGACAGCGGCGGCGCGGCGAGCGGAGCCGGGAGGCGGGGAAGCAGTGGCCGTGTGAGCGTGAGGAGCTGCCGCCACCGCCTGTTCCTCGTCGTCCTCCTCCTCGGGGGCCCCGGCGACGTGGGCCGCGCAGGGCCCTGGAAGAGACGTCGCCTCCCCTTCATCCGCCTGTCTCTCACCGCGCCGCTCCCGCCTCCTCGTCCTGTGCTGCGGGCTCAGGCGGAACCCGAAACGGTCGTCCTCTTCCCCCGCCCGCCGCCGCCTCCTCCTCCTCCTCCTTCTCGGCTTCCTTCTCAGCCCCGGGCCGGAGCGGGGTGTTGGCGGCGGCCGGTTCGGGTGGCGACTCGCGCTTCTCTGGGCGGCGGCGCTTGGCCATATCGTGTCGGGGAAGGTAATGAGCCGCAGAGCCCCGGGGTCTCGGCTGAGCGGCGGCGGCGGCGGCGGCGGCGGCGGCGGCGGCACCAACGGCACCAACTATTCGCGGAGCTGGAATGACTGGCAACCCAGGTGGGTGACCGGCCCGGGACCCCGCCCCGACCTCCCGGGCTCCGCCTCGGGCGGGCGGAGGCCTAGGGCCGCGGGGCTGGGAGGCGCGGCCTAGGCCCTCCACCCCCGGGAGCCGGGCGCGGCTTCCTGGGTCTCCTCCGCCCCGGCTGGGGGAGGAAGGCCGCGGGGAGGCGAGGCCTAAGTGCCTCTCCCCTCCCTGCTTGTTCAGCCCGGGGCTGAAGCCGAGACCCGGGGCTCCCGGCGGTGGCACTGGCCTAGGGTCGGGACCAGGAGGTGAGAAAGAGGCGGGGGTGGGGGGGCGGGGGGCATTCCACTTACCGCTTCCCCCTGACCCCGAGTTGGGAGATCCTGAGAGTCCAGGACCCTCCCTGTTACTCATTCACTTTCTCGGTTCCCCAGTCTTTCAGCCGCCACGTGAGAGCTCTTCTAACCTCTGTTCCTTTCTGTGACCCCCACGTGGTAATATTGAAAAAACCAAAACAAAACTCCAGCTAAGGCATTGCTCTGACTTTAGGCAGAACATTCATTAGTGGAGCGTGAGATGAGATTGTGTGACTGTTGATGGGATCGACCTACTCTGGTCTTGGGCGATGGAAGTTTTCCCTAAGTGCAAGGCCGGTTACTCTGGTGAATCGTAATTCATACCTGGACACTTGAGTGAACTCTGGGCACCCACTTAGAAGTCTAGAGAATTTCCTCTTTTATGGAGGATTTGATGTCAGACCGTTTTGGGGCTTAGTTAGATTTGAATATATTAGGAACATTAACTTTTTAAATAAATGTAATTTCCTGTCTTTTTGATCAATGGGGGGAGGGCAGCTGTGCCTAATTTAGGATTGATTTATTCTAACCTCTCTTACTAAATAAATGCTTGTATTCAGAGTCTGTTTGGAATTTAACCCAATGCTTAGAACTCCTTAAATATACAGAAATATATTTTAGGGGTAATTGATTCATGGAACTCTCCTACTTTGGAGCACAATTGTATTATAATTGTCCGGAAACTGGCCAGATAATGTAGAACGCACAAGTTGTTGAGAAGCCCTTTTGTTTCCTGATAGTTACATGTAATTCCAGCAGTATTTGGAAATAATTTGCTAAGATGTTAGAATGTAACATTTGAAGACTTGTTAGAAAAATCAATAAAATTATCTTTGGCTAATGGGTAGTACACATCTTAGTCTGTTTAATATGCCTTTCCAAAAAAAACTGTGTCTGTTGAGAATTGGTGTATATAACTAGATGACTTTAATAATTAGTGCCTGAGTCTAGAATTGAGATGTTTAGTCGTAAAAAAAAATATTGTTCGATAAACAGCGTTGACTTGTCTTGTACCACTTAAGAGTTTGTGAGTGCTTTAAATAAAATTAGTTGATTAAGTATTTTTTTTCCTATGATTGACATGCTTAGTTTTGCCTTTTTATTGAAATGTGTGAAATTTGATTTTCTGGCATCTAACAAATTAGGTGGTAAATGAATGACAATGGATTTTCTATTATTTTTCAGTATTGTGATCAGTATAAGTATATAAGAGAATTTAGTAACCTTTTAGAAGAATAAAGTGCCCTTCCCAAATAGTCCTACAGCTTTTGGAAAAGTGTAAATTGTAGTTTGTAGTTCTAAATAAATAGAGAAGAGTCGCAGCCACGTGCTAGGGCCAGCTGACTTCATTGCTGACAGGTATGAAGCCAAATGGCTTATGTAGTTATGGAATATGTACATGAGCTATTAATAAATATTATCCATGTTGTTTCTTTCAAGTGCTTTATTTCTTGGCTCTGGGGAGGGGCGATGGGGGAAGGGAGGAGCTTACAAGAAAGCTTGCAAGGTTTCTTTGAAGCTGTGCTTTTTGTAGGAAAGTTTCAGGATGTAACGCCTTGGTAGACGATACTGTGATACATTTGGTTACAGGCAATAACAGTTTGTTAGGATGTTGGAAAAATTTGATTTTCTCCTGTTGTAGAGGGAACAGGGAAGTGTGGACATACCCCATAGCATAACTTGATTTGTTGCTAAGATTGTCATAGCTGATTTGTTAGTCAATAAAAATACCTGGGGTGTTTGCCAAGTCATAAATTTTTATTAGTTAAATTTGAGGTGATTCTGTCCCCTATTCAGAAAGATGACAGACTCCAGGTAACTGACGGAACAGATCTTGATCTTGCTTCTTGCTTAAATGAAGGTTTAGAACATCTTCAGATGCAGGCACATTTATTATTGTTCATCTGAATAATTTTGGTGAAAATTTTTTTGCCTCTTATGTACCATTTTGTCCCTGGTGTTTTGGTTCTGTTTTCCTTGATGTAGGCTTTTTTTTTTTTTTTTTTTGTCTTCCTGAGATGGAGTCTTGCTCTGTCTCCCAGGCTGGAGTGCAGTGGTGTAATCTCGACTCACTGCAGCCCCTGCCTCCCGGTTACAGGGAAAAATTCTCCTGCCTCAGCCTCCTGAGTAGCTGGGATTACAGGCGTCCAGCTAATTTTTGTATTTTTAGTAGAGACGAGATTCCACCATGTTGGCCGGCCTGTTCTCGGACTCCTGACTCAGGTGATCCGCCTGCTTTGGCCTCCCAAAGTGCTGGGATTACAGGTGTAAGTCATCGCACTCAGCCGATTTAGGCTTTTGAAAAAGCAATACTTGTTGATTTCTTTTAGTGTTAGTTTGCCAGTTGGTGTGGAAAATGACTGTTGAGACAATTTTGACCACACATGATACTTCACACATACTGACAGGAAGTGTTCCAGGTGGCTGAATATGTGAATGTCATATGGCAAGAGAGCAAACCCGTGTTCCATAGAAGCATACCTCCAACAGTAAGCATTTATATGGCACTGGCTTATAGTCTTCCTTTTCATTCACTGTGCTCTCAGTCAACTCTTCTGTCAATTTTT